>NC_000016.10:21516789-21819819 GCF_000001405.40 Homo sapiens | reverse complement strand
TCTTGGCGTTTAACTTTCAGAGTCATTAGGATGCTATGTTTTTTCATTAATTTACTACGTGTAAGTGAAGCAAACCTTGTAAAACAATTAGCGTAATATGATTCCTAATATTTATCGAGCTCCTGCTTACTGTGTTAAACACTGGGGACAGTGGTTTATCCAAAGACACTAATGTCCCTGCTTTCTACAGAGCTTACAGCATAGGGTGGGAAGGCAGTACACAGGCCAATAAATAAACGAACACGATGATTTCAGTTATACAACAAGGTAATGGGGGAGGGAGAAGGGAGAGAAGGAGTGTTCGAGATTTCTCATTGGGAAGACATCTGTCATTTCAGCTTCTACTTGAATGAAGACAAAAATCTAGGCCGGGCGCGGTTGCTCACGCCTGTAATCCCAGCACTTTGGGAGGCCGAGGTGGGCGGATCACCTGAAGTCAGGAGTTCGAGACCAGCCTGGCCAACATGCGAAACCTCGTCTCTACTGAAAATATAAAAATTAGCCAGGCGTGGTGGCAGGTGCCTGTAATCCCAGCTACTCAGGAGGCTGAGGCAGGAGAATTGCTTGAACCCGGAGATGGAGGTTGCAGTTAAGCTGAGATCACACCACTGCACTCCAGCCTGGGCAGCAGAGCAAGACTCCATCTCAAAAAAAAAAAAAAATCCAGCCACGTAGAGATTTGGGAAAAGAGTATTTCCAATAGAGTGAACAGTAAGTGAAATGAGAAACAGCTTGGCTTGTTTGAAGAGCAGAAAAGACATGATGGCTGTAGTAAAACAAGTTGTTGGAGATGAGGTGAGAGAGGTAGGCGGGGGCCAGATTAATGTAGGATTTTAAAGACCACACTGAGAGATTTGGATTGTTACTGTAAGTGCAGTGGGAAGACAGTTATTGGTTGCTGAGCAAAGGAGGGATTGTTGGTTAAGAGTGGAAGCAGGGAGACCAGTAAAGAGGCCTTAACAATAGTCCCACTGAATTATGTTGGTTCAATAAAGGTTGGCTATTATAATTTTTATTATTTTCATGAACTTAATAGCTTGTTAATCTTGGTTCCACAGGATTTCAAATATGCGTGCATTAGAGAATGATTTTTTCAATTCTCCCCCAAGAAAAACTGTTCGGTTTGGTGGAACTGTGACAGAAGTCTTGCTGAAGTACAAAAAGGTAAGAGGAGATAATGTGTGAGGTTTGCTTTTGGTCAGGTCAGAATACAACTATTGCTGTTATACTAAAGACCAATAGAAATAGCAAGATTAATTAAGATACCAGTTGAAATCAAATATTTAATAATAGCATGATGCCGTCAGTGCAAAATTAGAGTAATAGTGTCCTTTTTTTCCCCCACCTTGGCCCATTTCACAGGTAATAATGAGAGAGTAATAATGTCTTTACTGAGGTTTCACCTCTTCAAATGCTTTATTTACAAAGCATCTTTTAACTTTAGCAAGTGCTAGAATTAAAAACAATTACAGCATTTTATTTATTTATTTATTTGTGCTGGAGTCTTCCTCTGTCACCCAGGCTGGAGTGCAGTGGCGTGACCTCAGCTCACTGCATCCTCCACCTCCCAGGTTCAAGCAATTCTCCTGCCTCAGTCTTCTGAATAGCTGGGGTTACAGGCACGCACCACCACACCTGGCTAATTTTTTAATTTTTTTAATAGAGACGGGGTTTCACCATGTTGGCCTGGCTGGTCTCAAACTCCTGAGCTTGTGATCCACCCGCCTTGGCCTCCCAAAGTGCTGGGATTACAGATGTGAGCCACCATGCCTGGCCTACAGCATTTTATTTTTTGAGGAACTTACCTAAGCATTACTTTGGGACAGTAAACCGGTTCTCTGAATAGGGATTTTTGTTTTTGTGGTAGTTTAGAAGCATTTCTACTATATCTCAGCAGTAGAGGGAAAATGTTAAGTAACCGTATGTTTATATGAAATATCCATTTGTATCCATATTTGAGTGAATACTTTTTTAGATCCTCCTGAATTAGATCATTAGAGCTGGCTGTTTTTTCCCCTCATGCTTTTTGAGAATTCGCAGGAGTATCAACTATTATATTCAAATGTCAATACAGAAGTATAGCTAAATGTAGTTTATCATTTTCCTTTTTCCAAGCCCTCTGGCTGCACTAACATGAGTGTTTAAATTTTTGTAGTCATGATTTTATAATCCGCAATTGACATGTGAAAGTTAGTGTTCCTTTTATAATTTCATCTGATGTTAAAGTACGGTTAAAAGTCTTGCTGTTGATACTAAACAGGAAACAAAAGCATAACTTAATTCTTTCCCCTTCTTGTTAAGGGTGAAACAAATGACTTTGAGTTGTTGAAGAACCAGCTGTTAGATCCAGACATAAAGGTAATTAATTTTGTGTTTGATCATTAGCAAAATTATTGCCACTTTATACAGACATAGTTTGCTCTTTGGGTCCCATTCTGTTCTGCAGAACTTGCTCTCTCCATGGTCCTCCCTTACTTTAATCTGGTGGTTCTCAACCAGGGACAGTTTTACCCCCTAGAAGACATTTGGTGATGGCTGCAGATATTTTTGTCACAACTGGGAGGAAAGGGTGCTACTGGCATCTAGTGGGTGAATGACAGAGATGCTGCTAAACATCTCACAGTGCACAGGGCAGCCTCCCATAACCAAGAGTGATCCAGCCCCAAATGACAACAGTGTTGAGGCTGGGAAACCCTGCTCTAATGCTTCCTTTCTATTAGATTACTACCTCTTTCCTCCATGCTGCATGCAACTCTTTTGTCTCTTTAAAGCTAAAACAAACCAAAAAAAAAAAACAAACCACTGTTTCAGCATTTCCAGGTTCGAGATACACCTATCATGTAGTAAAACCTTAATACATTTTGTTTCACCATTCTTCCTTTACTGCCCAGTTTTGAAGAGAATGGTTTATTACCATGGCAGTGGTAGTTAGATTGCCTGGAATGAAATTCCAATTTTATTATCCAGTGTGTGATCTTGAGCAAATTGTTTTAACCTCTCTGCCTCTATTTTCCACTGTGTGAAACCAAGAAAACAATAGAGATTTAAAAAATATGGAGTGTTTTGTTTTTTAAGAGATGTGGTCTTGCTGTGTTGCTCTAGCTATTCACAGGTGTGATCATAGTGCACTACAGCCTTGAACTCCTGGCCTCAAATGATCCTTTCTCTTCAGCCTTCTAAAAAGCTGGGACTATAGGTGCATGCCACTGTGCCTGGCTTTAAACATGGAAATACTTAACAAGGATTCAATGAGCTAATATGCAAGAAGCACTTAGAACAGTCTCTGACTCAAAGTAAGGGCAGTAATTGTCATCTGTTGTTTTTGTTCCAGCTGACTGTGCTGTATCATTTCTCACTCACATTTAAGTCCACTGTTCTTATCACTGTAGTAATTACCCTGACAGATTACCCATGTTTTTTTTTTACATGCTGATTTCAGTGGACTTTTTTTGAGACAAAGTCTCCTTCTTGTCACCCAGGCTGGAGTGCAGTGGTGTGATATGGGCTCCCTGCAACCTTTGCCTCCTGGGTTCAAGCAATTCTCCTGCCTCAGCCTCCCAAATAGCTGAGATTACAGGCACCCGCCACCATGCCTGGTTAATTTTTTTATTTTTAGTAGAAACGGGGTTTCACCATGTTGGCCAGGCTGGTCTTGAACTCCTGACCTCAGGTGACCTGCCTGCCTCGGCCTCCCAAAGTGCTGGGATTACAAGTGTGAGCCACTGAGCCCAGCCTCAGTGGACTTACTTTTTTAAGCCTTGTATTCCTTGTATCAGCCGACACTGTTGGCCACCCACTTCTTAAAACTTCAGTGTTTCTGATCCTCCTGTCTTCTGATCCTTTAATCTCTCTCTTTTTTTTTTTTTTTTTTTTTTTGCTCTGTCGCCCAGGCTGGAGTGCAATGACGCAATCTTGGCTCACTGCAAGCTCCACCTCCCGAGTTCAAGTGATTCTCCTACCTCAGCCTCCCGAGTAGCTGGGACTACACGCGCCCGCCACCACCCCCAGCTAATTTTTTGTATTTTTAGTAGAGATGGGGTTTCACCATGTTAGCCAGGATGGTATCGATCTTCTGACCTCGTGATCCACCCGCCTTGGACTCCCAAAGTGCTAGGATTAGAGGTGTGAGCCACCACACCCGGCCAGTGATCCTTTAAGCTCTAGTATCTCTCGATAGGTTCTTGATCTTAAATTTGGTGTTGATTGGGCTTCAAAACTTGACTCTTTTCTCACTCTGTTGATTCTTCTGTGTGATCTCCTCATCTCCCTTCATGGCTTTGAAATCTACCTGTGTCCTAATATATTTGTGTCTGTAGCCAAGATTGCTCTTGTGGGCTCCAGACTTATTTCATTTTCATTTTTGGGGATGGGCAGAACAGAGTCTTGCTCTGTCACCTAGGCTGTAGTGTAGTGGGATGATCTTGGCTCACTGCAACCTCTGCCTCCTGGGTTCAAGCCATCCTCCCACCTCAGCCTCCTGAGTAGCTGTGCCACCACGCCCAGCTAATTTTTTTGTATTTTCAGTAGATTTGGGGTTTCACCATGCTGGCCAGGCTGGTCTCGAACTCCTGACCTCAAGTGATCCACCCGCCTCAGCCTCCCAAAGTGCTGGGATTATAGACGTGAGCCACTGCACCCGGCCTAGACTTGTTTCTTAACTGTCTGTTAGATGCATTTACCCAGAATCATCATAGATGCTCCAAACTTATCATGTCCACTCTTGGCTGGGCTCCATCTTTCATGGAGCTTTCCCTGGTTCTCTCTAAGCACATGGTTGTTCCTTCATTGAGTCTATTTCCCACACTTCCAGATCTCTCTAGTTACAGATCTGGTTTACAAGGCCCTCCATGGTCTATTTGGTGCTTCTTTGTTCCCCAGATTTATTATCTGTTGGCTTGGTCACTATACATGCCAGCCATACTGAACATTTTTCAGTTTTCTGAAAACATACTTTTCCTTCTGTAAGAAGCAGAACTTCCAGAAAAGACTCAACTGTGTTACTGTTTAAAGACAGCTGAAGCATCACTTTCTCTTTAAAGCTTTTCCTGACCCCTGCCTCCTTTCCCAGATACAAAGGGACATTTTCTTTGTGTTCCACTGTATTTTGTATCAGCAGTTCTCATTCTTGGTATTTTGACATACCAAGAATTGCACTAGTTGTGTGGAGTGTTGCAAGTAGAACTTTTTTCGTCTTGAGACAGGGTCTCGCTGTGTCACCCAGGCTGGAGTGTAATGGGCCCGATCATGGCTCACTGCAGCCTCAACCTCCCAGGCTCAAGCAATCTTCCCACCTCAGGCTCCCGAGCACCTGGGACCACAAGCATGTGCTACCATGCCTGGCTAATTTTTCTAGAGACGAGGTCTCCCTATGTTGCCCAGGCTGGTCTCAAATTCCTGGGCTCAAGCAGTTTCCTCCTGCCTTGGCCTCCGAAAAGTGCTGGGATTACAGGCATGAGCCACTGTTCCTGCCTGCTAGTAGAAATAATAATAGTTCAGTACTAAAGCATCAAAGTCTGCAACTGATTTACTTTTTTTTTTTTCTTTTTGAGACATAGTTTTGCTCTTGTTGCCCAGGCTGGAGTGCAGTGGCATGATCTTGGCTCACTGCAACCTCTGCCTCCGAGTTTTTTAAGTAATTCTCCTGCCTCAGCCTCCCGAGTAGCTGGGATTATGGGCATGCACCACCACGCCCAGCTAATTTTGTATTTTTAGTAGAGACGGGGTTTCTCCATGTTGGTTAGGCTCGTCTCGAACTCCCAACCTCAGGTGATCCACCCACCTCGGCCTCCCAAAGTGTTGGGATTACAGGTGTGAGCCACCACCCCCAGCCTGATTTACTTTTAAAAATGGTACAGTTTAAATGTTATCCTTATAGTTTTGTTGCAGTCTTTTTAGTGGAAAAGAGATAGGATAGATTATTTTATTTACACACTAACTTAGCTTGTTTTCTACATGCCTTTGGCCTTAGTGAGCTACCGTTAATGTTATCCTTAACAGTTTTGGACATATGAAATTACCATAGTACAAATGAGTTGTGGTTTTACTTTATTTTACTGCCAGGCTACTTGGGATTTCATCAGAAAATGGTTGATCTGTGGGAGTTTGACACATGGATATGGCATAGTAAGCACTCAGTAGCTGAATTAAGGTGGGGAAAAGGGGACAGCTTCTTCTCCGCATATAGGGAGGCATGTGGGATGGTGGACAGAGGATAGCCTTGACCGAGACAGATGGGTTTGGACCTGCTTCTTTACTGGCCTCTTGGTTGGGCAGATTGCTTATTAATCGTTCTTAGCCTCAGCTTCCTGAACAGCAAAATGGGAATAACTAAACATCTTGCAGAGTTCTTAGGATTAGAAGAAGATATATATGCGGAGTGTCAGGCACCATGCCTGGCATATGGTGTATTCTCACTAAATGATAACTCCATATGAATATCCCTGTAGGTATGATGACCTTGTGTTGCTTTTATTTATATGTCTAAGCCTTCCACAAATTAGGGGCTTTTTCTTAATGGTTTTTGTCCTGTGCAGTATATATGCATGAATATAATTAATATAGTAATATTTTACATAATTGACACTGTATTTTATACCTTGCGTTTCAAATTTAGCAGTTCTTCTCATGTCACTAACAATTACTATGAACAGTAATTTGATTGCCTGAAAAATATTTCATGGAGGAATGGGGCTATCATTTATACAGAACAAACACATCATAATATATTTAAACTCAGCCACAGATTTGGTTTAGAAAAGTTATGTTTATTCATGACCCCAATTGATCAGCCTAGACTGAATTTTATCAGCATGCTTCCTGGTCAGCTTGAATATAGAGGAAATAGAGGTAGCTATTGTTCCTTTGTGATCTTCTAATATTTCAATCTGCTAGAATTCTGCAGTTTTTAAAAGTCCCAGGTGTCAACATTTGAGGTGATTTCACTTTTTCAGGGCAAACAAAAGTGATCAGGCTGAAGTATTGCATTTAAGTCTTTCTCCTGTGTATTAGAGTTACTAGATTACTTTCTTAAAACGATTAAGTTTATTGTGACATCTTTTTCTGTTTTAATACCCAGTTTTGATTTCCTTCCAAGTTTGTGACCTTTTCCCCCCAACCTATTCTTGATAAATGATTGATATAAGATAGCTGTAAATTTCTGTTATCTTAGAGGATTTGTGATTTTGAAAGTACTCTTTGTTTAACTTAAGGATGACCAGATCATCAACTGGCTGCTAGAATTCCGTTCTTCTGTCATGTACTTGACAAAAGACTTTGAGCAACTTATCAGTATTATATTGGTAAGTTCACCATTTATTTTACTGTCAAGTATGTAATTCAGAACTTTGGTAATAGTATATGTTATATTAATAACATGCTGCTTTTATCTTTCTTCCCCCACTCTAGAGATTGCCTTGGTTGAATAGAAGTCAAACAGTAGTGGAAGAGTATTTGGCTTTTCTTGGTAATCTTGTATCAGCATAGACTGTTTTCCTCAGACCGTGTCTCAGCATGATTGCTTCCCATTTTGTGCCTCGTAAGTCATTACTCTTTGCTTGCTTGGAATTTTCTTTTCTTTTCTTTTTAATACTTCTTTGTTAAAATACCACCTTCCCCTTATATATGAGAGACTGCTACCATGGAAGATTCCAGATGCATATTGGCACCAGGTCTGGTAGACATATATTCCCCGTAATGACCCCTATGGAGGTGTCTAGATTCATTTGTTGCTGTGAGTTTGATGAATTATAACTTGCTTTATTGAACTCCTGGTGAAATCTAGGAATTTTTAGCCATTTAAAAACTATAAAGTTGCATTACTTTTTTTCAGATTGTGCATTTAATTAATCATTGGGCTAACTTTGGATTATGGAAAAATAACTTTTTTTATAGCTGTTCATTGTCTAGGTCAATAACTTTTTTTGTATAGCCATTCATTGTCTAGATCAATGACAGAACAACATATTTTCTTTTTCCCTCAAAAGCCTGAGTGATCATTAAGGAAGGCGATGTAGATGTTTCAGATTCTGATGATGAAGATGATAGTAAGTATAAAAAGGTTTAAAGCCTGGGCACAGTAGCTTACACCCATAATCCCAGCATTTTGGGAGGCCAAGATGGGAGGATCACTTGAGGCCAAGAGTTTGAGACCAGCCTGGGCAACATAGTGAGACCTTGTCTCTGCAAAAAAACATTTTTTTTCAAATATTTTCTTAAAAAAGGCTTAAAGTAGAACTAGGCAGGGTAGTGTGTGTCTTTAGTCACAGCTACCTGGGAGGCTTAAGTGGGTGGATTGCTTGAGCCCAGGAGTTCAAGCTCTGCCTGGTGGCAAGACTCTGTCTTCTTTAAAAAAAAAAAAGTAAAGCACAGAATACCTGGCATCTATTCTAATAAGTAGACTGCAACAAATGACAACTTTTGATGTAATCTTTTTGTTATATTTACCATTGATATGCAGTCAGTTGTCCTGAATGCATTATTTATATAATTAGTCCATTTAATTTTCATTGATGCTGGTGGAGAAAAGTCTTGAAATTATTATTTCTCTGATAAATTATTCCGTTTTGGTTAGCATGTGTTTTTAGCTTCAAGTATGTCACTTTTTGTTTGTTTGTTTGTTTTTTGAGACAGAGTCTCGCTCTGTTGCCCAGGCTGGAGTACAGTGGTGTGATCTTGGTTCGCTGCAGCCTTCACCTCCTAGGTTCAAGTGATTCTCCTGCTTCAGCCTCCTGAGTAGATGGGACTACAGGCGTTTGCCACCATGCCCGGCTAATTTTTGTATTTTTAGTAGAGATGGGGTTTCACCATATTGGTCAGGCTGGTCTCGAACTCCTGACCTCAGGTGATCCACCCACCTCGGCCTCCCAGAGTGCTGGGATTACAGGCGTGAGCCACTGTGCCCGGCCAGCATTTATTTTTAGTTTCAAGCATGTCGCCCTTCAGTTTTGTTTTGATGCTCATACTCTGAACTTTTCTTCTTTCAGATCTTCCTGCAAATTTTGACACATATCACAGAGCCTTGCAAATAATAGCAAGATATGTACCATCATGAGTATACTTTTCCTTATTTTGAATGTTTAATTCTCAAGAAAATTGTAATCAATTAGTAAAAATTATAAAATGTTAATAGTATTAAAGCTTGAGTCTTACATTGCATTTTTTTTTTTGTATCCACTTGAGGAAACATTACATTCTACAAAAAGTGGCATTTCCATTTTCTATTTATTCTCTTTAATTGTTTTTCAAAGTTCGTATGCAGATTCTCCCCCAATTTTGTATGGTGGTTGGAATTTTGTTTTTATCTTCAACAGATATGCTATCCAAAATTTTTCAGTGAGAAACCCCTGGGTGTGTTTGTGTCATGCCATATGAATAAAAATTGCACTTCTAAGAAAAGCTTTTCAGGTTTGTGGGTTTCTTTTGGAGGGGTGGATTTCTAGTTCCCTCTGTCTGTTGATTATTTGTTAACTTAAAAAAATCCAACTTGATTATTTTTTCTTCTTTTAAAAATAATATACATGTGTAGTGGGAAATGTCAGCAAAAGTGCTGTTATGTTTCTGTGGGAGAGAAGCTCCCTCTTTGATTTGCTGTTGATATCAGAGTTAACAGAAGCTTATTTTCTCTAAGTTGTTATAGACTTTCTCAGAAGCTATACATTGTAAGTTCCAGTTCTGGCCGGGCGCGGTGGCTCACACCTGTAATCCCAGCACTTTGGGAGGCTGAGGCGGGCGGATCACCTGAGGTCGGGAGTTCGAGACTAGCCTGACCAACATGGAGAAACCCCGTCTCTACTAAAAATACAAAATTAGGTGGGCGTGGTGGCGCATGCCTGTAATCCCAGCTGTTTGGGGGGCTGAGGCAGGAGAATCGCTTGAACCCGGGAGGCAGAGGTTACAGTGAGCCGAGATTGTGCCACTGCACTCCAGCCTGGGCAACAAGAGCGAAACTCCGTCTCAAAAAACAAAAAAAGTTCCAGTTCTTTGAGGTAAGGGTTCCTGTTTGCCTCCTATGTCTATCGATATTTGCTTTTAGAATGGTAGTTTTCCTTTTTATTCCTTTTCTAGAAAGTAAAGTCAACATGGATTGATTTAATTTTTTAAAAATAGGGCACCGTGGTTTCTCATGCCAATACTGGTGGAAAAATTTCCATTTGTTCGAAAATCAGAGAGAACACTGGTAAGAAATCTTTTCATTGAGAACATCATGGAAAAGTTGTTTGTATGATTTCATTTTAGATGATATTAGGTCTTTTTCTTTCTTTTTCTGTCTTTATTTTTATTTTTCTTTTTTGAGACCGAGTCTCACTCTATCGCCCAAGCTGGAGTGCAATGGCGTCATCTTGGCTCACTGCAACCTCTGCCTCTCGGGTTCAAGCAATTCTCCTGCCTCAGCCTCCCCATTAGCTGGGACTGCAGGCACCTACCACCATGCCCAGCTAATTTTTGTATTTTTAGTAGAGACAAGGTTTCACCATATTGGCCACACTGTTATCGAACGCCTGACCTTGTGATCTGCCTGCCTCGGCCTCCCAAAGTGCTGGGATTGGTGAACCACCGTGCCCGGCTGATGTTAGGTCTTTTTCTTAAAGGTTACTTTGTCTTCTAGACTTTAAACTGATGTCTAAGAATTTGACTCAGATTCCTTTCTTATAAAGCGGCTATTGGGGATTCGCAGTGCCTTTTTCTGTTATTACTATGTGCAAGTCAAGGTCTGAGTTCATTTCCGGAATATCTGTAGTGGCTTTATGCTCATACGGGCAAGAATTACTAGAAGATAATAGTTCATGTATTACTAATTGTGAACATGCCTTATTTTAACCTGAAAACAAAGCCTTCCATAGAAGAATTCTGCTTAAGTTTTTGTACAATGTTCAGATCATCTGTGCAGTTTTTAATAATTAATAGTGGTTGCCTTAGTAGAAAACCGAATCTAGTAGCATACAAAAAGAATTACGTACCATGACCAAGTGCGACTGATGTTAGGAATGCAAGATTGATTTTTTTTTTCGGGGGTGGGGGGACAGTCTCTGTCTGTCACCCAGGCTGGAGTGCAGTGGCACCATCTCAGCTCACTGCAGCCTCTGCCTCCAGGGTTCAAGTGACTCTCCCACCTCAGCTTCCCAAGTAGGTGGGACTATAGACATGGGGCACCACACCCCACTAATTTTTGTGTTTTTGGTAGAGATGGGGTTTTGCCATGTTGGCCAGACTGGTCTTGAACTCCTGACCTCAAGCGATCTACCCGTCTCCACCTCGCAAAGTGTTGGGATTAGAGGCGTGAACCACCGTGACCGGCTGAGATTGAGTTAGTACCTGAAAATGAATTAATAAAATATTTTGTAGCAATAGAACAAAGGACAAAAACCACATAATCATCTCAGTAGATGCAGAAGTGTGTGACAAACACCAATATCCCTTTATGAGAAAAACAGAAGGAAATTTTCTCAACCTGATAAAGGGCATCTGAAAAACCCACAGCTAACATCATATTCAGTGGTGAAAGACCAAAAGTTTTTTCCTAAGACAAAGAACAAAACAAGGATTTCCGCTCTTGCTGCTTGTCTAGCCAAGGCAGTTAGGCAAGAAAAAGAATTAAAAGCATCCAGATGGAAAGGAAGGCGTAAACTCTCTTTTGCATGGTGATTTTATATGTCATTCTAAGAAGTTTACACACACACAAGAAATTTTAGAGATAATAAATGAGTTCAGCATGGTTACGGGACAGAAGACTAACATACACTAACCAGTTGTTCAAGACAATTGAATAGGGGAGAATAGTCATTTCAACAAATGCTGCTGGCAGAAGTGGATATGAACATGCAAAAGAGTGAAGCATATGGATATCCATATACAAAAATGAACTCAATAAAAGCCCTACATGAAGTGTAAAAACTGTAAAACTCTGAGAAGAAAACGAGTACATTTTCATAATGTTGGATTAGGCAGTAATTTCCAGATTTGATGCCTAAGCACAAGCAACCAAAGAAAAAATGCATCAATTGTACTTCAAAATTAAACGTTGTTATGCTTCATAGGACATCTTCAAGAAGATGAAAAGAATCCCCAAATAATGGGAGGAAATATTTCTAAATTTTATGTCTGGTAATGGACTTGTATATGTAAAGAACTCTTATAATTGAATAATAAAAGGGCAAATAGCCCAACTGAAGAGGGCAAAGGATCTGAATAGGCATTTCTGCAAAACACATGAAAAGAAGCTCAACATCATTAGCCATCAGGGAAATGATTTCACTTAATGCCCACAAGGATGGCTATAATCAGAACGAGAAGACAGTAACAAGTGTTCACAAGGATATGGAGAAATGGGAACGTTGGAACTGTCATATGTTGCTGTGAGAATGTAAAATGGTGCAGCCGTTTTGGAAAATAGCCTGGCATTTCTTCAAGGTTAAATGTAGAATTAACACGTGACTCAGCAGTTCCATTTCTGGGTTTATACCCAAGAGAAATGAAAATATATGTCCACAGAAAAACTTGTACATGGATGTTCATAGCAGCAGCATCCATAATAGCCTCAAGTAGAAGCAACTCAAATGTCTGTCAACTGATGAACAGATGACAAAACATGGTACAATGGAATATTACTCAGCAATGAAAAGGAATGCTTTATATGTTACAACATGATTGGACCCTAAAAACATGCCAAAAGGCTGTGTATTATATGACTCCATTGATAGGAAAGGAATGGTTTACATGTTACAACATGATTGAACCTTAAAAACATGCCACAAACTGTGTATGACTCCATTGATATGAGAGGAATGGTTTACATGTTACAACATGATTGAACCCTAAAAACATGTATTATATGACTCCATTTATATGAAATGTCTCAAAGAGGCAGATTCATAGAAAGACTAGTGGTTGCCAAGGTCTTCATTTTTTAGGGGTGCACTAATGGATGTAGGATTTCTTTTTAGAGTGATTAAAATGTTACAAAATTGCTGGCTGGGTGCAGTGGCTTATGCCCATAATCACAGCACTTCGGGAGGCTGAAGTGGGAAGATCCAGGAGTTGAAGACCAGCCTGGGCAACATAGTGAGAAAATGTCTCCCTAAAAGGAAGAATTAACCTCATGTGGTGGTGTGCACCTGTAGTTCTAGCTACTAGGGAGGCTGAGGAGGAAGGATTGCTTATCCCGGGAATTCAAGGTTGCAGTGAGCTATGATTGCACCCACTGTACCTCATCCTGAGAGAGAGAGCAAGACCCTGTCTCTAAAAGAAAAATAAATGTTCTGAAATTGATTATGTTGACGGTCACATAACTGAATATATTAAAAACTTAAATTGTATACTTTAAGTTGGTGATTGTATGATATATGAGTTTTATCAATACAGCTACTTAAAAACCTATAGTTATGCAAATTAAAAATTTCATTTACTGGGGATAATTGAAATGATTATACCGAACATAATACATGTAGAAACAGTATAGTTTTTGTATTGCTGGATAGTCTGTTTTTTTCTTTTTCAATATTTGAAACTAAAGGTCATGTAATTGATGTTTTTCTTACATAACTGTGAAATATTTATTCTCTGTTGAAATGTTTTATCTTACGTTTTCTCCTTTAGGAATGTTACGTTCATAACTTACTAAGGATTAGTGTATATTTTCCAACCTTGAGGCATGAAATTCTGGAGCTTATTATTGAAAAACTACTCAAGCTGGATGTAAGTATTGAGTAATCTATTTTTATTTTCTTTTTTTTATTTTTTATTTTTTTATTTTCATTTACTGACTTGAATTTGTTATAATCACAGTATGTGGAAACAATAGTCAGTGATAGAAAAGAATCCACTTGGCCAGGCATGGTGGCTCATGCCTTTATTCCCAGCACTTTGGGAGGCCGAGGCAGGCAGATCACCTGAGGTCAGGAGTTCAAGACCAGCCTGGCCAACATGGCGAAACCCCGTCTCTATAAAAAAAAAAAAAAAAAATTAGCCAGGCATGATGGTGGGTGCCTGTAATCCCAGCTACTCAGGAGGCTGAGGTGGGAGAATTGCTTGAATCCGGGAGGCAGATCTTGCAGTGAGCTGAGATCGTGCCACTGCACTCCAGCCTGGGCGACAGAGCGAGACTCCATCTCAAAAAAAAAAAAAGAAAAGAAAAGAAAAGAAACCACTAGCACCATTCTTTGCTTCCTTTCTTTGAATGTGTCTTGAACTCCATCTGTGCATGTGCTGGGAGTTGTAGACAGTTCCTTCTCATGATTGGAGAACAAGGCGTTAAATACATAGTTATCCAAATGTAAAAGTATGGTTGTGGAAAATGCCATGAATGAAACATACATTATGAGTTAGAGAACCTGATAGAATCACAGTGGGGTCAGGAAGGGATTCCTACGGAAGTGATTTTTCCTGTTTGGCCTTTCTTAAGGGCAGATTATAATTATAAACAGTTAAAACTTTGTTTAAGGAGGCCCGCACTAAGGTGCAGTGGGAATGAAAGGAAGTGGTAGATTCTAGTGACATTGTGAGGAAAGGTGAACTGGTCCTTGAGACTGGTTTGGAGGAGGGGAGGCAGACAGTAAGGGAAAGGAATCCTTCAATAGTTGCTCCCTGTGGAATCGAATCTTGGTGTTGCCATTAATGGTAGTTAGAAATATGAAGAGGAGGCTGGGTGTGGTGGCTCACGCATGTAATCCCAGCACTTTGGGAGGCCGAGGCGGGCGGATCACGAGGTCAGGAGATCGAGACCATCCTGGCTAACATGGTGAAACTCTGTCTCACTAAAAATATAAAAAATTGGCCGGGTATGGTGGTGGGCACCTATAGTCCCAGCTACTCGGGAGGCTGAGGCAGGAGAATGGTGTGAACCTGGGAGGTGGAGCTTGCAGTGAGCCCAGATTGTGCCACTCTGCTCCAGCCTGGGTGACAGAGCAAGACTCTGTCTCAAAAAAAAAGAAAAAAAAAATATGAAGAGGAGGCAGTTGGAAGAGTAGTTCCATCTTGGCCAGGTTCAGTTGCTGGTGGGCAGCCTACCAGAGAATACTCACAGGCAGTCGTGGCTGCAGATGGGGACCTGAGCATAAACCTTTGGAAAGATGCAGTTTAGGACAGGGGAGGAGAAGGGTGATCAGAAGTATGGGGAAAACCAAGAGTCTGGATGCTCAGGAAGAATCCGCTGGAAGGAGGAGTTTGGTCAGCAGCATCAGATACTGCTGTCATTTTTTAGAAAGATGAAAAGAGCAACAGTCCTTGGATTTAGTGGTTAGAAGGTAGTCTTTGTTGCTTTCTGGAGGACCATGTCAGTGAAGACGCAGAAACTGCATTTCGGGAGAGGATGTGGATGGTGGGGAAGCAGAATTGGGGCTGTTAGAGACCTTGGTGCAGGGTTGTGGTGGAAGGAGGGGATGGAGCAGGGCTAAGAGGCGTGGTTTAGGAGTGGGGAGATGTGAGCAGGTTTGTGGACTGAGGGGAGAGGAGCTTTGGTGGAGGAAAACATTGATGCTATAGGAAAGCAGGAAGATGGAACAAGGTCTTAGAAGAGCTGGAGCTTGGGCTCACTGGTGCAGTGCTCCCTTGGAGTTGCACCTCTCTGGCCAACTGTATATGTACTCTTTATAGTCTTTCTCTGGTATATACTTAAGGAACATTTTAGAATGTTTACAAAGAAGGTCAGGCATAGTTAATAAAAAATGGCATGGTTTGAGTGGTATGTTAAGATATTTGAATGGTGATATACCAAAATAAATATTGCATCATGCACATTTGGCTTGCAGTTCATCATTTTTCTGCTCAATTGATTGACGATATGTTTATTACACAATGTGTCTGTGAGTGTCTTGTGCATAGAGATTGTATTAGTCCATTTTCACACTGCTGATAAAGACATAGCTGAGCCTGGGAAGAAAAAGAGATGTTTTTGTTTGTTTGTTTGAGATGGTGTCTCGCTCTGTTGCCCAGGCTGGAGTGCAGTGGTGCGATCTCGGCTCACTGCAACCTCCACCTCCCGGGTTCAAGCAGTTCTCCTGCCTCAGCCTCCTGATTAGCTGGGATTACAGGCACGTGCCACCATGCCCGGCTAATTTTTTGTATTTTTAGTAGAGATGGGGTTTCACTGTGTTAGCCAGGATGGTCTCAATCTCCTGACCTCATGATCCATCCACCTCGGCCTCCCAAAGTGCTGGGATTACAGGCGTGAGCCACTGCACCTGGCCAAAAAAGAGGTTTAATTGGACTTACAGTTCCACATGGCTGGGGAGCCCTCAGAATCATGGCGGGAGGTGAAAGGCACTTCTTACATGGTGGCGGCAAGAGAAAATGAGGAAGATGTAAAAGTGGAAACCCCTGATAAAACCATCAGATCTCGTGAGACTTATTCACTATCATGAGAACAGTATGGGGGAAACCTACCCTATGATTCAAATTATCTCCCACCAGTCCCCCCCCCAACAACATGTGGGACTTACAGGAGTACAATTCAAGATGAGATTTGGGGCCAGGCGTGGTGGCTCATGCCTGTAATTCCAGCACTTTGGGAAGCTGAGGCCGGTGGATCACCTGAGGTCAGGAGTTCGAGACCAGCCTGACTAACATGGAGTAACCCCATCTCTACTAAAAATACAAAATTAGCTGGGCACAGTGGCACATGCCTGTAATCCCAGCTACTCAGGAGGCTGAGGCAGGAGAATCTCTTGAACCTGGGGGGCGGAGTTTGCGGTGAGCCAAGATCTTGCCATTGTATTCCAGCCTGGGCAACAAGAGCAAAACTCTGCCTCAAAAAAAAAAAAAAAAAAAAGTGAGATTTGGGTGGGGACACAGAGCCAGACCATATCAGAGCTAGAATAAATGTTGAATTTGTTGAGGCTACCTGACATAGAGCATCATGTGATAGTTGTCGATTTTATATAAGTATGTAGTAAAAGGGGCTTGGTTTATTATATTTAAATTCCTTCATGACCTAGGTCAGTTTACAGGCTTGCACCATAATTGTGTATTGTGTTGGGGTGTGATATAAGGCACTAATCTGGACACCTTGAACGTGTGTATATCAGATGAATTTCCATCCCAAAATAACATAGTTGTATTTTTTAAATCCTTTTATTCTTTTTTCCCCCCCCTTTGTTATAGGTGAATGCATCCCGGCAGGGTATTGAAGATGCTGAAGAAACAGCAAATCAAACTTGTGGTGGGACAGATTCCACGGAAGGATTGTTTAATATGGTTAGCAGTTTATTAATGAAAGTGGAGATGAAGTTTATCATAATCAAAGGGTGGAAACAGCTAGTGCTGCTCATCTTTGTTAAGGCTTTAGATTGAAAGAATTAAAATAGTTTAGCAAACTTGAAAACGATTCCTTATATGAGTAATTTGCTGCCATGTCATTTAGCACTTAGCATAATTGGTCTATTTCCAAGGCTTTGAATTTGGGTTTGGTGAAGTATGTTTCACTTTTGTTGTTGTAACTTTCAGTGTTTGTTTTTGTAAGCCAGATGCTGTCTGTGAGGGCGTGGCTAATGGAAAAGCATAACTGTTTAATTTCTGCATTTTACCACTTGTACACTTTATAGCATTACTTCTTACGAGTAGCTGGGACCACAGATTACCATGCCTGGCTAATTTTTGTGTTTTTAGAAGAGGCGGGGTTTCACCATGTTGGCCAGACTGGTTGTGAACTCCTGACCGCAAGTGATCTGCCCGCCTCCTGCCCCGCAAAGCGTTGGGATTACAGGTGTGAACAACTGTGCCTGGCCCACGTTCCCTTCTCAGTACACTTGGAGAGAAAACAGATTGCTGCCTGCCAGCCCAGCTAGGTGCTCTGAAAATGTCATCCTGCCTTTGGTCACTAGGTGGTGGTCTTCCCTTAAGCCTTTCTCTATTAAAATCTCATATGGGGTAATTAACAGTATTTCCTTTATTCTTTCCAAGGGTTGAGTTGTAACTAGCCCAAACCAACTTATTAATCTAGAATTTTAAAAACTTTAGGCTTTGACTTTTCTTCTTCTTCTTCTTTTTTTTTTTGGTGGGGGAAAGAATATAGAAGGCTTTTCCTTCTCTGCAACGATTTTGTGGCTTCCTAGAGGTCAGGAGAGTGTTGGTCATGGGAAAGAAGGTTGAATTCAGTCTGCCCACATGGGCGTGCCTAGCTTTAGAACAGCGCTATTTAGGAGAAGTTGGAAGTTACACCCTTTGGTGAGAAGCTGTGTCTGTTTTTTTCCATGATTGGCATAATTAACTCAAATACCAGCTGTACATTAGTCCGTATTTCTGTTCATGGTTGAGTTCAGTGTGTCCAGAGACCGGAAGGTGCTTTGCACTCACAGGAGTGCCCATGTGGAGCTCCATGGGATGTGAATTATTGTTGGTCACTAGTTCTGGCTGACATTGGAATCACTTGAAGAGTTTTTATAATATGTGGATTCCAAAGCCCTGTCACAAACCTATTGAATTTGTACCTCCCAGGTTGAATTTTTTGTTGTTTTTTGTTTGTTTGTTTTTTGAGATGGAGTCTCACTCTGTCACCCAGGCTGGAGTGTAGTGGCATGATCTCAGCTCACTGCAACCTCTGCCTCCTGGGTTCAAGTGATTCTCCTGCCTCAACCTCCCAAGTAGCTGGGATTACAGGCACCTGCCACCACGCCTGGCTAATTTTTGTATTTTTAGTAGAGAGAGGGTTTCTCCATGTTGGCCAGTCTGGTCTCGAGCTCCTGACCTTGGGTGATCCACCCGCCTCGGCCTCCCAAAGTGCTGGGATTACATTTACAGGCGTGAGCCACTGTGCCTGGCCCTGGGTTGATTTTGATGCTTAGCTAGGTTTGGGATCCATTGGATTATTTAACACCCGAGGTGCCTTTTGTTTCTAATGATATTCTCTCAACGTGTTTTAAAAATGAAGCCCATGAGATAGTTATGAGATAGTAGAACTTTTCCCTACATTGGTGAAGTAAAAATCTTGGGATTTTGATAGTCAGATTATCTTAGGCATTAAAAAATATCACACCGATGCCCTCTCTTTTTATAGGGATTCGCAGAGGCATTTTTGGAACATCTTTGGAAAAACTTGCAGGATCCAAGTAATCCTGCCATCATCAGGCAGGCTGCTGGAAATTATATTGGAAGCTTTTTGGCAAGAGCTAAATTTATTTCTCTTATGTAAGTAGCCTAATTTGCCGAGTACTTTTTAATATCATGCTTTAAAAAGAGTATAGCATTGTCTCAAGTCAGAAATATCTCCCATATGTTTTTGGCATGTTTTTAAAGTGAATAAAATTCCTACTCTGTGCAAGATGTTTATATTTCTAAGTGGTGATTTTAGAATAAAGTGTCTCCTTTTTTATATATAAAACCCTGTATGTAAGGCTTTTGTCATCTCTTTTGTGTGGTTGCACTTAAAGATCCATTTGTTTTGTGGATAGAGGACAGTGTTGTATACTGTTTTGATTCTTTTTGTAGGTTTGTCATTTTTTTCATTTGCATTCCAAATCTATTGTATCTGTTAAAGCTGAAGAAAAACCCTTTTAAAGGTAATAGACCTATCTAGGAGGCCAGTTTCTTTCAGTGGCCCATGAAGATATCTTTGGACAAGGATGCTGTTGAAACCCTTCCCCAAGAACAAAATTATTCACCCATAGGACTTGACTGGATGCATCAGGGAATACTGAAGTCCACCAGACTGTCTTTCTCTTGAGACGTGTTGGTGAACATGTCCTATTTGGCCAATCACCCTAAGAGGGGTGCCTTTGAGATGGTTAGGAGAACCTGCTTTCCATCCCTTGGGACGTTCTTAGGGGCTCACCTGTTCCTAGAAGGTCAGAGCTACTCTGCCTTGTAATTGGAAGGTTGTCTTCCTACGCACCCATCCTTATCCTTCCTTTCTTTGCTTTTCCTCTGTACCCATGGGTATTATTTAAAGAAACCTATGAACTTACTTAGCATGGTTTGTAATGAAAGGCAGTTGTGTGTTTTTATGTTATTCTGGTTTTTTTATGAAGTGTAAAGTTGACTTGAATTTTTCTTTTCTCTAGTACTGTAAAACCATGCCTAGATCTTTTGGTTAACTGGCTGCACATATACCTTAATAACCAGGATTCGGGAACAAAGGCATTCTGCGATGTTGCTCTCCATGGACCATTTTACTCAGCCTGCCAAGCTGTGTTCTACACCTTTGTTTTTAGACACAAGCAGCTTTTGAGCGGAAACCTGAAAGAAGGTCAGTGTTGTGGGAGTGCTGGACTGGATTTTCCTTGTGTTCTTGTCACCCTTCAGAATGGTGATTCATTACTTTTTTGAGATTTTTATAAAAACTGGATTCAGAAAACTGCATGTACACTCAAACTTCTAATAATAATTTCAAGCAGCTCATAGGCCCCTACAAACCCCTTAAGATAGATTTGAGCTTGAGAACCCTACAAACCCCTTAAGATGGATTTGAGGTTAAGAAAGAGGTTTCTGCCTTTGAAGGTTTGAAATGTGAAGATGTCTCCAGAGGTGAGGCTGAGCCCTGGGCTGTGCCAGCGCCCTGTACAAAGCTTCAGTTGGATGCACCTTCTCTTTGTTGTCCTTGTAACAGCCCAGTAAATGGCAGGTATTCTCCCTTTACAGACAGCACCAAAGCACGGGGAAGTCATTTTCCCAAGATCACATGGTTACTGGCAGGATTAGAAAACTGAAGCCAGGTTCAGCTGACCCTAAAGTTTGAGTTTATATAGATTACACTCTGCCTGAAGCCTTGAGACTTAATTGACCAGTATTGTTTTGCTAATTTCTAAGAGTTACTTATAATTCAAATCTATCAGTTGAAACTTACTAGATTAGCGTATTTTAGTTGAAGAGAGTCTCCAAGAACAGTGTTTATAAGTCATTGTAAATTGTTCTGTTTATGTTTATGAATAATTCATATGGTTTTGTGGGTCACTTCCTCTAAACCAGGGTCTGTCAACCCTGCATGATTGCCATTTGGGCTGCATCATCCTTCATCGTCGGGGGCTGTCCTCTGCACTGTAGGATGTTTAACAGCCTCCACCTACTAGCTGCCAACAGCAGTCCCTGACCACCCCCAGCTGTGACAACTAAAAGTGTCTCCAGACACTGCCAGGTGTCCTCTGTGGGGGTTGCAGTCTCCTTAGGTTAACAGCCACAGCTCTAAACTGACAGTTGTACGTGTTGCATTATATATGTTTACCTACATCCTACATGCTTCTAAAAGATGTTGTATGAACTAGTAGGATGAGGTTTTATCACAAGGTAAGTAAATACAAGCTCTGCTTTTCTTTGTATAAATTAATGCCAGGAATCTGAATTAAATATCTTGTTTTTGTAAGCAGTGACATCCCATTTAGGTAATTTTTATTGAAATATGCATCAAAGAAACTCCTAAGAAAATATACTTAAGTACAAGTTGGTCAGCTTGCCTCTTAAAATAAATGTGATGTCTTTATTTTACTCATGTAGGAAAGAATTGTATTCACTAAGTCTAAGAAAGTGGCTTCTGTCTAAATTTGCCGTCCGTTGAGGTAGAAGGCAAATTTGGAGTTTTCTTGTTTAGAAAAAAAACTACAGATGACTACTGTGCACCTGAAAACAGCACTCAGCTTCACTAACGAGACATGCAAGCTAGAATCAAATTGCTGTTTTGTTTTGTTGCCTGTCGTGATTGTTAGCTGAAACCAAATCACAAGGTCTTTTTCTCCCTCTGTATTAGCTCAGCATACACTGAGCTTACAAACGTATGAACTTCACGTTGTCGTGGAATCTTACAGCCTGCTACTTCCTAAGTTTCCTTTAGAGAAGCTGCCTTGGTGACCAATGAATGTGGTTAGCCTAGTGATACTCTTCTGGGCCATATACTGTGTGACTATCTGCATGGACCTTTATTGAAAGCATTTCTGCAAATAATTTTTTTAAGTTTTTTTTAAATGTGTGATAATTTGTGCTTTTAAAGATATCTTACACTTTTCACTTATTTGTACCTTTAAAAATCTTTTTTTTTTTTAAACCAAAGGTTTGCAGTATCCTCAGAGTCTGAATTTTGAGCGGATAGTGATGAGCCAGCTAAATCCCCTGAAGATTTGCCTGCCCTCAGTGGTTAACTTTTTTGCTGCAATCACAAAGTAAGTTATTTATGCTTTCTTGATGGGAGTTATTTAAAATATTTTTATTTATGTTTCTCTAGTATTGTAAGAGTCTGTTAAATTTCTATGAAATTAGTAACATTATAAAAGGCCAGGCGTGGTGGCTGACGCCTGTAATCTCAACATTTTGGGAGGCTGAGGTGGGAGGATTGCTTGAGGCCAGGAGTTAAAAGACCAGCTTGAGCAACATAGTGAGACCCTATCTCTATAAAAAAATTTTAAAAATTAGCTGGGTGTGGTTGCCTGTGCCTGTAGTCCCAACTACTCAGGAGGCTGAGGTAGGAGAATCACTTGAACCCAGGAGGCAGAGGTTGCAGTGAGCTGAGATCGTGCCATTGCACTCCAGCCTGGGTGACAAGGGCAAGACTCCATCAAAAAAAAAAAAAAAAAAAAGGAATTTCTGCAATACGCTACAACATGAATGATTTTGTAGGACATTACGCTAAGTAAAATAAGCCAGTCACAGAAAAACAAATACTGTATGGTTCTACTTAAAGGAAGCCCATAGAGTTGTCAAAATTAGAGAGACAGAAAGTAGAATGGTGGTCCCCAGCGGCTGCAGAAAGACAGAGTGGGGAAATTATTGTTTAATGGGTACAGAGTTTTCATTTTACAGGATGAAGACTTGTGGATATGGATGGTGGTGATGGTTGCACAACAATATCAATTTATTTTATACCACTGAACCGTGCACTTCAAAATGGTTAAGATGGTAAGTTTTATGTTGTGTATTTTACCATAATAAAAAAAATTGTAGAGGGAAAAACAGTCTGCCTCCACTTTTGATATGGGACTGCTAACATCTTCCACCCTCCCTCTCCCCCTCTGCCCCACATCTGGGCAAGCTAAGAAAGCCTGCTGCTCTCTCCTCTGGCACCAGCTGGAAATTCATACCCAACAAGCCCTAGCCCTCCCACCAGACCCACATTTCATCCCCATCCCCATCGCATCCCCATCCCCATCCCCATCCCTAACCACCATAAATGCTAAGGGAGTTTCCTTGCCTGGTTTTCTGAAACCATTTTTGGACCTGCTTGGGAATCTGCCCTGCTCTCTCAGAAAGCTTCATTATATGAGCAATAAACCTTTTCCTACCCTCTTGGTGCATGTGGTGTATCATCAGTCTTGACATCTAAAACAAATTTTGGGTGGTGGGGTCCATGTCTTTGCAGGGTGACCACAATAGTACCTGGCACATTATGTGTTTAATAAACAGAGATTACTGTCATATTTATTTTATTTTATTTTTTGAGATGAAATTTCACTCTTTTTTCCTAGGCTGGGGTGTAGTGGTGCGATCTTGGCTCACTGCAACCTCCACCTCCCGGGTTCAAGTGATTCTCCTGCCTCAGCCTCCCAAGGAGCTGAGATTACAGGCATGCGCCACCACACCTGGCTAATTTTGTATTTTTAGTAGGGATGGGGTTTCACCACGTTAGCCAGACTGGTCTCGAACTCCTGACCTCAGATGATCCACCCACCTTGACCTCACTTACAGGCGTGAGCCACCGCGCCTTGTCTCTGTTATATTTATTTCTCTATTTAAATTGATGGATATATGCAAACCTGATCATTATCATACTTATGCCTTGACACAAGAGAGGCAATAAACTAATCTAAGTGATGCTTGTGATGCCAAAGATGTCAGAACACTTTCTGGGCCAATGGCAGATACCTCATGTCACCAGATGCTAAGGGTCCACAATAAAAAGCGTTGAATGAAAATTTTGAGGATAAATATCTCCAGGTTGAGGAAGAAGGTTGCACATATCGGGTGCTCAATAAATATTTGTCGAATGAATGAATGAGTGAATGGCCCCAGTGTGTGGGGCTTGGGAAGTGATTGGATATAGGCAGAGAAAAGGAACAAGTCAAAAATAATTCAGAAATCAAGAACAAGCAAGTTGCCTTGATATACTTCATTCCTACACTTGGCAAACTTTAGTGATTAAGGAAACAATGTTTTAAAAAAAGTTTTGGTGATGAGACATTCAGGAAGATCTATCAATAAATAGCAAACCTGGTCCTTTTTAAGACACTGTGTATAAAAAAATTCCAAAAAGATTAAAATCAGTGCAGAAACCAAAGAACCATTTTTTTCTATATCATATTGATCATTTCAAGTGGAACTGTTAGCTATCTTAGAAAAATTGTGGTTCTCAATTGGTTTTGCCTCTATCTCTGAACCACCATTCCTAAAGGAAAACATTCAACCAGAAAATTTCAGCACATCACAATCTCTCTGAAGATTAAGAAGTCTCTGTGAAGGACTGAATGTATAAATTGAAAAATTTTTGCTGTCACATTTAGGTAAAAGAGAAATCGTTCTTCATATCCCCTTCCTTTCCATCTGTAGCTCACCTATGTCAACTTTCCTCTCAGAAGTGAAATAAAATTAAAGCTATGACACTGAGTGTCAGTCATGGAGGGACACGTTCCCCACTTAGCCTTTGCTGAAGTGTTTCCAGAGACAACTGTCTAATGCCAGGTCCCCACTTAGTGGGCTGCACTTTTCTACTCATTTGCACATAATCCAGAAGTCACATTTTGGGTTCACAGTTTCCACTGGGGTAACCTCATTAGGCCTGGCCACCTCTGTGCTTCTTGTGAAGTCTCTGATTTGAAGGATTAGTATCCTTTCCAGACTGTGTGGGTTGACTTTCACCCATCTGGAGTTGCTTGGAACAAAGATAACTACCTCAACTCCTTGTCATGAAAGCAAAAAAAAAATAGCATTAGAGTTCTGAGAACAGGATGTCATTACGGGTTGTGCCTTGTCAGCTACAGGTAAGATATTTGAGTGGCTCCTCAAGCCTCCCCAACTCCCTCTCCAACCTCGCTACACAGTCTTCCCAGGTCTGGTATTTGACCTCCAGACTGCCGCCCAGAAAGCAACTCAGAGCTCAGCAACACCATGATGATGAAACACAAATATGTGGGCCCCCAACTTTGGAGACTCCACTGGTTGCTTTTGTGCAGCTCTTTCTATATATGACTTTCAAAATGGCAGCCAACCCTCTCAACTGTTGGTTGATCTGAATATGTAAAGTTCAGCCTTCAAACCCAGCAAACAGTCAGCTATAGGATAGAGTTCAGGTGCTGGGGAATGACCACGGTTGGCTGCTACGTTGGGAACCCTGGTGACATCATATATGGACCTGGGAATGTAAAGAAACGTAGGAAATCTGAATTTATGACTTTTCTAATCTCTCTATCGGGATCCTTTTTTGGAATCAAGATGATTTTCCTTCTAAAAGGTCATTTTATTACAGTAATGGGCAGGGTAGACATACCTCACTAGCGTACTCTCAAAATTTCTTGCATGCATATGCTTTCTCCGGCATGCATATGCTTTCTACTACAATGTGAACAAGCCTACGAAAGCTAGCCTAATGGAGGATGAGAGACCACGTGGAGGAGAGCTGAAGTGCCCCAGCCAGCAGCTAGCCTACACCCACAGCTATTTTGCTTGTGTTCCACTCGTCCTATTTGCATAATATTGTTCTTTAAGTTAACCCATTCTTAATTTATTGTTTTAATCTTAAGCAATAATATTCAAGAACTAATGAGTTTTGTGTATTCATTATATTTTTCCATAATATATATTATACTAATAAATGCCCATTCAAATTTTTGTTTGAGTGCTCAAGTGGGTATCATTTAAAATAATCTTATATACTATATATAACAGCCAAGGTTTGGGCAACACAACAGAAACTGCATGAGTTTATTTTATCAGAATTTTTTAAACGGTATGGGAGAACTAAAAAAGTAAAAAAGGGAACCCTTGAGTTAACAAGGAGATAAGAACTACGTAAAGCAGTTACTGTCCTGAAGGAATAAAGGGAAGAGCATGGGGTTATTAGAACCTAGAAGTTTGGAACCACCAGGAGCTGGGACCCTATGAGGAGAGGGTTGGCCCCTGACAATGCTGGTGTCTCTAAGGGAGCTCCTGAGGCTGATTCTAGCAGTGTAGGGAAAGAAACTGGAAACTGGAACAATTTCCTCTGTAATCAATGACCCTTGCCAGGGTAAAGAATCACTGCTGAAGAGATGCTACTGGAAAAGCAAGCAAACAAAAAGGAGGGTGTCCCTTCCCCTTCTTCCTTCCTTCCAGTCTCCCTCATGACAGAGCATCTGGCTGGTGACGGGAAAAGGTGCTCCACAGAGCACCACCCCAACATCACACGGGCATCTGCTGACCCACAGCTGACTGCAGATGAGGAAGCTCAGCCTAGGTCACACAAACGCCTCCCAGCTGAGTCTAGCCTAAATTGCCAACCTGCCAAATCATGAACTAATAAGTGACTATTGTTTTAAGCCACTACCTTTAAGGGAATTCAGTATGCAGCAATAGCTATCTGATCCATATAGGCCTACAAGGCTATAGAAAAACTATCACATGTAATCCCAGCACTTTGGGAGGCCAGGGCGGGTGGATCAACTGAGGTCAGGAGTTCGAGACCAGCCTGACCAACATGGAGAAACCTCGTCCCTACTAAAAACACAAAATTAGCCAGGCATGGTGGTGCATGCCTGTAATCCCAGCTACTTGGGAGGCTGAGGCAGGAGAATCACTTGAACCTGGGAGGCAGAGGTTTCAGTGAGCCAAGATCGCACCATTGCACTCCAGCCTGGGCAAAAAGAGCGAAACTCTGTCAAAAAAAAGAAAAAGAAAGAAAGAGAGAGAGAGAGAGAGAAAGCAGAGAGGCTACTGCAGAGAAAAGTCTAGAAGGATGGGTTCATGGGTTCATCGAGAGACAATAGCTTAACAACCAGCACACCATAGTTGGCAAAACACTATCATTGAAAAAAAAACATGCTCAAAAGGGGAAATGCCAGTTTGGGTAAATATGCTTTTGTGTTGGAGAGAAAGAATTTGGAACAGGCTTTTCAGACCCCCTTAAGGCCCAACAAACAAATTATAATTTAGACAAGTCTGGGATTCTTCACAGCTCAGCTTGTGGTGATGGTATTAGCTTCACAACTCCAAACAAGTTAAGCTGTCTGTGTGAAATCTCCTCAACAACACCTCACTGGCA
Organism: Homo sapiens; assembly: GCF_000001405.40. Classification (NCBI taxonomy): domain Eukaryota; kingdom Metazoa; phylum Chordata; class Mammalia; order Primates; family Hominidae; genus Homo; species Homo sapiens. The sequence continues at coordinate 21,792,686 of NC_000016.10, read as the reverse complement.
AACCTGGAGGTGCTGAAAACAGAGCTTTCAATTCTTGTTTGCAACCAAGGGAGTTGAGTTGGCAGATGGGCACTGTGTCCAGCCTTGGGAAAGGACATCGCAGACTTTGCATCCTAAGAACTCATAACCACAACGGCAAGGTAAGACACAAGCTCTTGAAAGTTTCCATCACAGTGCAGCACAAATGACCTTGGCTATGTGCCCTGTTATTGCTGGTCCCTGCTTAAAAATCTCCTGTGACTTCCAACCACACAAATTTCCTACCTGGTTGCAAAAATGCCCTTGATAATTCACCCCTCCCTCTATCTTGCCCCCTTTACAATGTGGCTTGGCAGCTCCTCCCATCAAGAGTTAAAATCTATTTCCTCACCCCTTGAATCTAGGCTGGCCATGGGACTTGCTTTGGCCAATAGATGTGGCAGAAATTATGGCGTGACAGTTCTAAGCATGAGTCTCAAGAGGCTTTGCATGCAGCAACTTTCTCTTAGAACCCTGCCACCATGTGAACAATCCTGCCTGGGCTAGCCTAATGGAGGATGAGAGACCATGTGGAAGAGAGCTGAGGTGCCCCAGCCAACAACCAGCCTACCCCAGAAGCAGAGGCATCTGCTGACCCACAGCTGACTCCAGATGCATAAGGGAGCTCAGCCTAGATCCAGAACGCCTCCCAGCTGAGTCTAGCCTAGACTGCCAGCCTGCCAAATCATGAAGTAATAAGGGACTATTGTTTTAAGTCACTACCTTTTGGGGGAATTTGATATGCAACAATAGCTCTCTGATACATATAGGCCTACAAGTCTATAGAAAAACTATGCTGCCTCTCTCTCCAGCCACACAATTTCTTTCTCTTCTCATTTACTATTCTAATTCCTCTGTGTTATAGTCTGTGTCCCAAAATTCATGTCAAAATCCTAATCTCCAAGGTAATGGTATTAGAAGGTAAATCTTTGGTAGGTGATCAGGTCATGAGGGTGGAGCCCTCATGAATGGGATTAGTAACCTTATAAAAGAGAACCCAGAGAGCTCATTTGCTGCTTCTGCCATGTGAAGATACAGTGAAAAAAGAAGCAGGCCCTTGCCAGATACGAGTTTGCCAATGCCTTGATCTTGGAATTCCCAGCCTCCAGAACTGTGAGCAGTAAGTTTCTATTGTTTATAAGCTACCCAGCCTATGGCATTTTGTTACGGCAGCCTGAATGGACTAAGACAGTCTACCTAGACCATTATTTCCCTTTCATCATCCACCAGCCAATTCCAGCACATCTTTTAGATCTCAGCTTAAATACTCCCTCCAAGACCTCCCTCTATCTCTAATATGAATGAAATCCATATCTCAAGTTCTTCACAGAATCCTCTACTCTTTCCTTCATGGCATTTGTCATAATTTGTAATTATATATCTAGCAAAGTTCTTTGTTGTTAAACATCTACCTCCTCCACTCTCCTAGAAACTCCACAAGGACATCCCTGCACCCAGTGCCTAGGCAATGCCAGACACATAGCAGATGCTCCATTAATTATCTGTCGAATGACTGAATGGCTTCCAAGTTAGTTAACTGGGCACCCTTGATAACAGATTCTGGCCTATTTGAAGGATCAAAGAAGAAAGTGGTGCTACCTTCTCCCCTGCCACTATCTTGCCCACTTGTGGTGCCAGTTCAGGAGGTTTGGAATGGATGTGGCTAATGATAGACGTAGACCTATTGCCTTTCTTGGATCATAATTCTGCCAGGCTCTGAGTCCATGTGGCATCGATGGCTAATTGTCCTCCAAAATTTATCCTCTCTTCTTCCATTTATACCCTCCCATGGAGTTTTAACAGGGCATGTGGTCACCCTACTGGGATCTCACTTCTCAGCTTCCCTTGCAACTGGATGTGGCCTTGTGACTAAATTCTCATGAACAGAATGTGAGTGCAAGTGATGTGTCAGTATCTTCATCACTTTCCTAAAAAGGGAACTGCTGGTCCTCCACTTCCTCTCTTTCACCCTTCCAATGAGCCAGAACATGCATGTGATGCTGGTGAGTCAGCTTCAGTCACATGAATAAAAACAAACTCCAGGAGATGACTAAGCAATAAGACAGAAGGAACCCAAGTCCCTAGACGAGTTCACAGAACCAAGCTACCTATCCAACCCTGGGCCCACCTGGATTATAACATGAGAAAAACATAAGTCCTAATCATATTTTTGAAGCACTGCATTTTAGGGCTTCTTTGTGACAGCAGCCTACCCTCTAGTCTAATCAATATACCTCACCAAGTCTCCTGCTCCTAAGGGAGACAAAGAAGCAAAATGAGTCTCAAAACATCATCCAAATGGAATAGATACAGACCTGTAATCCCAACACTGTGGGTGCCCAAGGCGGGTGGATCACTTGAGGTCAGGAGTTTGAGACCAACCTGGCCAACATGGCAAAACCCTGTCTCCACTAAAAATACAAAAATTAGCCGGACGTGGTGTTGTGCACCTGTAATCCCACCTACCCACGAGGCTAAGCCGGGAGAATTGCTTGAACCCAGGAGGGGGAGGTTGCAGTGAGCCGAGATCATGCCACTGCACTCCAGCCTGGGTAACAGAGTGAGACTCTGTCTCAAAAAAATAAATAAAAATAAAAATAAATAGACCATTAATTAATAGATATAGCCTTGGTCTGTGACCAAAGCTCAGAATGTTATGATATTCCTTTCCTATGTCACCTCAACTTGCCCCTGTCATCAGACAGGACAAATTCCCCACTGGTCCTTTGCACTCACAGCTGTTACATTTGAAATGGGAGCTTAGCCTTCCCTGCCCTGGTTCCTCCTTAGACTCATTTGGGAAAACAGGAAACGTAATTATTTCTGCCATTACCTTTATCTCATGGAGCCTGACAGAGTGTAACCAATGGTAGGAATTAAAACATTCTAATTGCCAACTCACAACAACTCCCGAAAAAAATCATTTTAACTCATTATACATATTAAATTATGACATGCTTAATGTCCAAACCTAATAGATTCAGTACTCAGGAAATCCCTTATACAGGTAGACACCTTTCCTCCTGTACTTTAAGAAAATCTTACATCAATATGCGGGACTTCTCAAATTTTTCTATCACAGTTTTCTTAATAGGAAGGAGAATTTGTGCCAAAAGATGTATGGAAATTTAGCACAAAGTAGCCCTCTACAAGCGGAGGATTTCTTTAAAGCATTGTGTTTTATCTCAAGATTCCATGGCAAATGTTTATCTTCTCTGCTTGTTTTAGTATGAAATAGTTTTCATTTGCTTGTCATCATTTTTAAGGAGTTGAAAATACAATCAACCTCACTCATCATAAAATAAAAGCAAATTAAAACTACTATGACATATTTTCACCTACAAAATTGAGAACATTTTAAAATGTGATAATAGTTCTATTAACAAGGGTGTGAGAAGACAATTCTCAGGCAGGGCATGGTGGCTCACACCTGTCATCCCAGAGCTTTGGGAGGCTAAAGTGGGAGGATCGCTTGAGCTCAGGAATTCAAGATCCACCTAGGCAACATAGTGAGACTCTGTCTCTACAAAAAGTAAAATATAAATTAGCTGGGTGTGGTGGCATGCGGCTATCATCCCAGCTACTGGGGAGGCTGAGGCGGGAGGATTGCTTGAACTGGGGAAGACCAGGTTGCCATGAGCCATGATCACGCCACTGTATTCTAGCCTGGGTGGCAGGACCGGACCCTGTCCCAAAAAAAAAAAAAAAAAAAAAAAAATCCCTCTTCCCTGATTGGTGGGACTGTAAGCTGGTGCAACCTCTTGGGAGGAGCAGGTGGTTAGAAAACATGTATCAAATTTTTATGCAAAATTTAAATAGACCCACAATTAGACCCTAGGAATTTATTCTCCAGATATTCTCATGCATGCGTGCAAGGTATATTTGCAAAGATTTGTATCCAGCACTATCTGTAATTGCAAAAATCCAGAAGCAACCTCAGTGTCAATCCTTAGAAGACTGTGTACATGAGATACTGTACATGTTGGTTGGGTTCTCCGAGAAGCGCATGCCCGGATAGAATGCAAAAGATTCATTAGGGAGTAACACCTCTGCCAGAAAAGCAGAAGAGATAGGATTGGGCAGGAGGGGCCATTAGAGCACAATTTAGAGCTACCACCATTTCAGAAGGCAGCAAAGATTGCCTGTTAGAGAAATGGTCAGGCCCTTGTACCCTCAGTCACTGGATGGGAGCCACTCCAAGAAGAGCATGACCATGACTTAACAGCTAAGGGGACCCTGAAAGAGCTGCCAGGTTAAGGCTATCAGCTCCTCACTCCCCACAGCTGGACAGAGAGCCTTTGTTTAAGGAGGATCTGAGCAGCTCATCTCCAGGTCTGGCACAAGGGTTACCCATAGGATGAAGATGGAAGACATGAATCTATATGTATTAGTATGGAACAATCTCCATGATAGATTTTTAAGTGAAAGAGCAATAGTAAATTGCAAAAGAGAACATAACGTTTTGGGACTAGGCAGAAGTGATAACCGAACAACAGTGTGAATGGAGTAAAATGTCACCGAATTGTACACTTTAAAGTGGCTAATTTTGCTATGTGAATTTCACCTCAATTTTTTTTTTTTTTTTTGAGATGGTGTTTCACTCTTGTTGTCCAAGCTGGAGTGCAATGGCAAAGTCTCGGCTCACCACAACCTCCGCCTCCTGGGTTCAAGCAATTCTCCTGCCTCAGCCTCTTGAGTAGCTGGGATTACAGGTGCGTGCCACCACGCCCGGCTAATTTTGTATTTTTAGTAGAGACGGGGTTTCTCCATGTTAGTCAGGCTGGTCTTGAACTCCCGATCTCAGGAGATCTGCCTGCCTCGGCCTCCCAAAGTGTGGGATTACAGGCGTGAGCCACCGCGCCTGACCCCATCTCAATGTTTTAAAAGAGAGAGAATACAGCATGCTGTCATTTGTGTTAATTTTAAAAAGGAAATGAATTTATGTGCATGTATAAATGCTAGACATGGAATCTCTCTGAAAGGAGCCATGAAACACTCATACTATGATCTCCAGTCAGGAAAGAGACTTAATTTTCACTGTACGCCCTTGGTGCTGCTTAAATTTTTATCATGTGCATGTAATTACACCCTGTCTTTAAAAATCATTAAAGATGTTTAATTGTTCTGATGAAGGAATACATTACTTGCCATCAAGAAAAATGAATGAAAAATTTTCTGCGAGACAATTTTTAGCAAGACACTGTTGTATTGATCATTCAAGTTCAGAAAATTCAGCCTCCGTCAAGGGGCACAAACATCATATATCAGGTTCAGTTTGTCCTCTCTCTCAGAGTCAAAGTGCTTTAGGAACATAGACACAATAAGTTTCTGGAACCAAATGGCAAATATCAAAACTTGCTAGAACAGGAGAAAAGTGTATCTTATTGAAAATTCACCAGCTGCTATACCATTCAGCATTGGGAAAATCAGCATACCTTCTTAGACTTCATTATTTTAAAGATGGCAAAATAGCCAAGTCATGGATGTCTCCCCCTTTCATCAAAATGTAAAGAACTAGCTGCCTCTGGGACTCTCCACCAATTTTCAAGCACGTCTTTTGAACCCATTTGATGGTGTCACTCAATAAGGGCACCTTTTTCAACTTGGCTGCCTCTTTTTGACCCAAAATAATTTCAACCCTTTTCTGCAGCTCCGGGCTTCACCAGGCTTTCTATTATTGCATATACCTTTCATAGTGATTCTAAACCGACCTCGAATGAAGAGACAAATGATTTTTTATCTATTGGTTTGATTGCACTTCTCCTTGTACTGCTCCAAGACAAGGCTTGTCTTTTGAGTTGCAAAAAATACTAGCGCTCTATTTCCAAAGTCAAACAAGTGGCTTTTCAATGTCTCTGCAAGTGTTTTGTTTCATGCAGTCAGTGCTGACTTTTCTCGATGGAGAGACATATGGTTTGGGCCCATTTTAGCAACTCTATAATAAAACTGATTATAAAAATAAGCATCTAAGAATATCTTAGGCTTTTAAGATTGACACCACTGCTTGCTACTCAATTGCTAGTTGTGGTTGGCAGTGCACGCAGTGTCTTTGTGGTCAAGTTCATTGTGGCAAGCTCAGAGGTCATGTCAGATCACAACACAGGGACTTTGAATTGGGTGGACATCCATTCATTACGTGGCACACGTCACGAGCTTCAAGGTTTTGCTTCAAAAACTCTTCTGTCTTCTAGGTGAAAGTATAAGTTTAAACTTACTGCTCTTTAAGAAAGTAAATGAAAAATGACACTAAAGTCCCAAAAGCCAGAATTGTCAGCAATCCTAGGTGCAGTTCATTCATTCATTCATTCACGTATTCATTCAATAAATATTTATGGAGGGCCTATTTACCTGGCAGCACTTCATGAGGCCCTGGAAATACAATAGTGAGCAATAAAAACACACTCCTTCACCAGGTGGAGCTATAGTCTACTAGGGAGATATAGATGTTAAACAAATTATCACACAGGCCGGGCATGGTGGCTCACACCTGTAATCCCAGCACTTTGGGAGGCCGAGGCAGGTGGATCACCTGAGGTCAGGAGTAGGAGTTCAAGACCAGGCTGACTAACATGGTGAAACCCCATCTTTACTAAAAATACAAAATTAGCTAGGCATGGTGGTGCATGCCTGTGATCCAAGCTACTTGGGAGGCTGAGGCAGGAGAATTGCTTGAACCGGGGAGGCAGAGGTTGCAATGAGCTGAGATCGCACCATTGCACTCCAGCCTGGGCAACAAGAGCGAAACTCCAACTCAAAAAAAAAAAAAAATTATCACACAAACAAGTACATAATTCTATATTGTGAAGTGTCCCAAAGAAAAATATGCCACTCTTAATAAGTACAGGAGGCTTAATTTGGAAAGTTAGAAAAGTGATGTTTAAAGTGAGAACTGTAAGACAAGTCACTTTGTCAGTGCAAAGTGGAAAGAAAGTATTTTAAGTAGCAAGGAGAGCATGAGTAAAGACCACGGAGAAGGAAAGCGAGGATGCAGTTAGAGACATGAAAGGACTGCATTGGTGGGGCACCGGGATGAAGGAGATGATGAAGAAGATGTAACCAGAAAGGCTGGCAGGGACAAGGTCATGCTGGGTCTTGCAGGCCAGCATGAGCACTTGAGATTCTTAAAGTAATTGCAAGGGAGCCTTTGAGGGTTTTAATGAGGGCAGTATCTTTATCAGATGTGCACTTGTTTGGGGTTTCTCTGGATTTTGTTGAAAGAACAATTTAAGCAGAAGGCAGATTAGGAAATAGGAGAATCGAGAGGCTGTATATGTTGAGACGCAGTGGTAGTCTAGGGTGACAATGCAGGAAATGGGAAGCAGTGGATGAACTGGGGATATGTTTTGAAGGTAGAATAGATGATGGCTGGGAAGACAGTGACTATTCAAGGGCAGGGGGGTTGGGGGAGGTATCAAGAATGTTTAGAATATAGCTAACCACATACCCTTTTAGAAACAGTCTTCTCTGAACATTTCTCCTGTCTCCAAGCCTCAGTTTCCTCATCTATGAAATAAGAACACTACTACTTCCTTTTTAAGGTTGTTAAACTGGTTAAATGAGATTATGCAGGGAAAGCATCACTAGTCAGTGCTCAAAAATGTGCTTTTTAAATTTCCTCCCTTTGCCTCTTATTCTCAACTTTGTCCTTTGTAATATTATTGTTCTTTAAGTGGGCTTGGTTTTGTCCTATCTTTGCCCATTCACTCACTGCTCCCCATCCACCCAAATCCCCTCTGTATTCTGTTTATGCAAGACTGAGTTTACCCCTTCTCAGTCCATTGACTTATCTCTCCTCACTCATTGACTTGTCCCAGGCAATTTATTCTGCAATCTTGGACAAAAATCTGGATTTTCAGCCAGGTGCAGTGGCTCACACCTGTAAACCCAGCACTTTGGGAGGCCAAGGCGGGTAGATCATTTGAGGTCAGGAGTTTGAGACCAGCCTGACCAACATGACGAAACCCTGTCTCTACTAGAAATACAAAAATTAGCTGGGTGTGGTGACGTGTGCCTGTAATTCCAGGCATGCCTGTAATCCCAGCTACTCGGGAGGCTGAGGCAGGAGAATCGCTTGAACCCAGGAGACGGAGGTTGCAGTCAGGCGAGCTCACGCCACTGTATTCCAGCCTGGGCAACAAAGCGAGACTTCATCTCAAAAAAAAATAATAATAATTCATTATGTAATCCAGCTTTGAAACACTCTTTGGCTACACTTTTGTATGCTTTAAGGAGGAACAAAACACAGATGGTCTCCAACTTACATTGGTTAAATCTACAATTTTTCAGCTTTACAATGGTGCAAAAACAATGTGCATTCAGTAGAAACTGTACTTCAAGTACCCATACAACCATTCTGGTTTGCCCCTTCAGTACAATGTTCAATGAATTATGTGAGATATTCAACACTTTATTATAAAACAGGCTTTATTTTAGATGATTTTGCCCAACCTTAGGCTAATGTAAGTGTTCTAAGCATGTTTAAGGTAGGCTAGGCTAAGCTATGATGTTCAGTAGGTTAGGTGTATTAAAGCAAGTTTTACTTAAGATATTTTCAAGTTACAGTGGGTTTATTGAGATGCAACCTCATTGTAAGTCAAGGAACATCTGTACTTCAGAAGTCATCAAAGCTGCATGAGCAGGACACAAGTCATATGAAAAGCCAGGTAGACATAATGCTATAAAAAATCCCTCCATTGGGCCGGGCACGGTGGCTCATGCCTGTAATCCCAGCACTTTGGGAGGCCGGGGAGGGTGGATCACGAGGTCAGGAGATTGAGACCATCCTGACTAACACAGTGAAACCCCGTCTCTACTAAAAATACAAAAAATTAGCCAGGCATGGTGGCGGGCACCTGCAGTCCCAGCTACTCGGGAAGCTGAGGCAGGAGAATGGCAAGAACCCGGGAGGCGGAGCTTGCAGTGAGCCGAGATCACGCCACTGCACTCCAGCCTGGGTGACAGAGCAAGACTCCATCAAAAAAAAAAAAAAATCCCTCCATTGTCAGAGTGTGAGCTTCCAGCTCATTATCCCAGAAGCCCGAGATAGCAGCAGTTCTCAGATCTTGTGATAAAGGTCATCTCCTATCCTGGGGCTCTCAGGACCATAATGCAAGAGTCTCCCTCTAAACCTGCCAGCCCCAGGGCTTTTCCCGCCTTCCTCATCCTAAGTCCTGAAAAGTTCACTGGGCCAAATGGTGAACCACGCACTTATTGCCCCATAACCCTTGGTACAAATGTCTCCAAATATATCCATCAAGCCTACAGGTAGTACTGAGAATAACAACAGTAGCTAACATTGATTGGACACTTCTAAGCCCCTTAAATCCATTATCTTACTTAATTCTCACAACACTGATCAAGAGTTGGATAAAATAATCCACTCTCAAGCCAGCAAATCTAAACCAGCCACTCTTCCGTATGGATTCCTGCTCTTATGGTAACAAGGGCTTGCCTTCCCCACCTTTATTCTTAACCCTTCTAGAAAACCTCTGCTCCTCCTTTTCTGAGATGGAAAAATTTATAAGTGAAAAACCATTCCATCTTTCGAGGTGTGGAGGGAGGAAAACAATCACTCCTGCCTTCAACTAAGAGTGTGAAAAATAAGCTTAACTAAACCTGAAATACATTTTCAAATGCCTTTGAAAAGACTTATAAATCAAATCACATTTGTCCATCTCTCTGCTCTTCAAAATTATCATGCATGCACCTGAAGTTTAAGCAAAGAAATCCATTAAACAAACAAACCTAAAATCATAAAACCCAGATTTAGAGATTTATCCGCTCAGTCTAATGAATGCCCAATTCAGAATACAATTTTGTCTTCAAAGAGCCCTGAAGGTTCTTATCTTTCTTATCTTTCTATAGTGTTAACAGAAATATTACATCTTTGAAAAGAAGAAAAACATTATTCCCAGAGCTAAAACAGAAAAGGCTTTGAACTATTTTAGGGATAAATCAACTCACAGTTACCAATAAACCAAAAAGAATAAAAAAGACTGTTTCAAACCAAGTTGACTACTCTTACATATATTCAAGTGTCAACTTACAAATCAGTCTTTAAATATACACGTACACTTTCTAACTCTCCTGAAATGTCACCCAAGCCCCCATTCAATCAGCTAAAAACAATTTAATTCTTTCTCTAGGGAGGAAATCAGGTTATCAGATAAGTAAACCTTAAATACCATTTCTAGGCCTGATGTGGTGGCTCATGCCTGTAATCCCAGCACTTTGGGAGGCTAAGGCAGGTGGATCACTTGAGGTCAGGAGTTTGAGAACAGCTTGGCCACATGGTGAAACCCTATCTCTACTAAAAATACAAAACTTAGCCAGGCATGGTGACAGGCACCTGTAATCCCAACTACTCAAGATAATCTGCATACCAATTGTGGGTAGACATAGGTTTTTGTCCAGAGCCCTCCACAGACCCATCCCTTACCTACCATTGTCTCTCGGGCTTCAACCTTATTTGAAAGTCTTAATTTGCAGTTCCACATACTGCAAACACAAGACCCAGTCTTTCTGGTTCTTATTTTACCTGGAGATTAAAATACAGGCTGGGCGTGGTGGCTCATGCCTGTAATCCTAGCACTTTGGGAGGCCAAGGTGGGTGGATTGCTTGAGGCCAGGAGTTTAAGACCAGCCTGGGCAACATGGTGAAACCCCTGTCTCTACTAAAAATACAAAAATCATCCGGGTGTGGTGGTGTGTGCCGACAGTCCCAGCTACTCAGGTAGCTGAGGCATAAGAATCGCTTGAAACCAGGAGGCAGAGGTTGCAGTGAGCTGAAATCTCACCACTGCACTCCAGCCTGGGCAACAAGGCAAGACTGTCTCCAAAAAAAAAATTAAGTTTCTGTCTTACAATATCATAAGAAAATGGCTGGACAGGTTTTCACCAAAGTTGGAGGGTACTTTTGTGATGGGTTTGGTTTAAATTGGTTTAAAATATAAGACACATAGTCCATAGAGAATTCACCTATGGACTATGCTGCTAAGAGAATCTCAAAGAGATGCACTGTTATGCTCCAGAGTTTTGTGAGAGGCCACTAAGGTCAGGAGACACATGCCATATATATCAAGATGCTGTCAACAGAGAAAACCAGTGAGGTTTCAAACAGAAGCCCCGCTCCATTCAACCAGGCAGCCACTCCTCATTGCAGGTGCTGACCTGGGCTTTGGCTGCTTCTCACATGGGCAACTCTATACACTCTATTCCTGGGAGAAGGGCAGCAAAGACCCACTTATTAAATGATGTTTAACAATCCTCGGCCGGGCGCGGTGGCTCACGCCTATAATCCCAGCACTTTGGGAGGCCGAGGTGGGCGGATCATGAGGTCAGGAGATCGAGACCATCCTGGCTAACAAGGTGAAACCCTCTCTCTACTAAAAATACAAAAAAATTAGCCGGGCGTGGTGTCGGGCACCTGTAGTCCCAGCTACCCAGGAGGCTGAGGCAGGAGAATGGTGTGAACCTGGGAGGTGGAGTTTGCAGTGAGCCGAGATCATGCCACTGCACTCCAGCCTGGGTGACGGCCGTCTCAAAAAAAAAAAAAAAATATCCTCCAGGCAATTGTGTGACAGCTGGAATGAAAAATCAGGGGCAAATTGTACATATAAGGGAACAATTGTTCATATTTGTGTAAGCTACCCTCCGGAGTCTACAAGTTAAAAGGCACACTTTAATCAATTTGGCAACTTGCATGGCATTTTCCTCCACTATTTGTAGGATGCTGGTATCTCCTTAACAGCTACTGTTTTCCTATGCAACACACAATGACTTCTTGAACACATGGCAGCTTTTCATTTGTTCATTTAACAAATACTTATTGAGTTACTACTATGTGCCAAACACCATTATAAAGGTACTGAGGATACAGCGGTGAACAAGATGGACAAAAATCCCTGCCTTTGTACTACATTCTTGAGTGGGTGTGAGGAGACAATGAACCAAAGAATGAACAAACTGTGTATTGTGCAGGTGTGTCATGGGAAAAAAATGAAGGAGGGAAGAAAAGCGGAAAAGCAGAAAATGTCAGGAATGCACTTCCGTGGCGGGTGGCCAGACAGGTGGCCAAGAAGTGACATTTGAACTAAAGAAGGTATAAGTGAGCAAGCTATGAGGGAATTTGGCAAAACAATTTCGGAGGCGGAGGTCACAGCCAGCAGGTGCAAAGGCCTGGGGCAGGAGTGGGTCCAGGGCATGGGACGGATGGGGAGAAGGTCAGCATGGCTGAAGGAAGTAGGGGGTAAGCTCAAACAAGTCGCAGGTGGGAAACTGAGTGTATTGGACCTTGTAGGCAATTTTAAGAACTTTAGTTTCCACTCATTAACATGGAAAACCACTGGAAGGTTTTGAGCAAAGGAATAACATAATCTGCCTTTTTTTCTTCAAATGCTGTGAAACAAATACTTATTTGACCCTATCACCATTTCTACCTTTGGAAAGGCTATGGTGTGTTACTGGATGTTGAGGATAGCTTACTCTTCAATGTGCAGTAACCAAACTGAATTCATTCTTTCTCAAGATGAGAGAAAGATAAGCCAGGTATGGTGGCTTTCTTAGATAAGCCAGGTATGGTGGCTCACGCCTGTGAGCTGAGGCGAGAGGATCACTTGAGGCCAGGAGTTGAAGACCAGCCTGGGCAACATAGTGAGACCCCTCATCTCTTAAAAATTTTTTTTTAGTTAGCCAGACATTGTGGCATCCGCCTGTAATCCCAGCTCTTTGGGAAGCTGAAGTGAGCTATGATCACGCCACTGCACCCCAGCCTGGGTGACAGAGTGAGACCCCCATCTCTAATTTTGAAAAAAAGACTGGATAGGGCCTGGTTAATACAACTAACTCCCCAAAATTCAAGTTTTTCATATAGGTCTTTTTTAAAAAATAGCTTTAATTGACATAAAATTCACCCATTTAAAGTTTACAATTCAATGGATTTTTATATATTCACAATGTAGTACAACCATCATTATAATTTTTTTTTTTTTTTTAGACAGAGTCTAGCTCTATTGTCCAGAGCTGGAGTGCAGTGGCGTGATCTCAGCTCACTGCAACCTCCATCTCCTGAGTTCAAGCGATCCTCCCACTTTGGCCTCCCAAGTAACTAGGATTACAGGCATGTGCCATCACGCCTGGCTAAGTTTTGTATTTTTAGTAGAGATGGGGTTTCACCACGTTGGCCACGCTTGTCTCAAACTCCTGGCTTCAAGTGATCCACCTGCCTCGGGTCCAAAGTGCTGGGATTACAGGCATGAGCCACAGCACCTGCCCGTAATCTACGTTAGAACTTTTTATCATCCCATCACCCATTTAAGTCTTTACCCATTAGCCATCACTCCCCATTTTCTCAACCCTTCCCGCAAAACCCCTACCCAGCCTTGGGCAACCACTAATCTACTTTCTATACATTTGCCTATTCTGAACATTTCATATCAATGGAATCATACTACATGTGACATTTTGCATCTGGCTTCTTAGAATAAGATTTTCAAGGTTCGTCTATGTTGTAGCATATATCAGCACTTCAGTCCTTTTGAGTTTTTTTTTAACAATCTTTACCATTTTCAAGTGTATCGTTTCATGGCAGTAAGTATATTCACACTGTTGTGTAACCATACCCACCATCCATCTCCAGAACTCTTGTCACCTCTCCAAACTGAAACTCTGTACCCATTAAACAACAATTCCCATTCCCCACCCCACCCCAGTCCCTGGTATGGCAACCACCATTGTACTTTCTGTCTCTATAAATATGACTACTCATACTTCATTTTTTAAATTGCCAAGTAATGTTTCATTGTATGGATATACTGTACAACAATTTAACTATCCATTCAGCTAATGGACATTTGGGGTTTTTTTAACCTTTTGGCTATCATGAATAATGTTCTGATACTTCGTGTGTGTGTATAGATAGATAGATAAATTAAATAGAAGATAGAAGAGAGAGAGAGAGATTGGAGACAGGGTCTCACTCTGTCACTCAGGCTGGAATGCAGTGGCAGGGACACATCTCCCTGCAGCCTCAACCTCCCAGGCTCAAGTGATCCTCCCACCTCAGCCTCCCAAGCAGCTGGGACTACACGCATGTGCCACCACACCTGACTAATGTATGTATTTACTTATTTATTTATGTATTGTAAAGACAGAGTCTAGCTATGTTGCCCAGGCTGGTCTCAAACTCCTGACCTCAAGTGATCCTTCCTACCTCAGCCTCCCAAAGTACCAAGATTACAGGCATGAGCCCCCGTGCCCAGCCTGATACTTTTTTTTTTAAGTATTATTCCAGTTGCCTTGTTGAAAATAGACCCCAAGAAAGCAAATCTCAAACAGAGAAAACTGCTAGGAAGTTCTTGCTGGAATCCAGGTGAGAACGGATAGAGGCTCACATTTAAATGAAGTAGTCAGAAATAGCCACATTTGGATGTATTTTTATACAATTCCTGCTCCTGAAGTCTTCCCCACTCCTTTTTTTTTTTTTTTAACCATTACTACAATTGCTTTGCTGCCTTTTTGCTGATTTATTGGATCACGTGTTTAAAACCCTGATGTGAACACCTACATTTATCCTTCTTACTGGGTATGTGTTAGGTACTTAACAAAGTCTTAGTTCTCCTGGAGTCTGCCTGCATGAACCAACCAAATATAAATCTGCAAAATGGGAACTCTACAGTGTCTCTTCAGTTTTGCTGTCAAGATTTCACAGCCTCAGCTTCTAAAATTATTTCATCAAGTTCAATGGATACATATTCTTGAACTCTTTTCTAGCCTATATTTTCCAACAATGTTGCTAACTATATTTCCATACCAGCCTTCTTATCTAACATACTGGTTAAAATGTCAAAAAGCAGAGGGTTTAAAAAGCTTTTCTCGGTGGAATGTGCTTCTCCTTCATACATGATATAACTTGATTTGAACAATGTCACAAAGATATTTTCTCTGTTAGATTAAAATTTTGTTTGCATGAATTTTTCAATAGCTTTAAGCAGTTGAATAGCAATATATGCAGGAAGAAGCTGAGAGACTTATGTAATAGATATTTCATGTATCTATAACCCACACTGCTGCCCAGGAAATGTGCGCTGCATTAATAGAGAGGATTTTTTCCTGCTGAATACCTTGAGGAGTTGGCCAACACGTTTGGGAGTAGAAGTAGAAAGGGCCAGGTGTGATGGCTCATGCCTGTAATCCCAGCACTCTGGGAGGCCAAGTGGGGAGGATTGCTTAAGCCCAGGACTTTGAGGCCAGCCTGGGCAACAGAGTGAGACTCCATCTCTAAAGAAAAAAAATCATAAAAAACTAAAATTCTCTGCCAAAATGGACACAGAAAAAACTGACAATCCAGAGAAAGATAATATGCAATGAAGCTAGACATGGCCAAATTAGAAAATGATATTGAGAGAGAACAAGAGCAAGAAAGAGGAGCCCTCAGCATTGAGAGGGCTGAGGAAGCACAGAAATGACTGATGGGTTGGTTAGTTAGTTACTTTTTGTGAAGTGTGCAATGTAAATTTCACTTTGGTCTCCCCACCGGAATCATCAACTAAAGTCTACACTGCTATATCGGCTATCTATTGCTGTGTAACAAATTATTCCAAAACTCAGTGGCTTAAAACAACACATTTATTATCTCACAGTTTCTGTGGGTTAGGAATTCGAAGATGGGCCCCCTGCTTCAGGGTCTCCCATGGGTTGCTATCTAGGTGTAAGCTAGGTCTCATCTCAAGACTCAACTGGGGCAGGATCCACTTCCAAGTGCACCCACATGATTATTGGCAGGATTCGTTTCCCATGAACTGTTGTCAGAAGCCGCTTTCAGATCCTTGCCACGTGGGCCTCTCCGAAGGGCAGCTCACAACACAACAGCTTGATTTATCAGAGCAAGCAGGCAATGAGGCAGAACAGGGACCTCTCTTAGGGACATGCAGCACTCCCACCCTCAAACATAGAAATAAAGAAAAATCTTAAGTTCCTTTAAGAAAAATTCCAGGCACTTAGCTAGCCCTTAAAAAATAAATAAGGCCGGGCACGGGGGCTCATGCCTGTAATCCTAGCACTTTGGGAAGCCGAGGCAGTTGGATCACTTGAAGTCAGGAGTTCAAGAACAGCTTGGCCAACATGACAAAACCCCATCTCTACTGAAAATACAAAATTAGCCAGGAGTGGTGGCGCATGCCTGTAGTCCCAGCTACTCAGGAGGCTGAAGCAGGAGAATTACTTGAACCCAGGAGGTGGAGGTTGCAGTGAGCCGAGATCATGCCATTGCACTCCAGCCTGGGCAATGGAGAAAGACTCTGTCTCAGAAATAAATAAATACATCAATAAACAACTTAATAAGCAAGAAGATAATAGTAGCTTAGAATAATGGGCAAAAAAGTTAAAATCATGGGATGTTTGGCTTCCCTATAAAAACTAATGTTCATAGATTGTTTTTCAAAAATGAGGACTCCCCACTAAATGGGTCCAGCAACACACAAGGTCCAGCAACACAACTCAGATAAGGGGGACCTGAAGGCTAAACTCTTAACACTTTTCTCAGTTCTAAATTTCTTCCTAAGGGGAGTAGAGGAAGTCACACCCCAGGCCAGAACTAACATTCCACTGATCTCAAATTTTTAGACAAGGCTTCTCCTCCTAAGCCAATTACAAATCAAAACATCTTTAAATCTACCTTTGACCCATGGGTTCCCACTTTGAGACGTCCTGCCTTTTTAGGTCAAACCAATGTAGAGCCTCCCATATATTGATTTATAACTTTGCATGTAACCTCTGCCTTCCTGCAATTACAAATCCTTACCTATAAGCCATCCGGGAGCTTGGGACTTAAGCATTAACTAATTATCTTTGCTTGGTGCCCCTCCAATAAATACCCTACTTCCTCTTGCTACAATCCCAATATCAATGTTTGGTTTTGCTGTGCTGGGCAGGGGGACCCAAGTTAGGTTCAGTATCAGCAAGAAGGCAAGACAGAGTGTGTGCTAGCAAGACAGAAGTCCGTGTGTTTGGTAACCTAATCTCAAACTGAAATGCCATCACCTTTGCTGTGTTCTACTGATTAAAAGCTAGTCACCCATATGTTCATTGCAGCACTATTCACAAAAGCAAAGACATTGAATCAACCTAGGTGCCCATCAATGGAGAATTGGAAAAAGAAAATGTGGTACATATATACCATGGAATACTACACATCCATAAAAAGGAACAAAATCATACCCTTTGCAGCTACATAGATGCAGCTGGCAGCCATTTTCCTAGGTGAATTAACGTAGGAATGGAAAACCAAATACTGCATGTTCTCATTTATAAGCAAGAGCTAAACGTTGGGTACACATGGATATAAACATATGAACAATAAAAACTGGGGACTACAGCTGGGCATGGTGGCTCACACCTATAATCCCAGCACTTTGGGAGGCCAAGCTGGGCGGATCACTTGAGGTCAGGAGTTCAAGACCAGCCTGGCCAACATGGCAAAACCCTGTCTCTACTAAAAATACAAAAATTAGCAGGGCGTGGTGGCAAGCACCTGTAATCCCAGCTACTCAGGAGGCTGAGGCATGAGGATCACTTGAATTTGGAAGGTGGAGGTTGCAGTGAGCCAAGATCATGCCACTGCACTCCAGCCTGGGCAACAGAGCAAGACTCTGTCTCAAAAAAAAAAAAAAAAAAAAAAAAAAAAAAAAAAACGGGGACTGCTAGATGAGAGAGAAAGGGAGAGACAAAAGGGCTGACAAACTATGCTCACTATTTGGATGACAGAACCAGTCATACCCCAAACATCAGCAACAGACAACATACCCATGTAACAAACCTGCACATGTATCCCCTACATCTAAAATAAAAGTTGAAATTATAGGCTGTTCGCAGTGGCTCATGCCAGTAACCCCAGCACTTTGGGAGGCTGGGGCAGAAGGATCACTTGAGCCTAGGAAATCAAGACCAGCCTGGGCAACATAGGGAGACTTCCTCTCTACAATAAAATTAAAAATTAGCCAGGCATTGTGATGTGCACCTGTGGTCCCAACTACTTGGAAGGCTGAGGTGGGAGGATTGCTTGAGCCCAGGAGTTCAAGGCTGCAGTGAGCCGTGATTGTGTCACTGTACTCATCCTGGGCCACAGAGCAAGACCCTGTCTCAAAAAAAGAGACAGCTCACTGTCAGCTCACTGCAACCCCCACCTCCTGGATTCAAGCGATTCTCCTGCCTCAGCCTCCCAAGTAGCTGGGACTACAAGAGCGCACCACCATACCCAGCTAATTTTTGCATTTTTTTTTTTTAGTAGAGACAAGGTTTCACTATGTTGGCCAGGCTGGTCTTGAACTCCTGACCTCGTGATCCGCCCGCCTCAGCCTCCCATAGTGCTAGGATTACAGGCGTGAGCCACCGTACCTGGCCGAGAAATTATTTTTTAAGTGAAAATAAAAAAATAAAAGCTAGTCACTAGGTCCAGCCCACAGTCAGGGCAAGGGGTCACAAAAGGACGTGAATATGAGGTGGCAGGGATCATTTGGGGTCATCTTAGAAGCTGTCTACCACAATGTTCCACTATGAATTATTTCAGAGGATTCACACCTGGGGCAAGGAGGTACATCGATAGCATGCAACCAGAAGGAGTCCTGAGACAGTCATTTGCAGAAACCCTGGTGAAGTTTTGGTTTTCCTTGGCCATGCAATCAGGGGCTACTCACTGGCTGATGGACTCAGCTGACACCCAGATTAATTTGAGAACTGTATCCACAGTCATTAACTACGGGGCAGTGCCCAACTGTCCCCAAGCCAGAAGTAAGAGGTATGCATCTTCACGACCTCAATGACAAACTTGATCATATAAAATAGGCAGCATTAATTGACCTGGTTCAGGCTACGCCGGAGGTGGACTACCACCTGGAAACAGAGAGACATTGCAGAAGCTTCCCTGAGGTTCCCCTTGCAGCCTTCAGGGGTGAATTCTTTGACACTGGGTGTTTGAAATGGAGCAATCAAGGCCCCAGCAAAAAACAGATGCACACTCCAATGGGGTAATTGAGGACAGTTTAGGAAAGAGATTATTTACAGAAGTGTGGACAGGATTAAGAGAAAACAAGGATGTGGAGCACGCTGGTATTATCAACAGTGGGGTCTAAAAGGGAAGGAGAGAGAGAGAGAGAATCCTGGAACCCAGAGAGAGCTGTCGCTGTAAGACAGAACTGCCCAACAGGAACTGTGGCCTTTAGGGAGAAACTGAGCTACTGCAAACTCTCAGCCCGGAAGGAAAGAAGCCAAAGGAATAAATACCCTGACCTCCCCTTCCACCCTCCAATCTCCTACTGGGTCCCCACTGGCCAGTCTGGCTCCCTGGGCACACCAGAGTTGAGAAGAACGGACAGCGGATTTGGAGGCGCAAGAAGAAAGTATCCAAAACCTAGACAGAAAGCCAGGCAGCTTCACATGAGCTTTTTAAAAGTGTAGAAGTCATAAAAATTCTCCTGGAAATGAGCAAACACATGGGCTTTCAGAAGATGAACACAAAATAGCTTTTAAAATGAAAGTCTGCTCTGGAAGGGAAAAGGTGGTTCCTGGCAATGTGCAGAGGAGGATTAAAGTCCCCACCCTCAACTCCAGCCTGCTGCGTCTTCCAAGAGAGAATTCCCCAGAGCCTGGACTAGGGAAGCATTGGCGCCACTGGGAAAAGCTGCTACAGCCCTTGTTGGGCGGCTCTTTCTCACAGCTACTGAAGCTGCCTTTGCAAAGATTATGACAGTGAGAGAATCTGGTGTTGCTGACTCCATCTTGTTTCTAGCCTCACAGGCTAACTGTCCTCACTCATTCCTGGGCATAGGCCAAGTTAATCATGAGATGAATTTTTTTATTTTATTTATTTGCTTTTTGAGACAAGGCCTCACTCTGTCGCCCAGGATGGAGTGCAGTGGCATGATCACGGCTCACCACAGCCTCGAACTCCCTGGTCTCAGGGTGGTCCTCCCACCTCAGCCTCCAGAGTAGCTAGGACTGCAGGCGCATGTTAATTTTTTTGTATTTTTTGTGGAGATGGGGCTTCGCCATGTTGCCCAGTCTGGTCTTGAACTCCTGGGCTCAAGCGATCTGCCTGCCTTGGCATCCCAAAGTGCTGAGATTGCAGGTGTGAGCTACTGCACCTGGATAGGTATTTAGTTTATAGTTTAATTTGAAAGCAAGGATGATAATAGTGTTCCACTAAAACTGATTCCCTCATTGTTTCAGGGCTGAAACCACCTTTGTAAAACTAAGGAAAGGCCACAAGATTAGGGAGGGGCCTGAATTCTGCTAAAATGGAGGCATAGTCTTAGGCATAGTTTTAGAACCAGCCATTGTTCTATAAGTCACAAGATTTGTGACTTCCCCAATTGCTCCTATAGATAACATCACTATTATAGAACCTAGGATTGGTCTTTTGAGATGTTTTTCAGACTTTGCATTCTGGCAAATAACTGACCCCACCTGGACTTGTAACTCATGACTCAACTGGTCCTGTGGCCCCTACCCAGAGGTGGACTCAGAGCACCAGGACCATTTCCCACACCTCTATTGCATCCCCAACTAATCAGCAGCATCCATTGCCTAGTCCTCTGCCCACCAAACTATTTTTGAAAAACCACAGGCTGGGTGCGGTGGCTCATACCTGTAATCTCAGCACTTTGGGAGGCCAAGGTGAGGGGATCACCTGAGGTCAGGAGTTCGAGACCAGCCTGACCAACATGGAGAAAACCTGTCTCTACCGAAAATACAAAATTAGCCGGGCATGGTGGCACATGCCTGTAATCCCAGCTACTTGGGAGGCTGAAGCAGGAGAATCACTTGAACCCGGGGGGCGGAGGTTGTGGTGAGCCAAGAGCACACCATTGCACACCAGCCCAGGCAACAAGAGCAAAACTCCACCTCAAAAAGAAAAGAAAAGAAAAACCACAACCTCCAAGTTTTTGGGGAGACTGATTTGAGTGATAACTCCAGTTCTTCCACATGGCCAGCCTCAAGTTAATTAAACTCTTTCTTCACTGCAATACCACAGTCTCAGCAAACTGGTTTTGTCTATGCAGTGGGTAGGAAGGTTGAGTAATCACACTACAGTTCTTTCTGGATTCCAGGAGTCTCTCTCCCCTTCCCTTTTAGACCTGGTTGGTAAGGGCTCTGTGCTGTTGACAGTTCCAGAGTTCCTCACATCCTTTGTTTCATTTAACCCAGTCCATGCTTCTGTAAATACTCTCTTTGCTAAACTCTCCTCAAGTAATTGATTTTAATGTGCATCCATTGCCTGCCAGGACCTGATTAGTCCATTTCAAGCATCCAATATCAAAGAATGCACCCAAAACAAAGACGCTGTTAGGAAACACAGAACTGGGCACTGCAAAGGTCTTTGAGCATGACACAAGGATGTTGCAAGAGCGGCAGGCCCAGAAGGCAAGTGGGGATTGAAGAACCTTAACAGCATATTCACGGGGCTCAGTCCTAGGATTCAGCATCATGACATATCACCTCCAAGCTTCCATGCTTTCATTTGTATAGCTAAGACTTGACAAGACTAGTGAGGGTGTCCGATGATGAGGACAGTCAAGGATGTTAAATTCCTGACTATACATTAACAAGGAGGAAAAAAACTAACAAACCTGCATCAGTGTGAAGACCAGAAAGGCCTGTCCACAGAGCCAGATGACAAGGTACAACAGGATGCTGTTGAAAAAAATCAGACTAGATAAGAGCAGGTTGCTGTGTGAGCAAACTCAGACCATACAAGAGAACTATAGGCCCCTCTCCTCCAGCCCAGAATTCCTGCCCTGAGTGATGCTAAATCAGAAGGAAGAAAAGCAGGAGATGATATTGGCTACCCTCCGGGGACAGGAAGCATCACCTGGTTGGACTACCAGACTGCCATTCACACTTATATACATGGAGTCAGTCGGGTATGACTCAGTCCCCTGAGGCCAAATGTCAGCGAGGAGAGTGGGAGGAGCAAATCTCTCTCCTCCATTAGAGTTGTCTCCGGAACAAACCCAGGTCTCAAGGCAAAGGCCTCACACACTATTTTGCTATTTTGTCACCCACGTAAAGTTTTCAGAAACAGGATCCCTGTAGCTCATCAGGCACTCAGGTGCATCAAAGCTGAATTCAGGGTAAAGATTGATGCTGTGGCCCAGTGAAGCTGAGATGCCCATACTCTCTCTGTTCAGGTTATAGAGAAAATGGGCACTTTGTGATCACTTATACCCATAATAAAAAACAATTTGTGTGCATCTCATGAGCAAGAAAAATAAACAGGAAAAAAGAAAGCAACCCAACTACTTGTAAGTATAAGGAAATCCAACCCATATTTGTTCATATAACTGAAAGGTCCAGGGGCAAACCTGCAGGTATGGTTTGATGCAGGTGCCAACATCTTTTGCCAGGACCCAGTGTTTCTCACACCCTTTCTTTTTTCTTTTTTTCTTTCCTTCTTTCTTTCTTTTTCTTTTTGTCTTTCCTTCTTTCTCTTTTTTTTTTTTAACAGGATCTCACTCTGTCACCCAAGCTGGAGTGCAATGGTGCAATCTCAGCTCACTATAGCCTCAACCTCCCAGGCTCAAGCAATCCTCCCACCTCAGCCTCCTGAGTGGCTAGGACCACAGGCATGCACCACAATGCCCAGCTAATTCTTTTCATTATTTATAGAAACAGGGAGTCTCACTATGTTGCCAGGGCTGGTCTCGAACTCCTGGGCTCATGTAATCCTCCCACCCACCTAAGCCTCCCAAAGTTCTGGGATTACAGGTGTCAGCCACCATGCCTGACCTCACACCATTTCTTAACTCCATTCTTCTCACTCCATTTCTTAATTTCATTCCTTTATAAAGCTTCTCTTCTTACTATTTCAAGATGGCTGCCCAATTCATGTGCAGAGGAAAGAGAAGTTCTTTCTCTTTACTCTGACAGTTGAATAAAAAATCCAAAGCCTGGCTCTCTTTGGTCCATCCCTGAATCAGTCATTATGGCCTGGGGAATGGAGTATGCTAATTGACTTAAGGGAATCAGGGCCCAGCACTGGAGTGAAGGTGGGGCTAATGCCACCTAATCCACTGGAGAGTACCAAAAGTGTGCTTCCCCAAAGGAAATTCACAATACTGTGGGAAAGGATGAATTGATGCTGAGTCACTATGAATGACAAATGCAAAAGATAAACATACCAGGCCCCACTCCTTGCAGGAAGCAAAAGATCCTAGAGGGAGAGGCTGACATGGAACAGGATGTCTGACCAATAAAACTTCTTCCAATGAGGATTCACAGACATAGTCATACCTTCCAGGTTAAGTAAGGCTCAATTCCAGGCAGCTGTCTGTCTCAGCTCCTCATGCACATCCGTCGCTTCTGTCTACCCAGCATTTGTTTCTCCCTTATTCAGTTCTCATTGCTGTGTAACAAATTGACAGAAGTGCATCAACTAAAGCAACACAAATGTATTATCTCACAGCTCTATAGGTCAAAATCCAAGCACGGCTCAACCGGATTCTCTGCTCAGGGTCTCATGGGGCTGAAATCAAGGTGTCAGCTGGAGCTGTAGTCTTATCTAAAGCTCAGGGTCTTCTTCCAGGATGATTGGTTGTTTTCAGACTTCCGCTCCTTCTGATTATCTTGAGATAGGAGGCAGGACTTGACTCTGGAGGTGGGGCTTGGACACCGGACCAAGTTCAGGACTAACTAAAACAGAGCTGGGAGGGAAGCAGCTTTCCCTAAGACACACCCACCAGTGTGCCAGGTCAGTTTACCATTGACACGGCAATACCTGGGAGTTACCACCCCTTTCCATGGCAATGACCTGATGACCTAAAGTTACTACCCCTTCTCTAGAAAGTTCTGCAGAAACCACCCTTGAATCTGCATATAATTAAAAGCAGGTATAAATATGACTGCAAAACTGCCCAGAGATGCCACTCTCTGGTTACAGGGTAGCCCTGCTCTGCAGGAGCCGTCATGGAGCTGTAACACTGCAGGAGCTGTAACACCACCGCTTCAGTAAAGCTGTTTTCTTCTACCTCCAGCTTGCCCTTGAATTCTTTCCTGGGCAAGGCCAAGAACCCTCACAGGCTAAGCCCCAGTTTGGAGTTCATCTACCCTGCATCAATATGACTGAGGTCTTTTTTCTTGCTGGCTATCGACCAGAGACCTCTCTCACCTCCTAAAGACAAACCTAGGTCCTTGCCCTGTGGCCTCTCCATAGGCTTTCTCACACTTTGAGCATCTCTGACTTCAGGAAGGGCCTAGTCCCTTTTAAAGGTGCACCTGATTAGGTCAGGCCCACCCAGATGCTCTCCCTTTTGATTAACTCAAAATCAACTAACTAGTAGCCCAGTCAGGGCAGGGCTATTCCATCACATCCTCTAATTGTGCAGCACTGGAGAGGAGGAGATTGCACAGATTGTGCACACCAGGGAGCAGGGATCTTGGGGGCCATCTCAGAATTCTGCCTACCACATGTTAGTAATTGATCTCTTCTGGAATCAGTCCTTTCCTGCTCAGTCAATGTTATTTGTGGTAGGATTTAGGGTAATCAGACCTAGCCTTGGCCAATTGGTGTAACCATTGTCTGGGCCACAGTGGTCAGATCAGAAATGGGCACCTGCCTCAAGCAAGCCCAATCAGACCTAACCTGGGGACTTTTGCTGAAGTAACTAGGAAAGATCTCTCTCTCTCTCTCTCTCTCTCTCTCTCTCTCTCTCTTTCTTGTTATTGCGGAAGTGTTAGGCTGTAAACTTAGAGCTGATGGTGGACACCATGTGCTTTGATTCAAATGACCCCCCAAAACTCATGTTGAAACTGAATCCCAAAAGTGGGAGCATTGAGAGGTGGGACCTTTAAGAAGCGATTGTATCCCTCTTGAGGGCAGAGCCTTTACTGACCACCTAATGTTTTATTAAAGCTTGTTCTGCACCACCCCTATCCCTACCATCACCATCTGGAGCTCTCGATCCTTTCCTCCAGATTTCTTTGCTCCATAATATTTATCACTATCTGATACAGGGGTGTGTGGATGTGAACATGTATATGTGTGCATGTGTGTGTTTATGGTCCGCCTCTCCCAGTCCCCGGTAGACTGTAAGCTTCATGAAAGCAGGGCTTTGTGTACTGTTGTTTCTGTAGCATGAGGTCTGCCAAAAAAGTAGGTTCCCCATAAATGTTTGTTAAATGAATATATTCTGATTCTATCTCCCCCTCCTCCAGAATGGATCTAAAGCTTCCCAATCTTTGCCTGAGTGAGTGTCCTACTGAGTTCAATTTTGTTTCAGAAAGGACGTGTGTATGTTCACCCATATGCTGCACAAATATGTAATGGACACCAGCCATGACCAGCCTACTGGGGACTGCTTGGCAGTAGCAACATGGCAGCGAACAAGACAGATGAGCCTCCTGCCCACAGAAGCTTACATTCGGGTGGAATACAGGCTGGTGAGTTGTCATGCCGATTCCTCCAACCCAAAACCCTTGCCAGTATGGCAGGTCCTGGAGCTGGACTGGCCACCATTGAGAATCCACCCAACTGCCCATCAGCATCTCAAGTTCCCTGTTGCAAGATGCCAGGGAGCATGAGAGAGGACCGTGGGGGAGAGTGAGCTCTCAATGAACCTGGTGTGGCAGGGAGAAGACGAAGATGGGGCAGATCCCCAGGGGGAAGACAACTTAAGGGCAGATTTGTTGAACTAAGTTACTTCAAAGGGTCTTCCATCTTCCAGCATGAGCAGAGAAGATGACCACACACCTGGGGGAGAGTCAGATGGCTTCTTCAATTGGAACGTTCTTCCCTAAGGATGAGCTAATATAGCACATGACCTGAAAATCCTTCTGGGAGACTCCAGGTAAAAGGGCCTTGACTGCACCAGGGAGAGAAGCTAAGTTGTAGATTTGGGGGAAATGAGTGTTAGAACAGTGAGTGCTCAAGGGAAGTAGTTAAGTGAGCCATGAGATACAAAGTCTGCCATGGCAAAGTAGGTGGAACAACCATGTTATGAGTATAAGTTCTGACCCCAGCTTTCCTGTGATTTCTACGACCCTTGGTCTTGAAGATGGGAAATAAATGGGTGCATGACAGAAGTTAAAGACTATTATCGGGTATCAAGTACCATAGCACTTTTTGGAGGCAGAAGAGCTTGACAAATGGGCATAGTGTACATAGTAAATGATGGTAAGGGTAAAGGATAAAATGTATCATCTTCCTGTCATCAGAATGGGACCAGCACTGTGTAAGGTGGGCATGTTAATGACATGATATATAAGACAGCTTTTGCTACAATAACAAGGAACTCCCTAGGCCTGGCACGGTGGCTCATGCCTATAACCCCAGCACTTTGGGAGGCTAAGGCGGGTGGATTACCTGAGGTCAGGAGTTTGAGACCAGCCTGGCCATCATGGCGAAACCCTGTCTCTACCAAAAAATACAAAAATTAGCCAAGCAAGGTGGCACTGCCTGTAATCCCAGATACTCGGGAGGCTGAGGCACTAGTGGTGCTTGAACCCAGGAGGCAGAGGTTGCAGTGAGCCGAGATCACTCCACTGCACTCCAGCCTGGGTGACAAAGTGAGACTCCATCTCAAAAAATAACAATAACTTAAAAAAAGAGAAATAGCTCTCAAATCCCAATAGATCCCTATAACAAATATTTGTTTCTTGCTTCTGAGTCTTCAGATTGGCTGTGATTACACTGGGTTTGGCTTGGCTGAGCTCAGCTAGGTTCTGCTGAGCTCAGCTTGGCTCCAAGGTTTGGGTTGAGTTCAGGTCTGCTCCACATGTCCCTTCACATGAGAAGCAATTGCCAAGAGGTCAAGTCAAATCATGCAGCACATTTAAAACTTCTGCTGGGGGAAAATGTGTCTGCTCACATTCCAATGACCAAAGCCCAAAGTTAGAAGGGCAAGGAATTAGACTCTACCTATTGAGATGTACTACAAAGTCACATGGCAAAAAGCTTATAATTCTAATAAAGGAACTAAGCAGAATCACTAGGAGCAATCACCTAGTCCGCCACACATGGAGATGTGCCACAGGGACTCAGAGACTGGAAGGAATTCCCCAGGGCCAGAGTTCTCCTGGGAAACTACAGCCTCCACCATTGCCTCCCAGATTTCATCAGCATCTCTGTAGTCTGGCTCATCAGAGGCCACAACGGAGATAAAGGCAAATAAAGACTTCAGCTGCTGGCAAGCTGCAGATATCTCCATGGATCAGCCAAGCCCATGTCTCTTTCTGAAACAATCAGTAATCGGGGAAGCGACCACAGAAAAGCGTAATACAAACTACCTATGGTATTGGAAGAATCCCAGGAATCGTTGGAGGTCTTGAATGAATTTGAAGAGGGTACTCAGTTCAAGACTACTTTAAGACACACACTTTGTAGATGTCCCAACTAGATACTGTGTGGCCTGGGAATTCTGCAATGTTTACTTTTTTTCAATTATATTATGTTATAATATATTTATAAGAAATATATATCATATATAAGATTATATATAGCTTATATATCTATATATAATCTAGATATATTATATATCTAAATATAATCTTTGATATATATCTCATATATTATCTTATACATATGATATATTATCATATACATGAGTTATACGTATCTCATATATATTATTTTCTTATATATATGAAATATATCTCATATATATAAGATATGAGAGCTATATATCTCATATATAGATAGATATAGATATCTATCTACATCTATATTCCCAGGCCACACAGTGTCTAGTTGGGACATCTACAAAATGTGTGTCTTAAACTAGTCTTGAACGAGTACCCTCTTCAAATTCATTCAAGACCTCCAACGATTCCTGGGATTCTTCCAATACCATAGGTAGTTTGTATTACGCTTTTCTGTATATGAGATATATATCTCATACACAGATAGATATAGATCATTCCATCACCCAGGCTGGAGTGCAGTGGCACAATCATAGTTCATTGCAGCCTCAAAATTCTGGGCTCAACCGATCCTCCCACTTCAGCCTCCTGAGTGGCTGGGACTACAGGTGTGTGCCACCAGGCGGGGGCTAATTTTTCTTTTTTTGGAGACAGAGTCTCACTCTGTTGCCCAGACTCAGATGTAGTGGTGCAATCTCAGCTCACTGCAACCTCCACCTCCCAGGTTCAAGCAGTTCTCCTGCTTAGCCTCCCAAGTAGCTGGGACTACAGGCACGTGCAACCACTCCCAGCTAATTTTTTGTATTTTACTAGAGACGAGGTTTCACCATGTTGCCCAGGCTGGTCTTGAACTCCTGAGCTCAGATACCTGCCCGCCTCAGCCTCCTAAAATACTGGGATTACAGGAGTGACCCACCCACTGCCCCCAGCCTTTTTTTTTTTTTTTTTTTTTTTTTTTTTTTTTGGTAGGGACAGGATTTCCCTATGTTGCCCATGCTGGACATGAACTCCTGGCCTCAAGTGATCCTCCTGCCTCAGCCTCCCAAAGTGCTAAGATTATAGGTATGAGCCACCACGCCTGGCCCAATATTTCTAAAGGCCCCTCAAGAGGCAAAAGTGGGCAAAGGACTTTTAAGGACAAAAAATGCCTAGTATTGAATATTAAGTTGTTTACTGTGTTGTAACTCTCTTCCATGACTTCAGTAAAGCAGAGTAAGCACACACATGCCCCAAGACACAGTAACCTCTGTTTGGTAGTACAGCCCATCACAAGCAGCTGTGGCTGAACCCCTGGGTACCAGGACTAGAGAGGATAACTTCATTGTAAGTTCCACTGGATGTTAGGCTGAAGTTGCAGCCCCCATCAAGCCAGGCTTGGTGTCTGGAGCGGGCCTGAAGGTAGAGATTCTGCAAAAGGATCTAACTGGGGTGATATTCAAAAAATTTAGAAGCCAGAATGGCACAGGTCCTGACTGATAAGAACCAGAGCCAACATGCTGTGATCTGCATACAAGTGCCAGTGATCCCTGCCTCCAGCTGAGGAGGGCTGTGAAGGATGGAGGCTAGAAATCCATCAGGAGAGCTGACATTGAAAGGTGAATGGGAGCAGCACCTGCCAGCGTGACCTGCTGCTTTCCTGCATGCAAAGGACTGTGCATTTCAACCTGAGACCCTGGGGTTCCTGCAGGGCATCAGCTAGATTTGTCTTCCTGCCTGGGGCGATCACCAATTATATGTGCTGTGAGGCAAACTGTCCTCCCACCAGAGGAGGAGGTGAAGGGATTTACAGAATCTCTCTCTGATCTGACTTATTAGAGAAGTTAAAGGACACCTGTCCAGGAGGCAGCACAGTGCAGAGATAAAGAAGTCAGGATTCAAATTTGTCCTATCTGGGAAGCTTAGACAAGAGCTCCTTAACCTCTCTCACACTCAGTCCCCTCATCTGGAAAATGGGAATCCTAACAGTGCCTACCTGGCAGGAGCATGGCCACAATGAAATGAGCTAATGACACAGTGAAAGCCCTTAGACAGCCTGACCCAGAGTCAGCCCTCTGTAATGGGAGTCATTATTCAAGATGGGAGGAAAGAAACAGGAATTAGATCAGAAACAAATGACCAGAAAGAGAGATGAAATACAAAAGCTACATGAAGTCGGCAGTGTGAAGCCTGACTCGCAGGAGAGTGGATTTTGTTACTGTTTGCTTTTTCTTGTCCAGGATAATCCAAGACTGGCAGAAAGTGAGAATACCGATTGAGATCCAAGGACATCCTCATGGGAGTCTGTGCAGACACGTTTTCATCAAGAACCCCTCTCCAAGCAGCTGGTCCAGCCCAGCTAAACTGGGGGCTGCTGTTTGTAAGAAAATTAATGCTCTGGGCCAAGCACGGTGGCTCATGCCTGTAATCTCAGCACTTTAGGAGGCCAAGGCAGGCGGATCACTTGAGGCCAGGAGTTCAAGACCAGCCTGGCCAACGTGGTGAAATCCCGTCTCCACCAAAAATGCAAAACTTAGCTGGGCATGGTGGCGCATGCCTGTAATCCCAGCTACTCAGGAGGCTGAGGCAGGAGAATCACTTGAACCCGGGAGGTGGATGTTGCAGCGAACCAAGATCATGCCACTGCACTCCAGCCTGGGTGACAGAGTGAGGCTCCATCTCAAAAACAAAAACAAAAAAAATTAATGTTCTGTACCTGAGGAGCACCCATTTGCTGCTACTTCCCTGCCAGGATGAAGGAAAACCAAGTCAGACATTAAATAACACGTGCAGGATCACAGGATCACACCTTTCACACTGCAGTCTTAGTTTTCTATAAAACCACGTGACCTCTGAAAATACACTCCAGCCTCTGCAACACCTACTCATGACGCTTTGTAAAATCCACCGCCTTTTAGGGACACCAAGATTTTCGGAAACATGCAGTTTTCTTACCTCCAGATGAGATGTCTACTGTGGATAGGTGACTAGGAGGAGAACCCAAGGTGTGCTGATGGCAGAACAGAAGCACCTAGGATGCCACCAGGGAAACGCCCTGACAAGCAGCTGTGATGCTGTCTTCGAGAAGGTGTTTGCAAACACCACTGCTGCCCCCCTTCCCTGAGCCCTGACTTCCTAAACCTAAGGCTAAAAGCATCCTGGCAATTCCCGGAAGTAACTTCATTCTAGCAGGATCGAGCCAGTGGGTGGAGTTTTCTCAGCCCGCCAGGATCACATCAGTGACTGACTTACCCAATGTACTTTTATTTTTTATTTCAACCAATTCCCCAAAGCCCAGAGCAACTTAAAACCAGAAGAGCCACCACCATCTCCACCAAAAACAGGGAATATTTTGAGAGTTTAATGATAACTTCACAGCCATCCATTCAGCTGAGTCCCAAGGAAATGGAAGACACCTGAAAAATGTATTTTTAAATTGATTTAACGTTGAGCCATGTTAAATGTTTTAACTTCCAACCAATGCAATGCCCACCAAAACATCAATTAGTCCCAGCAATCAGGCAAGAATATTGGCTTCTGCTCAGGGATTCATTTATTTCAGCTCTGCTAAATATCGTAGAGGAGAAATCCAATGTAGCCTGTAGCTTCAAGAAAGTGAAATTAAGCCCAAGTAGAAACTAGATGAGGCCCTGGCTAAAATGGTGCCTTTTCTTGCACTGCCTCTCTCTGGTATCTCTCTAAAGTGAGGGCAGCAACTTGATTGTAAGGGTCTCGTGCTGTTAACAGAAAACACCCTTCCTTCCCCACAGGTTCTCTGTCTCCAAGCTGGAAAACAAAAGAGGCTGCAATGGGACAGAGAAGGGCTTCCTGCTGAGGAGATGAGTGGGCTTAAGAATTTGCAAGATCAAAAATCAAAACAATTAAACCCATGGAGATAGAGTAGAAGGAGAGTGAACAGAGGCTGGGAAGGGTAATGGGAGAGTTGGTGGGGAGGAGGCAGATGGTTAACGGGTACAAAAAAAACAGAAAGATGAGTAAGACCTACTTTTCCATAGCACAACAGGATGACTATAGTCAACAGTAATTTTTTTTTTTTTTGAGATAACGTCACTCTGTCACCCAGGCTAGAGAGCAGTGGCATGGTCTCTGCCCACTGCAACTTCTGGCTCCTCAGTTCAAGCGATTCTCCTGCCTCAGCCTCCCGAGTAGCTGGAATTACAGGCGCACACCACCATGTCCAGCTAATTTTTGTATTTTTATAGAGATGGGGTTTCACCATGTTGGCCAGGCTGGTCTTGAACTCCTGACCTCAGGTGATCCACCTGCTTCGGCCTCCCACAGTGCTGGGATTACAGGCATGAGCCACTGCACCCGACCCTATAGTCAATAATAATTTAATCGCACATTTTAAAATAACTAAAAGAGTACAATTGGATTGTTTGTAACACAAAGGATAAAGGTTTGAGGTAATGGATACCCCATTTTACATGATGTGATTATTACACATCGCATGCCTGTATCAAAACATCTCATGTACCCCATAAATATATATACCTACTATGTACTAATGAAAATTAAAATTTAAAAAAATTAAAAATAATTTGCAAGATCATTTTTAATAATTATTTTTCATTTGGGGTGCATTTTCACCATCAAGGCCCCAGGGTTTCCCTGCCCTAGATGAGGGTCTGGATCCAGGGAAGGGTGTCCCACCATCTGGAGCATCCTGTCTCTACACATGTTGGCCAGCTGCTTGGGGCAACACAGGACGATGCGCTCAGGCCACTCACCACAGGAGCTTGGCCATTAGAACCAGCAGGGGACAACCAAGCCAAAGACCCCACGACTGGAGAGCTCCTAAAAGCAAATACAAAATAAGAGTACACATGAAGTTCTGGCAGCAAGCAGAAGGTAGACACATGATGTCCAACTCCCCGAGTCTCTCTCTGGGGCCACTTGATGCAGAGCCTTGATTTGTTCGTCTCTTAAATGGGAACAATGATCCCCAAAGAGGAGGAGGGGTGGGGGAGTGAGAATTAAATGAGATTGTGTCAGTCAGCATGTACTAGGGAGCTTGTTAGAAACACCAATTCCAGGATCCCCTGGAGATTCTGATTTAGCAAGTCTGCCAGGAGACCCAGGAATTTGTATTTTAAGCATCTCTCCCAGGTGATTCTGATAATTAAGCAACTTTAGGAAAGAAAAGATTAGGGCTCTGGTCCATAGGAAGGGTTCATCCAATGGCAGCCCTCACTTAGGCCCTTGGGGTGAATGAAGGAGGGGCATCCAGGATCTTGCCCAGCCAGGGACATGCAGGAAACATCTTTTTAAGGGGCCCTCATCACTTTCTGACACTGCTGTTTCAAGGGAAAACTGGTCACACCTTTCTGCAGGGGATTTGACAACATCCATTAAAAAAAAAAATTTAAGACAGAGTCTCGCCCTGTCACCCAGGATGGAGTGCAATGGCGCCATCTCGGCTCACTGTAGCCTCTGTCTCCCAGGTTCAAGCGATTCCTCTGCCTCAGCTTCCCTAGTAACTGGGACTAAGGCATGTGCCACCACACCTGGCTAATTTTTGCATTTTTAGTAGAGACGGGGTTTCACCATATTGGCCAGGCTCATCTCAAATTTCTAACCCCAAGTGATCCACCTGCCTCAGCCTCCCAAAGTGCTGGGATTACAGGCATAAGCTGCCACATCCGACCAACATCCATCAAAATTATAAATGCAGACCCTGTGATCTAGCAATCTCACTTTGAAGAGTTTATCCTACAGACATACTTGCACAGATGCAAATTATATCAGGTCAGGAGCTGCAGCATTGTTCATAACAGCAAAAAAAAAAAAAAAATAGAAACAACTGCAAGGTCCATCTACAGACCTCTGGTTGAATACAGTTACGGCATAGCCATAAAACCAACAATGGCACAGCTCCTGTGCACAGATACAGAACTCCCTCCAAAGTATATTGTTAGGTGAAAAATACAAGGTGCAGAATAAGGTGTATAATAAGCTTTTGTGAAAAGTGCAGAGATCATCTATATTTGATTTGCTGTGTATGCATAGAATATCTCTGGACAAATACACAAGAAGCTGCTAACATTGGTTGCCTCTGGGGAGGGAACAGGGTGGCTGGGGGACAGGGGCTGGAGGAAAAGATTTCACCACATGCCTTGCAGACTTTATATATTCGGAACCCTGTGCATTATCTATTGCACATATTATCTATTCATGCAAAACGCTATAACATTTACAAATAACTTTCAAATATATGCATATCATATTTCAATGGAAAGTTTTTTTTGTTGCTGTTTGTTTGTTTGTGATGGAGTTTTGCTCTTTTGCCCAGGCTGGAGTGAACTGGCATGATCTCAGCTCACTGCAACCTCTGCCCCCAGTGTTCAAGCAACTCTCCTGCCTTAGCCTCCCGAATAGCTGGGATTACAGGTGCCCCCCACCACACCCGGCTAATTTTTGTATTTTTAGTAGAGACGGGGTTTTGCCATGTTGGCCAGGCTGGTCTCAAAACTCCTGACCTCAGGTGATCCGCCCACCTCGGCCTCCCAAAGTGCTAGGATTACAGGCATGAGCCAATGTGCCCAGCCTCAATGAAAAGTGTTTTAAAGTAATAATATAATACATCAAAAGGCATGATTTATGTTTTCAAGTGCCACCTCTGGCCACTTGTGGCTGTAGAAATGGGGAATACTCCAATTCACCATCCCTATGTGAAGGCAGGACAGGGAGACATTCAAGTCAGGAAAAGGTGGAGTGGAGGTTTTAGTCAAGCACCAAGTCCTCTGACTTCTCTGGGCACTTGCCCATGCCGGTACCTACTCCTGAGACACTGTCTACCTCGCTAAGCCCATCTTCTTCTCACCTTGTGTCTCACCTGAGACATCACTGACTTTAGGAGGTTTCCTGACCCATGTGTGTTCCCCATCTCAGCACCCAGCACCTGCCTCATGTTCACCAGGGTACATGTCTTCCCTCCCCGCCAGGCTGCACTGAGAGCTCAATGAGGGCAGGGAACATCTCTGTTCCCCATCTTGTTAGAAGCTATCTCCCCAGAGCATGGTCCAAATGTGGTGTTAAGAACAGAAGTTATCACAAAGAAGTGAGAAAGTGAAGGGGAAATGGGGAGAGCTGTAAGAAAGGCATGGGGGAGAAAAAGGAAAGAAGGCCATGTTCCCAGGATCCAATGCCACTCCCTGGGGAGGCTTCTCTATCTTAGCTCAGCCCTCAGTCACTATCACCCTCCCTGGTCTTGTCAGATTTGAAATATCTTCTTCATTTACAAGAGGGCCTTATCTATCTTGGTCACCTCTGTATTCCCAGCCCCTACTGCGGACTTGGAACATAGTAGGTGCCCAGTAAACATGGGTTGAATTAATTAATATTGGACAGGCCAGGCTTGGTGGCTCGCGCCTGTAATCCCAACACTTTGGGAGGCTGAGGTGGGCAGATGACCTGAGGTCAGGAGTTCAAGACCAGCTTGGCCAACATGGTGAAGCCCCATCTCTACTAAAAATACAAAAATTAACCAGGTGTGGTGGCACACACCTGTGATCCTAGCTACTGGGAGGCTGAGGTGGGAGGATCGCTTGAGCCTGGGAGGTGGAGGTTGCAGTGAGCCGAGATCGCGGCACTGCACTCCAGCCTGGGCGACAGGGCGAGACTCTGAGTCAAAATAATAATAATAATAATAGTTCATTATTATTGGATAGTGAGGAGGGAGTTTGCAAAGGAGCGGCTAAAATGAAATTAGTCCTGAGTTTCTGATGTTATGCGTTCTGGGTAGGGGCGGGAGAACTGGAAGATGTTTAATGCCCCCCACCCAAGGGCAGCCATAGTTGAGAATCACTAATTCTGAAGCTTGGTAGGGAAGCTTGATAGGGACTTTGGGTTTTTCACTGAGGGCAGAATCCCCAGTGACTGTCAGAGACCTCGCTCTGAATCTTAAGAACCTCCCCACCCCAGGCCTGACAGGGAGGACAAGGAAGGAGAGTGGGGCTGGGACGCGGGGCAGAGGGCGGCTCTGCTCACCTGCGGGAGAACGCGAGGATGAGGTTCTAGTGGGACCGGCGCTAGCGGGCGCGTCCTGCCAGGAGTGAGTCTTGGCGCCATCTAGCGCCTGCTGGAGGCTCTGCAGCTGCAGTGGACTGAGCCGCCGGCGCTGGGCGTGGGTCACCGCCGCGGCGTTCTCCGGACCCAGGGAGGCGATCTGCTCCGCGGACAGCTCCTGCAGGAGGCAAAGGGGCAGCACCCTCACACGGGGCCCCTCCCCGGATTTCCCACATCTCGGGCGTCCGCGCAGGATGCACACAACTTTGCCATCCCCTTGTGTGTATCATGTGTGGTCCTCTTTAAGATATTTCCTTAAAATTAGATCACTCTTGCACTACCAAAGTAAATGCATTTAAAAATAGAAAATTTAAAATGGAAGTTTCCAAAAATGGAAAGCCGGCAGACTTGCCATAAGCAAGCATTAAATAGGAGCCGCAAAATAAAAATAAAACAATATTGTTGAATCCTAGCTAGATTTGTCCGCCAACAATATCTGAACCCCTGGCCTCTTGGAAAAAAAAGAGAGAGAGAGAGAATATAAAATGTACTATACAGGGTTAAATTGACACTTCCTTCTTGAGGTATTTAGAAGTACTAATGGAGAGTTGAAAAGGGAAGCATGATTTCCTCCCTATGTGGCAATGTTGTTTAATGCAATGCAGGACAGCTTCCCAGTGCTTCAAGTCTTCCACCTCCTGAAACACTGATGTGGAGGGGGAAACACAGGCCTTAAAGATCAGAGGCCTGAATTCGAGCCCCTGCTCTGCCACATACTTGCTGTGTCACCTTGAACAAATTACACAGCCTCCGTGGGCTTTGGGGATAAATGTGAGACGGCATAGAGAACTCATCTCCTCTGCTGACTGATTCTGATCCTTTGGTTTGACTGCCTGAGCACCATGTGATGAGCTCTGTGAGGGCTCCATGGAGGGAAAATGCAGTCATCTATTGGTGATATCTGCTATGGACAACATGAGTTGGAAATTCTGCCAGCCAGACTATGTCTTCAAGGACTGTGAACAAGGTGTCTTCTGAAGTCACTTCCAGATCAAAGGACTTGGTGACTCGTTCCAATGGGACTGGAATACGAAGGGGACTCTATATCATCATGTTTATTTTCTAAAGGCCCTGAAGAATCTGGGAAAGATGCTTATGCTCCCTCATCCCTTCCTCTCCTGTCAGTCACCCTCTCCTCCTCTTTTGTCCAGGTAGATACTTCCCTGGAATCATATCCCTCTGTGTAAAGCCCTTCCAGGAACCCCACTCCAGAACACAGTTCAGGCTCCTGGAAAAAACTCTGCCCACCTCTCCAGCCTCACACATGGCATTCTTCACTCCAGGAGAGTGGGTGCCAATATTTACAGTTCCCTAGAGGCAGCATCTTCCTGTGCACCTCTTTCTGCCTGGAACACTGTTTCTTCTTCATCGCCAGCTGTTCTCCAAGATTCAGCATCTGGTCGGTCAAGCGCCATGGCTCATGCCTACAATCCCAGCACTTTAGGAGGCTGAGGCAGAATGATTAACGGAGCTCAGGAGTTCGAGACCAGCCTGGGCAACACAGTGAGACCCCCCTTCTCTACAAAAAGTTTTTTTAATTAGCCAAGTGTGTAGTCCTAGTTACTTAGGCTGACGTGAGAGGATTGCTTGAGCCCAGGGGATCAAGGGTGCAGTGAGCCATCATTGTGCCACTGCACTCCCTTGGGCAACAGAGTGAGACTTTGTCTCAAAAAAATTAAAATTCAGCATCACCTCCTCTCCTCTCACTACACACACACACACACACACACACACACACACACACACACACACGGTGGGGTGGTCAGAGAGGTACTTTTTTGGCTTCCATATACCATTAACACAGAGTCTGTATTCTAAAAATTATCTCTTTTATCAATGTTGCTGACTTGCGACCCACAGGCCAGATTGAATCTCTAGGCCTACGGCACTGTGTTTTCAAAAATAAATTCAGATTGGCTGCCAACATTTAATTATCAAGCAATTCCATATGAAAATGAAGATTTCTGACTTCTTCTCGAAAAAAGTGAAAAGGAAAATTCAGCAATCTTGGGCCCACATGGCCACACTGCATGAATGTGCTAGGAATGAGAAGCAGCCTCCACATTTAGACAAGGCTCTCCAGTTCACTTCGGTCTCTACCCAGCCTACTGCACCTTATGTTACCTTTTAGGCCCCTGAAGGCACTATGTGATAACCCCTTCACCTGTGCATCCTTAGGTGCACCTACCCTGGAGCCTGCCACAATGTAGGTGATCAGTAGGGATTTCTGGAATAGATAAATACCTGTACAAGGAAGCAGCACAACAGCACTCCAAACAAGACCAAGAGAAAGTGCTTAGCAAAATGCCAGCATCCAAGACCAAGCTGCTTGTCCCATGCAGAGTGCCCCAGAGGGGAAGCAGGTATTTGCTCAATGGCTTTGAGGACTGCTATTTATTGCCCTCAAACAGCTATTATGCCTGCAATGTGCTCGGAACTGTCCAGGATGCTGAAGTGATTGAAGGTTGGCTTTCTTTTTTTTTTTTTGAGACAGAGTCTCGCTCTGTCGCCCAGGCTAGAGTGTAGTGGAGCGATCTTGGCTCACTGCAAGCTCCGCCCCCCGGGTTCACACCATTCTCCTGCCTCAGCCTTCTGAGTAGCTGGGACTACAGGCACATGTGACCACCCCAGCTAATTTTTTTGTATTTTTAGTAGAGACAGGGTTTTACCATGTTAGCCACGATGGTCTCAATCTCCTGACCTGGTGATCCACCCTCCTCGGCCTCCCAAAGTGCTGGGATTACAGGTGTGAGCCACTGCACCCGGCCTCAGCTATCTTTCTTGAAATGAACAAGTGATGTGGCACTGGGGGAGTTTGTCGAGCCTGGTTTGTGTGTTTTATCCAGAAGTGCTGGACAAAATGTGTTCCCACATTACGCAGCAAACAGGAACACCAGAATGACTGCCTCCTCATCAGAGCAGACTATTCCCACCAAACACTCCCCTAATCTTGTATACAGACAGAAAAAAAGGACCTGTCATTAGATACCCTGCTTCCCTTCCTTCAAATGATCCAATTTCACCCTCTCAATTTTTTCATAGCAGTTTTTCACCTGTCCTCTTGTGATTTTCCTAATACTTTTCTTTAAATCAACTAAAAATATATATATATAGAAAAAAATATATATATATAGAGAGAGAGAGATGGTTTCGCTCTTGTTGCCCAGGCTGGAGTGCAATGGTGTGGTCTTGGCTCATTGCAACCTCTGTCTCCCGGGTTCAAGTGATTCTCCTGCCTCAGCCTCCCAAGTAACTGGGATTACAGGCATCCACCACCACGCCCAGCTAATTTTGTATTTTTCATAGAGATGGGGTTTCACCACATTGGCCAGGCTGGTCTCAGACTCCTGACCTCAGGTGATTGGCCTGTCTCAGCCTCCCAAAATGTTGGGATTACAGGTGTGAGCCACCATGCCTGACCTAAATCAACTAAAATATTTTTATTTAATTATATCTTAAAAGGAAATGTTACAGAGGTCCACAATCCCTCATCTGCAATTCCAAAGTCCAAAAATAATCTGAAAACTGCAAGTTTTCCCCCAAAGTTTAAGTCAAACTTATTTATCAGCAAAACTTGACCTGAAGTAATGTGAGGCTATTTATTTATAGTCTCTATTTATTCCAATTAGTGTGGCTTGTCACAGATTTCTTCACAGAAATATTAATGTGTTTGCTTACAAGGTGCTTCCCCAGACACTGCTGGGGGTATGAAGTTACATACAGTAAATGTACAGGGTGATCTTTTCAAAATCTGAGAAATTC
This sequence comes from Homo sapiens, assembly GCF_000001405.40. Classification (NCBI taxonomy): domain Eukaryota; kingdom Metazoa; phylum Chordata; class Mammalia; order Primates; family Hominidae; genus Homo; species Homo sapiens. The sequence continues at coordinate 21,753,437 of NC_000016.10, read as the reverse complement.
TGAATTCTGAACTATATCTGTCCCCAGGGGTTTTCGTAAGGGTTTATGAACCTGTCATACCACCATAAGTAGAAAATCAGTACCACCTGCTAGAAGAAGAGAAGATGACCGTAAAAATAAATATAATTAAACTACATATTGTAATTTTAAGAAAAATGTTTTTTAAAAACACCTAAACTCACACAGATCTCCTCTGACCCCATCAGCAGAGCCTGGTCACAAGCCTCTAAATTCCAAGGCCCATCACCTGTTTCCCTGTGTGATTTGAAATGGGGTCAAGCTCCCATTTCTCCTTGAAGAACTGAGCACCTACTTTGAATATCTCATCAGGAAGGCATTTTATTGCTGATGGCTGGAAATATGGCATCAAATCCTTGTCAAGCATCCGGAGCTCTGCCTTAGTTAATCCAGCTGGGGAGAAAAAGGAATCACGGGGGTTTAGTTCAAGCCATCAGAACTCCGCTTGTTTTATTAATGGTGCTGCATAATGTTCAGATCTGAGTGTTCTAGGCAGGCATCATTCCTTACAAAAGGCCCTGGAAATCACACTGGGGAATCAAGTTCCTTCATCAACTCAGAAAAAAAAAATGTGGGTCACATTAGCCCTGATTGGCCTCCTACAGTGAAACGCATGCCCAGAAGGAACTTCAATTTACACACTTTCAAATTTTGTATAAACCTACTTAGGGGCCAATTAAATCACATTCTAAACTAGCGGTTTTCCAAACTTTAGTGTACACAAGAATCTCCAAAAGAGCTTGTTTTAAAAGCAGATTTGCAGACCCACCCTCTGCAACTTCAAATCATGAAATGTAGGTTCTACTGTAACGCCACTGATGTTTGCTACACATGGCCAAGGATAATGTTTTATTTTGTGTCCCCACATTTAAGTTTGGAAAGAGAGAGAAAGGTATGCTCAGGGTGAGTCTTACCTGCAATGGTCCCAAGCTCCTGCAAGACAGAACTGGTCCACTCAGTGGGATCCCCAAACACAACTTCAGCCTTCCTCTTAAACTCGGCTAAGACATGTGTGCTGCAGAGCAGGGTCCCAATTCTGGCCACTACCACCCTGGTAGTGGTTAAAGAGGGAGGGATATAATATGAGCTTGGACTCTTCAGCCAAAAACAAACAAACACACACACACACACACACACATACACACACACACTGCACAGTAGGCTCAGCAGGGACAGCAGATCCAGCTTATCCCATTAGCCCAGTGGGATTTTAGCCCAGAAAGGTGCCAAGTGTCAGGAGGTGGAATATCTGGATGGATGGATGGATGGATGGATGGATGGATGGATGGATGGATGGATGAATTAACCCATTTGCCATTTTGCACATTCATATTTTAGTTACCTGAATTCTGAGATCTTTATAAGTGGGATTTCAGTGATGTTTATAGCACACAGGGTTGCACCAAGTCCTACCAAATGAAAGCTCTTCAGGTCCTGGATACTGTATCCTGAATCATCCAGGTACCCTTGCAAAATGGATTCAGCCTAAAAAATAGTAAGAATAAAAGATAAACCATCCAGGAATGATCAAGGTCCCCAGGCCTGAGGGGATAAATAAGCTGTTGCTGTAGTCTCCTGACTGATCTCCCATCCTACTCCTCTGGAATCCCCACTCCAAACCATCCTGGCCTCTGCATCCAAGTTCATGTCCTTAAGATACTACTTCAACTGAGTATGTCCCCTAATCTATGAAAGTGTCTTCAGGCAATGAATCTCTTACATCCTTCACCAATATTAAAGGCACTTGTGTCCTGTGTGTCTGCTGCTTATTTCCTTCAGTCACTCTTATGACCCTCAGACAGTTTGGACATACAACTTCTTCTGCATCAGGATCCAAACTTTTCCAGCATCTTTTTCCACAACGTTTCTTCTCCCTTTTTTTTTTTTTTTTCGTTTTTTGGAGACGGAGTCTTGCTCTGTCACCCAGGCTGGAGTGCAGTGGCACAGCTCGCTGCAACCTCCACCTCCCCAGGTTCAAGCAATTCTCGTGCTTTAGCCACCCAAGTAGCTAGAATTACAGGTGCACATCACCACATCTGGCTTTTTGTATTTTTTGTAGAGACGGGGTTTCACCATGTTGCCCAGGCTGGTATCAAACTCCTGACCTCAAGTGATCCACCCACCTCGGCCTCCCAAAGTGCTGGGATTATAGGCATGAGCCACCGCACCCAGCCTTTCCACAACCTCCAACAAAACCTTATAATTTCCTGTCTCTTTGCCTTTGTTCAAACCAGTCCTTTCATCTGAAATGCCCTTCTGCACTTCCAAGTGCAGACATTCTTTTTTTTTTTTCTTTGGTTCAACTCAAATGTCACCTTCTTCATGAGGTTTCAGCCAGAATGATTTTTTCTTCCTCTATGGTCCTACAGAAATATGTTTACCCCTTAATGATTTTTTCTTCCTCTGTGGTCCTACAGAAATATGTTCACCCCTTCAATTCCAATGTTTACTCTTCAATTCCAAGAGTAGCACACAAAATGCTTTGGTGTTAAACTATTTTAAACTAAGCCTTGATTTAAGGCGGCTGACACATAAGTCTCCATAATTCTAGCACAGTGGCTATTCATCATTCATAACTTCCTCTGGAGAACCACCTCTCTTGTATTCCTGCTTCATGTGGTTCAGTCAAAGCTAACTGCACCAAGTTCCAGGAGTGATGAATTTCAATTCATACCTTAGCCTAGCTGCAGTCACTGGTTCTGGATTGGACATGTGATTTAACCAGAGTCAACCAGAACTTTGAGTGGAGCATTAGGGGAAGAGCTTTCTTTACTCTGGACTTGAACTTAGAAGGATATACACAAGGATCTGCTGGAACCTACCACATGCAGGCATAGAGCCTGTCTCTCAATGAAGCCAACACAAAGAAAAGCAAAGTTCAAAAACATGATAAGAGACAGATTCCCACCCAGAGTGTTGAAGATCCTGGATCCAGCTGTATCTGAACACTACCCCTGAACTTTCCAGTAATGGGAGTCAATAAATTCCTTTTTTTTTTTTTTTTTTTGAGACAAGGTCTCACTCTGTCACCCAGCCTGGAGTGCAGCGGCATGATCTCTGCTCACTACAACCTCCCTCTCCCAGGTTCAAGCGATTCTCATGCCTCAGCCTCCCCAGTAGCTGGGATTACAGGCAGGCATGAACATGCCTGGCTGATTTTTGTATTTTTAGTAGAGAAGTAGTTTCACTGTTGGCCAGGCTGGTCTCAAACTCCTGACCTCAAGTGATCTGCCCGTTTCAGCCTCCCAAAGTTCTAGGACTACAGGTATGAGCCACTGCACAGTGCACCCAGCCCCTTTATTTGTTCAAGCCAGTTTGTGTTGGGTTTTCTGCCACTTGTAACTAAACATGTGCTGATTCATTTTATCTACCTATGTAGGACCTGAGGAGGCATCCAAGCCAATCCTATGAAGATCAGCTACAAAATAAAGTCTGGGCTGGGCACGGTGGCTCACACCTGTAATCCCAGCACTTTGGGAGGCCGAAGCAGGAGGATCACTTAAAGTCAGGAGTTTGAGACCAGCCTGGCTGACATGGTGAAAGCTTGTCTCTACCAAAAAATACAAAAATTAGCCAGGCATGGTGGCACGTGCCTGTGGTCCCAGCTACTTGGGAGGCTGAGGTGGGAGGATTGCTTGAGCCTGGGAGGTGGAAGTTGCAGTGATCCAAGATTGTGCCACTGCACTCCAGCCTGGGTGACAGAGGGAGACTCTGTCTCACAAAATAAAGTCTGGTTCCTTCAGTGCTCATGGGAGCAAGTAAAAGAGATTATAAGACCTCACAAGGCAAAGATGAGGAGACATCCAAGGAGAGACCCCTAAGTGGAAGCGAAAATCACAGGCTATAGTCAATCTTCCCAACTCTCTTTGCTTTTTTTTGTTTTTTTTTTTTGAGACAGCGTCTCACTGTGTCACCCAGGCTGGAGTGCAGTGACATGATCTTGGCTTACTGCAACCTCCATCCCCCAGGGTTCAAGTAATTCTTATGCCTCTGACTCCCAAGTAGCTGGGATTACAGGCGCCCGCCACCACACCCAACTAATTTTTTGTGTTTTTAGTAGAGACAGGGTTTCACCATTTTGGCCAGGCTGGTCTCAAACTCCTGGCCTCAAGTGATCTACCCACCTCAGCCTCCCAAAGTGCTGGGATCACAGGCATGAGCCACCATGCCCGACCCCCATCTCCGTTTAATGTTAGTCATCCCCATCACACAATATAGATCATTAAGGTGTTGAGAGAAAGTGTTGAGGAAGATTGTGAAATGTTGCAATGAAATTCCGTCTTCATGGGCTGGTGCTTCCCACCCCTCAGGTGTGTTTAAATGCTACCTACTCAGAGAAAACTGCCCTCTGGACTCTTTCATCTCAAACAGCCCTTCTTCCCACTATTCCCATGAGCACCTTGTCCATTTTCCGCATCACTTATCGTGATTTTTCAAATTTTTCACTTTGATTACTCACTTTTTTGTCTGTATCACCAAGTAGGCTCCCAAAAGAAAAGGACCATATCCAGGTAGTTTACCAATGAGTCCCCAGCACCTAGCATAATGCCTGCCACAGAGTAGGAGTTCAATAAGTACTTCTTGAGTAAGTAAATGAATGAGTGAATGAATGAATGAATGAAACAACATCTGAGTGAGTGACTTACAAAAGTCGTGGGCAATATATATTATTTGACATGCTTCATTTTGCTGCCTTCATGTAATAGACTGGCTTCAGGAAGATTTCTCATGTTTCTGAAAATCGGACTGGTCAGTGTCCTCATCAAGTTGTCCTCCATGATTACAAAGCTCACAGCTACTATGGGGGCGGGGGATGCAGTAACACCATGCTTAGACTTATATGTCTTTGACTTAATGGGACTGTATATCCAAAGTGGTAATAGCTAACATTTATTGTAGCTAACATTTCTTGAGTGCATACTGTGTGCTGGCACCACTTTGACCACTTTACACATACTATCTCATCTAATCCTCCTAAATAACACTATGAGGTAAGTATTAATAGTATCCCTAGTTTGCAGATGAGCAAACTGAGGCAAGGAGAGGTTAAGTAACTAGGCCAAGATCACACAGCTAGAAAATGATCGTTCTGGCCAGGCGCCGTAGCTCCTGCCCGTAATCCCAGCACTTTGGGAGACAAAGGCGGGCAGATCACCTGAGGTCGGGAGTTGGAGACCAGCCTGACCAACATGGAGAAACCCCGTCTCTACTAAAAATACAAAATAAGCAGGGTGTGATGATGCATGCCTGTAATCCCAGTTACTCAGGAGGCTGAGGCAGGAGAATTGCTTGAACCCGGGAGGCAGAGGTTGCAGTGAGTGGAGATTACACTCCAGCCTGGGCAACAAGAGCAAAACTCATTCTAAAAAAAAAAAAGAAGAAGAAGAAAGAGAAAAGAAAATGATGGTTCTAGGATCAAAACCCAGGCAGTCTGATTCCAGGGCCCATACTCTTAGCCAGTGAAGGTGTTTGGCTATGGAGAAAAGATGGAGATTCAAGTTAGTTTTCAAATTTTTCTTATTAAGTCTTCATAATCAGGTTTCACTAGTTGACTCAGAGCAATTTGGGCTCCTCAACTATCAGGCACGCTCACTTTAAAATGAAAGTGCAAAAATACAATTTAAATAAAATTACTTTGAAGATATGGTATTAAATTGTCCTTGCCACTGAAACCCGGAAAATGCAAGCTCAGCCTGCAAGGTGATAAGTTAAAATAAATTTCCTTGAGTGACGAGACCAGTGTATATGTAATGATTCCAAGACAATTAATACCAACACTTTTAGGCAATATTAACTGTTGAAAAATGAATAGCTTTAAGATTTCAATCTCTCTGTTCATCCCTCTGGCTTCTATAATAGTTTTTTCCCTTATATTGGTTTTTGAGCTGAACTATCTGTTAATGTAGTTCCGTCAGGTCTGACTATTAATCTAGAAACCTGCATTTAAGGTTGATTGGGAGCTAAAGTTGAAGAACTGACTACAAATGATACATGCAAATGTTAGGTTTTCATATCCTCTTCAAACATATTGATAAATCTCACTGCCATCCATGAGAATTAAAATCGGTGCGAAGGGAAGGAGATACCCTAGTTTCTGCATGTATTTTTCTGTTTCTCCGAGCCTGCAAATAGAATGATTTTAATAGCACAGTGTGATGTGGCACTTCTCAAACTAGTCAAAACCAGTTTTAGAGTCAAAGAACCATGGGATTATAGAATATCAGACTGGAAGGAACCTCAGATTGTTGGGGCTAACCCTCTCATCTTGCAAAGGAGGAGACTAACCCAGAGAAAGGGGCTGTAATGATGATAATGTTGATGATGACAATGCAATGATGTCAATATCAACATAAAAACAGCTAATTTTTATTGACTACTATGTACCAGACATTGTTCAAAATGTTTTCAAGTATTAACTCATGTAATCTTCATGGCCAGGATCTGCATGTTGCCCAGCTCCAGGGGTGCACCATTCACAGTGTATTCTGTTTGAATGGTGCCACTCAGAGTTATGAAACATGGCCACCGTGATTACAAAAAGCTCAAAAGAGTAGGGGGACATTCATTGGTTTTGGCTGCTCAGCGTCCACACTTTTTCTTTGGAAAATTACCCTCCATTAGCTTCCTATTGCTACTCTACCAAATTACCCCAAACATAGTGGCTTTAAAACTACACGTTTATTCTCTTATAGTTCTGGAGACTGTATGTCCTAAAATGGACTAGAAGGATGGGTTCCTTCTGGGAGTTCTAAGAAGAATTCATTTTCTTGCTTTTTCTAGCTTCAAGAGGCCACCTGCATTTCCTTGGCTCATAGCCCCATCCTCCATCTCCAAAATCAGCAGCAGAGCACCTTCAGATCTCTTTCTAGGTCCCTCTGCTTCCATTATCATGTCACCTTCTCTATCTATGACCCTCCTTGCTCCTTCTTAAAAGGACCCTTGTGATTACATTGGGCCCACCCAAATAATCCAAGATAACCTCCTCATCTCAAGATCCTTAATCGCATCTTCAAAGTCCCTTTTGCTCCATAAGTTAACATAGTCACAGCTTCCAGGGGTTCAGACATGGACATCTTTCGGGGACCTTAATCAGCCCACCACATATCCTTCCCCACTCGGCTCATGTGGTCATGAGATGCTGATAAGATGGACTCCGCTCCCTGATGCAGGCCTCGCCAACCAACATATTCAACCCCTGACCAGAGTGGTTGCTCAGGGGCGGGCAACTACATGAGTGGAGTCAATGCTGAGGCTTTTCCAAAAACTAATAAAGAAGAGGCACATTTTTATGGGCTTGTTAATTAGGTTGTATATAAGCCTAGTGCTGAAAATGACCACTGAGAGAGCTGCCTAAGAACGAAGATAACATGGAAGGGCTAACACTTCCCTTTCCAGCAGTACAGTGGATTAGACACCCTAAACTCCTCTCCCAATCAAAACAATTAAAATTCTGGGAAGAACTTCTTCTTTAGCCCATGAAGGATTAATTAACATAGGAATTGGCCACCCACCATAAACAACTAGAAAATTTAACAAAATACATCAGACAACTGCATCCGGATATGGAACAACAGAATCATAATCCCAGAAGAAGAAAAACAAACAAGATGAGCCTTAAAATTACCCTCACTTACTGCCAAAAAGCAGTTTCCAAGACATGGATCAGGAAGAGGAACCAAAACAAGCCCAGTGGCCCAGCTGAGTTGAGGATACAGATATCCAAGTTCAGAGAGGCCACGGCACTTATCACTTGGGCAAAGTATTGGAGAGGAGGAAACTGCAGAGGGTTCCAGAAAGCTGCAGAGATGTCTAGTACTGACTGCTATTTTGCACATGCAAAGAGTGAAACTCCACATAGGCAGGAAAAGAGTCATCAGTAATCAGAAAGGATTAGGCTGAGCAACTTCCAGAGCTCATATGGAGCTGGAAATAGTTCACATTCTCACCAGCCAAAGTAGAGAGATCTTGAAATACATGGAGCATTAGGTAACATCCTCAAAGGAATCATGTCACAGTAATGATGATAAATTAACAACAGAATAAAGGTCACTCTGGTTTTACCCTAACAAAACTCAAAAGGAAGCATCAAAAGGATCAAGCTGATTTGAAAGTAACTTAAGTGTATGACAGAACAAAGCCCAATACTCTTCAAAGAAATACAACTAAATCAAATACTCAACAATGTAAAATCCACAATGCTCATCACCCAATCAAAATTGCTAGGCTTGCAAACAAAAAAAGAAAATATGACTCATAACTAAGAGAAAAATCAGTCAACAGAAACAGACTCAAAAATGACCATCATGAGGAAATTAACAGTAAGGATATGAAGGCAGCTCTTATAAATATGGAATAGTTAAAAGACCCAGAAACATCCACCCACCTGTCCCGGGGTCCATTCTGTTTGCCAGCTTAGGGAAGCCACAGTGTCTATGGAGCTGAGGTCCAGCTGCTCCAGCTCACTCTCATTAAGAGCCAGAGCAATGCGCCCCAGGGAGACGATATGGTGTTCTCTCCAGTAAGATGGCATGTCCCAAACCTTTAGGCAAAAAAAGAAAATAGATTAGACTGAACACTGTGATGGTATTTACAATGATTTGAATGTTTGTGCCCCTCTAAAATGCATATGTTAAAACCTAATCTCCAATGTGATAGTATTGGAAGGTTGGGCCTTGGGAGATGATTAGGTCATAAGGGTGGAGCCCTCATGAGTGGGATTAGTGCCCTTGTAAAAGAGACCCCAGAGAGCTAGCTACAAGCTAGTCCCTTTCCACCATGTGAGGACACAGTGAGAAAGCACCATCTATGAAAAACAAGTCCTTACCAGATACTGGATCTGCCAGTGCTTCAATTTTTGATTTCTCACCCCCCAGAACTGTGAGAAATAAATTTCTGTTTATAAGTTACCAGTCTATGATATTTTGTTATAGCAGCCTGAATGGACAAAGGCAGTATCTAAAATAGACATAAGGAGGCTAGGTGCGGTGGCTCACACTTGGAATCTCAGCATTTTTGGAGGCCAAGGCATGCAGATCACATGAGGCCAGGAGTTCAAGACCAGCCTGGCCAACATAACGAAACCCTGCCTCTACTAAAAATACAAAAAAAAAAAATTAGCTGTGCATGGTGGCGCACATCTGTAATCCCAGCCACTTGGGTGGCTGAGGCACAAGACTCACTTGCAGAAGTTGCAGTTAGCCAAGATGGTGCCACTGTACTCCAGCCTGGGTGACAGAGCGAGACCCTGTCTCAAAGAAATAAAAATAAAACAGACATAGGGAAACCTATTGTGCAGCATGGTGACCACAGTTGATAATAATGTGTTGAATGGTTGAAAATTGTGAAGAGAGTAGATGTTAAATATTCTCACAACAAAAACTGACAACGGACAAGTATGAAAGGTGATTGACATGTTAGCTTGCTTTAACCATTCCCCAATGTATACATACATCAAAACATCATATTGTATATATGTATACACCATAAATATATATAATTTGTATTTGTCAACTATCCCTTAATAAAAAATAAATAAAAATTAAAAAGACATAGGGTAAATCTTAATATAAAGCTCTCTTTTAAATCAATAATAAAAACATGACTATATTTGTTTTAAAAAAAAGATAGACAAAAGACATCAACAAGGAATTCACAAAAGAAAAATTAAATGTATGGGGAAAACTTTATTCTCAGTCATAATTAAAGAAATATACATTAAAAACAATCAGACCATGTTGATTCATCACATGTCAAGAAGTATAAAGACTTATCACCATTTACGATACTGGAAAGATACAAGGTAAGGGATACCCTCATTTGTTGTAGTTGAGAATATAAGTTGGTACATACTCTTGAGAGGGCAATTTGGCTATCTGTATCAAAAGCTTTTAAAGTATTTATATTCTTTGACCCAGAAATTCCACCTCTGGGAATTTAGCCTGAGTAAATGAGACAAGTACCCAACAGTATATGTATAAAGGCATACATTGAGGCATTTTTTTAATGCAACCTGAAAGTCTAACAATTAGCTAAATAAATAAGAACTAACCATAAATAAAATGAAGTTGCCCCTGTGGATACCTCCACCAAGGATTGGTTCCAGGACTTCTTAAAGATACCAAAATCCATGGATATTCAAGTCCCTTATATAAAATAGTGTAGTATTTGCATATAATCTATGCACATCCTCATGTATACTTTAAATCATCTCTAGATTAGTTATAATACCTGATGCAATATAAGTGCTATGTAAATATGTACAAAATGTTATGTCAAAAATGCTACTGTATTTTTATGTGTATTGTTTTTTATTGTTATATTGTTATTTGGATCATTTTTTCTAAATACATTCTACCTGAGGTTGGTTGAATCTGCAGATGTGGAACCCACTGATATGGAAGGCTAATTGTATTACAAAGCTATTTAAAATACTGATATAGGCTAGATGCTGTGGCTTACGCCTGTAATCCCAACACTTTGGGAGGCCAGGCAGACAGATCACTTGAGGTCAGGAGTTCGAGACCAGCCTGGCCAACATTGTGAAACCCCATCTCTACTAAAAATACAAAAATTAGCCGGGCATGGTGGCGGATGCCTGTAATCTCAGCTACTTGGGAGGATGAGGCAGGAGAATTGCTTGAACCTGGGAGGCAGAAGTTGCAGTAAGCCAAGACCACACTATTGTACTCCAGCCTGGGCAACAAGAACAAAACTCCATCTCAAAAAATAAATAAATAAATAAAATACTGACATAGATGTACATTTTGGATATGAAAAAATATGCAGTCTGTACTGTTGGGTGTAGAAAGCAAGTTATTGAATAGTAGGTAAGTATAATATCATTTTTGTAAAACATGAGATATATGTATGAAATATATAAAATAATATTTTTTATATACATAGTTTTGGAGTCTGGTAAGCTTCAAGTGAATATACCAAAATATCAACAGTGCTTATCTGCTGAACAGTGCTTATCAAAATATCAACAGTGAGTAAAAGATTATCACTGATTTTCTTCTTTATTATTTTCTGACTTTTCTACAATAAACTTGAAGTACTCATATAATACATAAATACAGTTATATTTATAATTTTAAGACATTGAATTGTTTAACCCTTGAGGGTAACTAGATATTCCACAACCATGTAAAGAGCTAAAACAGGGCTGGGTGCAGTGGCTCATGCCTGTAATCCCAGCACTGTGGGAGGCCAAGGTGAGCAGATCTCTTGAGGCTAGGGGTTTGAGACAAGCCTGGCCAAACAAACCCCGTCTCTACTAAAATACAATTATTAGCCAGGCATGGTGGCTTGTGCCTGTAGTCCCAGCTACTCAGGTGGCTGAGACACAAGAATCACTTGAACCCGGGAGGCAGAGTTTGCAGTGAACCACAGATCGCGCTGCTGCCCTCCAGCCTGTACGACAGAGCAAGACTCTGTCTTAAAAGAAAAAGAAAAAAAAAAGAAAGAAAAGCTAAAACAGGCCACAAAGGGACCTTTTCCTTTTATTTATTTATTTGAGACAGAGTCTCGCTCTATCACCAGGCTGGAGTGTAGTGACGCAATCTCGGCTCATGGCAGCCTCCGCCTCCCGGGTTCAAGCAATTCTCCTGCCTCAGCCTCCCGAGTAGCTGGAACTACAGGTGCATGCCACCTGTAGAGATGGGGTTTCACCATGTGGGCCAGGCTGGTCTCGATCTCTTGACCTCGTGATCCGCCTCCCAAAGTGCTGGGATTATAGGCATGAGCCACTGCACCCAGCCTATTTTTATTTATTTTTGAGACAAGGTATCAGCTCTGACGCCTAGGCTAGAGTGCACTGGCGCAATCTTGGCTTACTGCAACCTCCACCTCCCGGGTTCAAGCCATTCTCCTGCCTCAGCCTCCTGAGTAGCTGGAACTACAGGCACATGACACCACGCCTGGCTAATGTTTGCATTTTGAGTAGAGACAGGGTTTCACCATGTTGGCCAGCCTGGTCTCGAACTCCTGACCTCCCGTGATCCGCCCGCCTCGGCCTCCCAAAGTGTTGGGATTACAGGCATAAGCCACTGCACCCAGCCAACAAAGGGACCTTTTTAAAGATGGAAAGCTACTTCCAGTCCTCTTTTTACTCCTTTCTGTTATATTTTCAGACAAATTTGCAAATGATTCTGAGAAAACCTGCTGTGAGCAGCAGCTGGGGCTCTCCAGGTGAAGGAATAAAGCCTAATTCCTGCAAACCGCCTTGGTCAGAGGCACTGGGACATCCACAGAACTTGATTCACTGAGCATCTGCTAGATGCCAAGACACATCTCATCCCATTCTCTGCCACAGCCCTAAGAGGGAGGAACTGGAAATTTCCTCCTTTCTCAGATAAGGAGATCACAATATCACTGAGCTGATGCAGTAAAATTTCAAGATGATGTATGGGAAAACTGCTCGAGGAGGGTTCTATGTGCAGAAATGCTGAACTGGTTTTGGTGTTTTTCTTTTTTCCTCTGTTTAATGTTTCCTCCCTGAGGTGGGCTTCACCTGTATTGCTTTCTCCTTCAGGGTCATCAGCTGAGGCCGGCTGAAACCCTGGACAGCTCCCAGCAGTTCCACGGTCCTGATGAATGTGTCTTCCTCCATGCACCGCAGGTCCTCCAGGGCCCAGCAGGCGTTGGCTTCGGCCAACTTGAAGATGTCATCAGAAGAGGGGGCCACGACTCCATGGCAACCTGAAGAAAGGAGAGATGCAGGGAAGGAGAAGAGGAAAGAGAATTTCAGGAAATGTTAGTGTATTGAAATGAGTAACATTCTTTGCCAGTCAGATTTATGCATGGAAGGGACTACAGAGTAAAAGCAGAGAGCAGGAGGCAGGGACCAGTTTGAATCCCACTTCTGCCATTTCTTGCTAATTACTGGGTAACAAAGTCATGGAAATGCCAGCTTTTTGCACATCCACATGCACAAACTAGGAGCGGTGCAACATTACAATTAAACTACAAATTCCTTGAGGGCAGTAAGAGCTGGTGGTGAACAGTCCTGACTTTCGATTCAAATCCAAGGCTATTTAACCTCTCTGTATTTCAGTTTTCTTGTCTATAAAATGGAAATAAAATCGCCTCATAGGATGGTTGTGAAAACTAAATGTGTTATATGTAAAGCACTTAGAACAGTGCCACGCATACAGTAAGCACTCGATACACAATTTCTGTTGCCTATCTTACCCCCTATGCCTTTGAGTTTGCAGCCCAGCATAAAGATTCCAAAATTATGCAGCAGCCTTCCTATAAAAATGGGAAGATGGGCTGTGCGGTGGCGCATGTCTTTAATCCCAGCACTTTGGGAGGCCAAGGCAGAAGGATCACTTGAGCCCAGGAATTCAAGACCAGCCTGGGCAGCATGGTAAGACCTCACCTCTAAAAAAAAAAAAACTACAAAATATTAGCTAGGCATGGTGGCACATGCCTGTAGTCCCAGCTACCCAGCAGGCTGAGGTGGGAGGATCACCTGAGCCTGGGAGGTCAAGATTGCAGTGAGCCGTGATCACACCTATTCTCCAGCCTGGGTAACGGTGAGACCCTGTGTCAAAATAAAATAAAAAATAAAAACCAGGAAGATGAGTTGCTGTCCATGAAAATCATAGTGGGGGTTGTGGCTTTCCCATCCCAAGAGAAAAGAGAAATGAGCCTATTGCATTTCTCTTGGCAACAGGAAAAACATCCATTTCGGTCTTTGAATAATGTGAACCTTACCTACTCAAACCAGCTACCAACCAACATGCAAGTGAGATATTGTCTTTGCTGGATCTGATGTGCCCAACCTGGGAGAAAACTCTAGGATCCTTAAGAGCAACCCTGGATTTCTTATCTTAGCCGCAGACCACCACTGATGCTGACAGATGCACCAACCCCACCCAAGGCCAGGGTATTTCCCGAGCCCCATGGCCTCTCTCTTCTCATTGCACCTTCAATGGAAATTCACTGCATTCCAATCACGAGGCAAAAGTAGACCAGATCAAAGATGCCAGTTGTGGTCCTCAAACATCTTTATCATAAGCCACTTGGAGAGGACTAAAGACCCATCCCTCCCTAGGCCAACCCCCAGCCCACCCTCTAGTGAAAACAACATCAGTGATAGCACAGAACTAGAGAGGGCAGAATGGTTGACTAGTATATCAGGAACTTGGTCTTATCACTGTGTCTGTCCAGGGCTTAGAATAGAGCCTGGTACATCGTAGGTGTTCAGCAAATATCTGTGGAGTGAGTGAACACACACACACAAATTAATATAAAACCAAGCGGTAATTCTGCTAATCCATCAATCACTAAAGCACAGCAGCAATTAATACCCAGAACCAACTAAAGAACACTCAAACTATGCACTGATACCAGAGCTTCCTTCCCCTGAGCATGGAAAGCCTTATTTTGTGTACCACATGCACACAGTAAGAGCTCTGCAATATGATGACATGGACTGCTAGACCTTGAGGGCAGTGGGAGCCAGTGGTGGTCACCACCAACTTTGGGTACAAATCCAAGAACTGCCATTTACTAACTCTGTGACTTTAGACAAGTCCCTTAGTCTCCTAAGCCCCAGTTTCCTTCATTTAAAAAACAAGAGAACACCCAAGCCTGGAAATCTGCAGCCCTAAATGGGAATAGGCATTCCTGTTTTCACGCCCAAATGTTAGGTTTTGGCCTGCCACATCCCACTATCCTGTACCCATATAAACCCCAAACCCCAGGCTCCATGAGCATACAAGCAGATGAGCAGATGAACAGAAGAGAAGAGGAGCAGAAGAGCAGCATGGCAGAGAAAGGAGCATCTGAAGGCCAAGAAGAGTTTGGCTGGGGACAGTTGGAGAGGAGATTGGTCACAGGACAGCCAAACTCCAGGGGAAGATCATCTTCCCACTCCATCCCCTTTCTAGCTCCCCATCCATCCCACCGAGAGCCACCTCCATTACCCAATAAAACCCCACATTCACCAAGAAAAAAAAAAAACGGGAGAACAAGATAATGCATGGAGGGATAATCACCCAAGGTAGACACAAATCCAATTGTGATACTTCTTTGCTCGATGTCACACGATGCCTCCACCCAGAGTAAAAGCCAAAGTCATTAGGGTTTCCTTTAACAGTCACTACATGGCTGGCCTTGTCTCTCACTCCCCTCCAAACACACTGGCCCTTACCTCCCACTCATGGAAGTGGTCCTGTTGCACTCTCTGCCTGGAAGACTCTAATTGAAAATATCCACATGGCCCACTCTCCCTTGGGTCTTCATTCAAATGTCACCTTCTCAATAAGATGTTCCTTCATGATTCTCTTTTCACATGACAGTCCCCTCTCAACACTCGTGGTGCATTCCCTTGCTTTATTTTCCTTCTTGGCACTTTTCATACAATATACCATATATTTTACTTATGTATGGAAATTTATTGTCTTGCTACCCTCCATTTGAAAGTAAGCTCTTTATTTACAAAATTGGTGCTTAACGAATATTTGTTGGGTGGATGAAAGCAAGCACTGACTGTCAACTACTATCACTGGGGGTGATTAACTTTGTCTCCTCATGCCTGGCCCCAGTCTGCACTTAGTAGGTGCATGGTAATAATAATAAAATATCTAACACTTGGACAGGCATGGTAGCTCACATCTATAATCCCAGCACTATGGGAGACCAAGGCAGGAGGATCACTTGAGGCTCAGAGTTCAAGATCAGCCTGGGCAACACAGTAAGACCCTATCTCTACAAAAAAATAAAAAATTATCCAGATGTGGTGGTTCATGCCTGTAGTCCCAACTACTTGTGAAGCTGAGGTGGGAGGATCCCTTGAGTCCAGGAGGTCGAGGCTGTAGTGAACCATGATTGCTGCACTCCAGCCTGGGTGGTAGAGCGAGGCCCTGCCTCTATAAAATCAAATTTTAGGCCGGGGGCAGTGGCTCACGCCTGTAATCCCAGTATTTCGGGAGGCCAAGGCAGGTGGATCACCTGAGGCCAGCGTTCAAGACCAGCCTGGCCAACATTGTGAAACCCCGTCTTTACTAATAATACAAAACTTAGCCAGGCGTGGTGGCACATGCCTATAATCCCAGCTAGTCAGGAGGCTGAGGCAGGAGAGTTGCTGTAATCTGGGAGGTGGAGGTTGCAGTGGGCCGAGATCATGCCACTATACTCCAGCCTGGGTGACACTCCAGCAAGACTCCATCTCAAAAAATAAAAAAAATCAAATTTTAAAAATATATAATACTTATTAAAGATCTGCTACATGCCAGGCATTCCGGTAAACATGTTTCTGGGTTTAAACCCATTAATTCTCACAATAACCCAGTGAGGTAGAGACTTTCATTATCCCCATTTGATAAAGGATGAAAACTGAGGCACACAGAGGTTAAAGAGCTTACCCAAAGCCACACAGCCAGTAAGTGGCAGACTCAGGAGTGAAATGTAGCCAGCCCGGCCCTGTCACTGCTATGTTAAACCACTAATCCATGTTGGTCCTCTAAGTCAATCCTACTGAAATGTTTGTTACACATATTCACGCATTAAACCTACTAGCCTGGGTATGGAGTATGGGACATGATTCCAGGTCACTTTACAAAAGTGTAACTCTTTTTTTTTTGAGACAGAGTCTCGCTGTCACCCAGGCTGGAGTGCAGTGGTGCCATCTCAGCTCACTGCAACCTTCACCTCCTGGGTTCAAGCAATCCTCGTGTCTCAGCCTCCTGAGTAGCTGAGACTACAGGTATGCACCACCACACCCGGCTAATTTTTGTGTTTCTAGTAGAGACAGGGTTTCGCCATGTTGGCCAGGCTGGTCTCGAACTCCTGACCTCAAGTGATCTGCCTGCCTCAACCTCACAAAGTGCTAGGATTACAGGCTTGAGCAACCGCACCTGAACCAAAAGTGTAATTCTTTTGCTTATAGATTTTGTCATTCTATTGCTTTGCAGACATTTCATCCAGTTCCCTGCATAAGGAGGCCTCTTGATGTCAGGGACCCTGCCCAAAACATTAATTACTATGTCAGCAATGGCTCAGATACCCTGAAAACACTCACCAGGCATAGGGTCATAGCTGGGGATCTTATCACTGCTGTTCCGAACAGACTGAAAGACAGCCCAGAGGAATTCTTTAGTGGGCAGGGTCCTGGCCATCTTGGAAGCTGCTTGCAGAAGGATCTCAGGAAACTGTGTGAAAGAAGATGAAAGAAGAGGAATAATAATTAAAACCCCTTAAATACAGATTGAAATTAGAGTTGAAACTGTCACACTACTTACTGCCTTCATTCTTTGTTATAGCAACTTCTCATATAAATCTATTCCCTAGTCCCACTAATGTGGTCTCTATAAAGAATCCTATAAAATGATACTCAACTTCAATAAAAATCCAATAAAGTCTAAAAAACATAAGTAAATCACTTTTCACCCATCAGATTGTCAAAAATAAAATGAAGTGCTAATACTTAATGCTGGGCACATTCATTTTTCCGTGGGACTGTCAAACTGTGCACTATTAGCAGAGCAATCTGGTAATATCGACAAAAAATGTAGGTTAGGCGAGGTGTGGTGGCTCATACCTGTAATCCCAGCATTTTGGGAGGTCGAGGCAGGCAAATCACTTGAGGTCAGGAGCTCAAGACTGGCCTGGCCAACATGGTGAAACCCCATCTCTACTAAAAATACAAAAATTAGTCAGTCGTGGTGGCATGAGCCTGTCATCCCAGCTACTTAGGAGGCTGAGACAGAAGGATCACCAGAGCCCAGGAGGCTGAGGTTGTAGTGAGTCGAGAGCATGCCACTGCACTCCAGCCTGGGTGATGGGAGTACAACCCTGTCTCAGAAAAAAACAAAAAAAATGTATGTGTACCTACCCCTTTTTTGGTTTGGTGCTATTTCTAAGTTTTTACTAAACTTTATATTTGACATAGTTTGGATGTGTACCCCACCCAAATCTTATTGAAATGTAATCCCCAGTGTTGGAGGTGGGGCCCAGTGAGAGGTGATTGGATCATGGGGGCAGATTTCTCATGAATGGTTAAATACAATCCCCTTGGTACTGTCCTCACAATAGTGCGTGCGTTCTCTCGAGATCTTGTTGTTTAAATGCATGTAGCACCTCCCCCATCACGCTCTTGCTCCTGTGTCGGCCAAGTAAGATGTGTCTGCTCCCCCTTCGCCTTCCGCCATGATTGTAAGTTTCCTGAGGCCTTCCCAGAAGCTGGGCAGATGCCAGCATCATGCTTCCTGTACAGTCGGCAGAGCCATGAGCCAATCAATCCTCTTTTCTTGTCTCTTTTTTTTTTTTTTTTTTTCAGAGTCTTGTTCTGTTGCTCAAGCTGGAATACAGTGGTGTGATCTCCACTCACTGCAACCTCCACCTCCCAGGCTCAAGTAATTCTCGTGCCTGAGCCTCCTGAGTAGCTGGGATTACATGCATGCAGCACCAAGCCAGGCTAATTTTTTTTTATTTTTATTGTAGACAAGGTTTCACTATCTTGGCCTGGCTGGTCTCAAACTCCTGGCCTCAAGTGATTCGCCCACCTCGGCCTCCCAAAGTGCTGGGATTACAGATGTGAGCCACTGTGCCTGGCAGTGTTTGTTTGTTTGTTTGTTTAGACGGAGTCTCGCTCTATCACCCAGGCTGGAGTGCAGGGCACGATCTCGGCTCACTGCAAGCTCTGCCCCCTGGGTTCACGCCGTTCTCCTACCTCAGCCTCCCGAGTAGCTGGGACTACATGTGCCCACCACCACGCCCGGCTAATTTTTTGTATTTTTTAGTAGAGACGGGGTTTCACCCTCTTAGCCAGGACGGTCTCAATCTCCTGACCTCGTGATCTGCCCGCCTCGGCCTCCCAAACTGCTGGGATTGCAGGCATGAGCCACTGCACCTGGCCCTTTTTATTTTATTTTTTTTAATTTAACTTTTATTTTAAGTTCAGGGGTACATGGCAGGTTTGTTATATAGGTAAGCTTGTGTCATGGAGGTTTGTTGTACAAATTATTTAATCACCCAGGTATTAAGCCTAGTACCCATTAGTTATTTTTGCTGATCTTCTCCCTCCTCCCACCTTTCACTCTCCAATAGGCCCCAGTATCTGCTGTTCCATTCTATGTGACAACGTGTTCTCATCATTTAGCTCCCACTTATAAGTAAGAACATGCGGTATTTGGTTTTCTGTTTCTGCATTAGTTTGCTAAGGATGATGGCCTCCAGCTCCATCCATGTCCCTGCAAAGAACACGATCTCATTCTTTTTTATGGCCACATAGTATTCCATGTAAACCTCCTTTCTTTATAAATTACCCAGTCTCAGGTATTTCTTTATAGCAATGCAAGAATTGCCTAACACAGGTCAGGTGCGGTGGCTCACACCTGTAATCCTAGCACTTGGGAGGCCCAAGCAGGCAGATCACCTGAGGTCAAGGGTTCAAGACCAGCCTGGCCAACACGGTGAAACCCCGTTTCTACAAAAAATACAAAAATTCACTCGGCATGGTGGTGTATGCCTATAATCCCTGCTACTCAGGAGGCTGAGGCAGGAGAATCACTTGAACCCAGGAGGTGGAGGTTGCAGTGAGCCGAAATCGTGCCACTGCATTCCGGCCTGGGCAACACAGCTAGACTCCATCTCAAAAAAGAGAAAGAAAAAAAGAATTGCCTAACACAACATTTGTCATGAAAAGGAGGTGAAGAAGGGTTGTCTCAACATCCTGGGTGGAGACTAGCAATGAGGGGACTTAGGGGACTTTGGGTTGCCTTGGAGAAAGTGCCATTTCTCATCTAGAACGAATACACTTTGTCAAGACTTGGGATTTTATTAGAAGGCCTGCCCATGGGCCCAGATAATCCATCAGGCTCTACAAACAGCTATGCCTCACTGGGTCCCGGCTCACCCAGAGAGCAAGCCTCTCAGCCTATGTAGCTCCCCTTTCTAGTCTCATCTTCAGAATTAGAGTCACAGTCTAAGCCAGCAGTTCTTCAACCCTGGCTGTACCTAAGAGTCACCTGGGACACCCAGAGCCAGCCCCTAAAGATTCTGACTCAGTCGGGCTGGGCTGGATACCATGGATTGGTCCCTCTTGGAATCTCCCCAGGTGATTCTAATGTGCAGCTGAGGCTGAAGGCAACCACTCTAAGACAGTTAACTTTTAGAAAGCAATATGCATAGCGGAGTGAATGGCATTTTCCATTTTGTATTTTCTAAAGAAGAGTGTGTATATGCTCTTGTGTTTTTAGTAGAGACAGGGTTTCGCCATGTTGGCGAGGCTTGTTATATAGGTATTTTTATACCTATATAAAACTTGTTATATAGATATTCAGGATATTTCTGAAAGGATGCAGAAGAGATTGGGGACAGCAATTGCCTCTGAAGAGGGAGGCTAGGGAACTAGAAGTCTGGGGTGGGAGGGAGACTTGCTTCTCATCCTATTACCTTTGGTGCGATTGGGATTTGTTAACCAGGAGCATGTATTACTTGCTTTATTAAACATTTCCAGTATTTAAAAAAAGAGTATACAGAATAATACAACAAAACACCCATGTCCTCACAACCCAACTTAAGAAATAAAACATCACAATATAAATAATAAGTCCCTCCTTCACTCTTTGCCTTCCTCCTTCCCCAGAAGTAACTGTCACTCTGAATTTGGCATTCACTTTTACACTTCTCTTACATATAAACTTGGCTTACATTTGCTTTAAATTAATTCAGCTACTATTTATTTATTTACTTTGTATCCTACTATAGATATTCTTTTGCAATCTGGGTTTTTTTTTAACTCTACACTGTGTTTTTGAGATTTCACAGTGTTGATGCAAGACTTTTTCAATTTCAGAAGTTGATTTTTTTAAGATTAGATAGATATATGGATGTTCTCACTGATATGTGGGAGCTAAACTATGAGGACCCAAAGGCATAAGAATGATACAATGGGCTTTGGGGACTTGGATGGAAGAGTGGGAGGGGCCAAGGGATAAAAGACTACAAATATGTTGCAGTGTATACTGTTCAGGTGATGGGTGCACCAAAATCTCACAAATCACCACTAAAGAACTTACTCATGTAACCAAACACCACCTGTACCCCAATACCTTATGGAAAAATAAAAATAATAATAAACATCTAAACATAAGAAAAACAAGGAAGGAAAAAAAATAGATGGATATATAACATTTGTGCATCAGGGCCGGGCATGGTGGCTCACGCCTGTAATCCCAGCACTTGGGAGGCCGAGGCGGGCAGATCACTTGAGGTCAGGAGTTCAAGACCAGGCTGGCCAACATGGTGAAGCCCCATATCTACTAAAAATATAAAAATTAGCTGGGCATAGTGGCAGGGGCCTGTAATCCCAGCTACTCGGGAGGCTGAGGCAGGAGAATCACTTGAACCCAGGAAGCAGAGGTTGCAGTGAGCCGAGATTGCATCACTACACTCCAGCCTGGGCAACAGAGGGAGACTCCATCGCAAAATAAAATAAAATAATAAAATAAAAATAAACATGTGTGCATCAACTGCTTATAACTATATATTCAGACATCCAGAATATGATTTTACTGTGACTGGACTTCAGAATGTGCTGCGTGTGATCCTAGGTGAAGTTGTGTGTGTTCAGGCCCTGCTGAGCATGTGTGACCATGTGCACCTTGTGCCTGCAAGTGCAGGTATGAGAGTGTGTGGATGTGCTTTGTGGGGGATCTGATTGTCATTCAGCAAACATTCACTCCTTTCCTGCCCTCCACCTCCATGGAAGGAGACTCCTTCCTGCCCCATTAAAGTTGGTCTTGGTCATGTAACTTACTTTGGCCATTGGAGTGTGGCAGAAGTGACAGCGTGCCAACTTCCAACCTAGGACTTAAGGAGAATTGTACTTATCCCTTCCCTTTTTTGGTAGTTTCATACCTTCATGGTAAGAAAAACAAGTTCTAGAGCAGGGCTGCCCCAGCGACCCACAAATCAGGCAGCAAGGAACATATGCGAATTGTTCTATGCCCTTGAGATTGTGTGGCTTTGTTATGCAGCACAAATGACTAATTCATGCTTATTTTGCATGCCCCTTGGTCTAGACTGTCTAACTTCTGGAGCCTTACTCCTAGAAAAGCGTCATGCCCAAATGTAATGATCAATAAAGACTTGTTATTGGATTAAATGTGCTTGCACATGTGATTGCATACACTGGACATACATGTGCATGTGCATAGGGCACCAGCCAGTGTGAGAGCCAGAACAGACGTGCGTGTGAGATGCACACTAATAGCAGAGTGGTAGCTAAGTAATATCTGTCTGCACACATCTGCCTGGGGGGCCACACAAAAGGGCCTGAGTTCATTTAGCTGTGGACTCACTCCCTTTTCCAGAACCTTGCACATCCTGGAATGGAGCTGGAAACATCTTAGCCCTTGGAGGCAGGGAGGAAGCTTCCAGAACCATAGACAGCAGTAAACCCAATGCTGTATAACTGACCACACTTTCTCTCCCCTTCAAACTCCTTCAGCCTTCTTAAGATGGAGCACAACATTACCTTTGTGGCTATAGAGCTTAATTCATCTCCTGAGAAAAGTACTAGAAAGGGTCCCAAGTCCTTCGTGGTCTCGGCTGTCCAGTGCTGAGGGAGTCTAAAAAGAGATAATAACCAGTAAAGTGAAAAAACATGCTGTGGTGGACATCTGTTGCCTTTTCCCCCAGCACCCTTTTCTTTCAGGAATAGATTGTCTTATACTCATGTCAATCACATGGTCCCACTTCCTTGACCAAGAAAATTGGCATGTGATGCAGGCTGACCAATCAGAGTCATCCCTGGGAGTTTTGATGGAACTATCAGAGAAGCTCTCCTTTCTCTGGTATCTCTGGCAGTAGGGGAGGATATTGGAGGACATTCATATTACCAAGTGGAAAAAGTAAAGACCACACCAAGGAACACAGAGCTGAGGGATGGGAGGAACATATTCCTGAAGATATCATTTGAGACACGGGATTCAGCCATGCCTGAAGACCACCAGTGGAGTTTCCCGTTACATTCCATTCCTGAATTCAATACATTCCCGTTCTCTTTAGTTTGAATTAAATTATTGAATTTCTGCCATTTACATCACAGTGTGTCCTTCTTCTCCCTCCTCAATAGAAGAGTAATTATATATTTCTTCCTTTTACTTTACCATAACAGTCTTCTCTTAGAATAAGAAAAAACCTTTCTCTTGAACTTGGCAGGATAAAATAAAGGCACTGACCCAGAATCCACTGTTATTCTTGTATAGATCATAAATGCCTACAGTGAAGAGCATTACACTATCTTTGGCGACATCTCTAAAGGAGGTCTGCCCAATTAGCAGTGACAGCTGGTGGGAATGCAAAATCATACAGCCACTTTGGAAGACATTTTGTTGGTTTCTTACAAAAGCAAACATGTTTTTGCCATATAACCCAGCAAACACACTCTTTGGTATTTACACAAAGGAGTTGAAAACTTACGTCTACATGAAAACCTGTATATGGATGTTGATAGCAGCTTTATCCATAATTGCCAAAACTTGGAAGCAACCAAATGTCCTTCTGTAGGTGAATGGCTAAATAAACTGTGGTTCATTAAGACAATGAAATATGATTCAGCACTAAAAAGAAATGAGCTATCAAGCCAAAAAAAGACCTGGAGAAAACTTAAGTGCATATTACTAAGTGAAAGAAGTCTATCTGAAAAGGCTATCTACTGTATGATTCCAAATATATGATATTCTAGAAAAGGCAAAAGTATCAGTGGTTGCCAGGAATTAGGAGTGAGAGAGGAATGAACAGGCAAAGCCCGGAAGGATTTTTAGGGCAGTGAAAATACTCCGTATGATACTATAATGGTGAATACATGTTATTATATACTTGTCTGAACCCATAGAATGTAAAGCACCAAGAGTGAATCCTAATGTAAAATATGGACTATGGATGATAATGAGAATCCAATGACGATAATGTCAACATAGGTTCATCAGTTCTAACAAATGTACAACTTTGGTGGGGGATATTGATCATGGGGAGCTTATGCGTGTACGGGGTCAGAGAGATATGGGAAATCTCTATCTTCTCCATTTTTCTGAGAACCTAAAACTAGTATTAAAAATAGTCTCTAGGGTCAGGCATGGTGGCCCATACCTATAATCCCAACACTGTGGGAGGCTTAGGTGGGTGAATCCCTTGAGCCCAGGAGTTCAAGACCCACCTAGGCAACATGGTGAAATTCCATCCCTTAAAAAAAAATACAAAAATTAGCTGGGTACAGTGATGTGCACCTGTGGTCCCAGCTACTTGGGAGGCTCAGGTGGGAGGATCACCTGAGCCCAGGGAGGTTGAGGCTGCAGTGAGCCATTACTGTGCCACAGCACTCCAGCCTGGGTGACAGAGCGAGACCCCATTTAAAAAAAAAATAGTCTTTAAACTAATAATAATACCACTACCTTGCATCTGTAAAGGGCCACCTTTTCCAAATTTCCCCTTCATATGCCAAGCTGTGTAAGAAACAACTCTTTGAGATTTTTAGGGCAGCTACTATTGATTCCACTTTACAGCAAATCTGAAGCCAAGGCCAGGCGCGGTGACTCACGCCTGTAATCCCAGAACTTTGGGAGGCCGAGGTGGGTGGATTACGAGGTCAGGAGATCAAGACCATCCTGGCCAACATGGTGAAACCCAGTCTCTACTAAAAATGCAAAAAATAGCTGGGCGTGGTGGCACATGCCTGTAATCCCAGCTACTCGGGAGGCTGAGGCAGGAGAATCGCTTGAACCAGGGAGTCAGAAGTTGCAGTGAGCCAAGGTCGTGCCACTGTACTCCAGCCTGGCCACAGAGCGAGACTCCGTCTAAGAAAAAAAAAAAAAATCTGAAGCCAAAAGAAGAAAGGTCACATTTCCAAAATAAGCATAAGAATTTTATCTCATCCTAAGCCAGAGACTCTGTTTGCAGGGCAGGAGAGCCAAGGTTGAGTGTCCCTCCACAGAGCATACCACACCACCAAAAGCCAAACCCAGCCGCTCCTCACCCATACTGTCCCAGGAGCTTGAGCCTCACTGCAGCCTTTTGCTCAGGGTTGAGGTCTGGGCAGTCTCTGAGGCCGTGTAGAGCAGTCGCCCAAGCCCTGGGGGAGATCCCCCTGTCGATGATGGCTGCCGGCAAGTGACACAGCAGGTTCCCCATGATGTCCACAGTGTACTCATCAGCAATGGAGTCGTCCTGAACCCAAAAAGTGGAGCCAATGGGCAGTTCCAACAGAGCATAAGATCGTGAGCCATTAGAAACACATCCTGTGGGGTGGGCACTGTGGCTTATGCCTATAATCCCAGCACTCTGGGAGGCCGAGGCAGACAGATCATTTGAGGCCAGGAGTTCGAAATCAGCCTGGCCAACATGGTGAAACCCCATCTATACTAAAAATACAAAAATTAGCCAGGCATTGTGGCACATGCCTGTAGTCCCAGCTACTCGAGAGGCTGAGGCACAAGAATTGCTTGAACCCGGGAGGCAGAGGTCGCAGTGAGCCTAGATGATCATGCCATTGCACTCCAGCCTGGGTGACAGAGGAAAACTCTGTCTCAAAAAAAAAAAAAAAAAAGTTCCGATCCCAAACTTCTTAAAGATTCCAGGATCTTAACTGCCTACCCTGCCATGGATTCCTAGAGATGGAACAGGACCTGATCTTCCCCAGGGATGCAGGCCTCAGAAATCTGGAAAACCCTGGCTTGGCACACCAGGAGCACTCAGTAATTGAGCGCTGCTGTCACTGTTATTGCTCTGAGAATATTCCAGACTTCAACCACCATTATACTATTGGCACCACAACAATGAAAACAGCACTTCAAAGTTTGTATGCCACTTGAAAGCCTTCAAAGCTCTTTTGCACTTTCACAAAATGACAAAAATAGTTCACATTTATTGTGTGTTTCCTATGTGCGGGCACCGTCCTGAGTATCTGTGGGTCTCAATCTAGTCATCTTCAAAGTAACTGTAAGAAGTAAGTACTACTATTATCCATTTTTTAAAGAAAAAGAAACTGCCAGCTAGTGGCAAGGCTAGGATTCACACCCAGACAATCTGGCCTTTGAGCCTTTACATTAAATAATACATTGCCCATGTCATGTTTTCAATACTCTATGAGGAGACTAGGTATGGTGGCTCATGTCTGTAATCCCAACACTTTGGGAGGCCGAGGTGGATGGATCACCTGATGTCAGGAGTTTGAGACCATCCTGGCCAACATGGTGAAACCCTGTCTCTACTAAAAATACAAAAAATAACCGGGTGTAGTGGTACACACCTGTAGTCCCAGCTACTTGGGAGGCTGAGGCAGGAGAATCAGTTGAACCTGGGAGGCAGAGGTTGCAGTGAGCTGAGATCGTGCTACTGCACTCCAGCCTGGGTGACAGAGTGAGACTCTGTCCCAAAAAAAAAAAAAAAAAAAAAACTCTAAGGGGGATGTGCTACTCCCCCCACCTTACAGATGAGAAGACTGAGGCTCAGGGAGGAAAGGTGATTCACCCAAAGCCACATAACCAATCACTGGCACCCAGTCTCTGGGTACTGTGCTCTTTCCATTCCTCCAGAGTAGCCTCCCCTCCTTTGGGCCGTGGGGCAGAAGTCTCCAGAACCAATGGAAAAGATTGTTCCAACCAGCAACTTTAGAGTAAGCTTCAAGACCCACCAGTCAGACTTCTGGCCATCACAGCAGGCTCAAGATCCTAGCCAGATCCCTCACAGGGCTCCCCAAGATGGCCACAGATACCCAGAGGGAGGGGACACCCAGGAAGAGTTTTCTTACCAGGCACTGCTGCACTTTCCTGAGGACTGAAGTCTTTTTGTGGGAATCTAAAACCAAGGAGTCCAACCAGCTCTTCCCCAGGCTGATCAGAAAGGGCACACACTGGGAGGCTGGGACAGAAGCCAGGTAGCGGGCCCTGGAGAGAGATGGGGAGAACAAGAGGAGGAACACATGGCTGCTCCTGTTGGCCCCTAAAATCAGGGTCCGCCTGCCCAAGAGCTCATCCCAAAGACATTCTTTAAATGTTTGTTCTTCCCAGTGATGCTTTGGCTCCCTGCAGCAGGTAGCAAGCTTCCCACCCATCATGCTCCTCTTCTATGGGTGGGAACAAACTTCCCATCATGCTCCTCTTCCATGAATGGGCAACAAACTTCCCATCATGCTCTCTTCTATGGGTGGGAACAAACTTCCCATCATGACCCTCTTCTGTGGGTGGGAACAAACTTCCCATCATGCTCCTCTTCTATGCCCCAGAGCATTGATCAGAGAATGGGTTCTCGTAAATAGACATGTTGATTGATGGACTGGTTGAGGGGAGATGAAAAAGAAAGGAAAAAGTAGATGAAAAAAGAGACAACGAGGAGAGAGAATAACTAGAAAGTGAGAAAGAAAGATAAGAAAAAGAGTGGAAAGAGAAATTCTGTCATCTCCAGTCCAGAACTCTGCCTTCCACTCTTGATCCTTCAGCTCTTGACAATGTATTCTCAACAGGGTCAAAGTCACCCTCAAGAAGGAGAAACTGGTTTGGATGGAGATAAAAAAGACTGTTATGACAACGATCTGTAACCCACTGAAGCTCATTCCTACTCAAAATATTTTTCCTCAGTGTATAATTTCTTTCATTCAGGAGAAATTAAAATTTTCTCCTTTGGAAGGCATTAACAAAAGTTGAGAAAGTCTGCATGAAACCCATCCGGCCTACTCAACCCCACCACTTCACTGTTCCAAAACCAGATACAACGTCTTCCCCCAAACATGTTCTTCCGCCTCTATGCTATCCCACACTCCTTTTTTTCTTTATCCCAAGCCTGTCATTGCTATCTCCTTAGCATTATCCCAATCTGTTCTTACTTCTGGCCAGGTGTGGTGGCTCACAGCTATAATCCCAGCACTTTGGGAGGCCAAGGTGGGTCACCTGAGATCAGGAGTTTGAGACCAGCCTGAGCGACATGGTGAAATCCCATCTCTACCAAAAATTCAAAAAATTAGCTGGGCATGGTGGCATGCACACCTGGGGTTTCAACTACTCTAGAGGCTGAAGTGGAAGAATCACTTGAACCTGGGAGACAGAGGTTGCAGTGAGCTGAGATCGCACCACTGCACTCCAACCTGGGTGACAGAATGGGACCCCGTCTCAAAACAACAACAACAAAAAAATCTATTCTAACTTCTCCATTCCCAGTACCACTGTCTTATTTATTTCTTCATTCATCCAGCAAATATCTACAAAGCAACTACAGTAAGCCAGGCACTGTTCTAGGCACCAAATATAACAATGAACAAGACACAAGTGGTCCTTAATTCTAGCAGAGAGAAGAAACACAGAAACCAGTGAACAAAACAAGACATTTGAGCTATTAATAGCTGGCATGGTGGCTCACGCCTGTAATCCCAGCACTTTGGGAGGCCGAGGCAAGCAGATCATCTGAGGTCAGGAGTTTGAGACCAGCCTGGCCATCACGGTGAAACCCTGTCTCTACCAAAAAATACAAAAATTAGCCAGGCGTGGTGGCGCACACCTGTAATCCCAGCTACTGGGGAGGCTGAGGTAGGAGAATCTCTTGAACCCAGGTGGCGGAGGTTGCAATGAGCCAAGATTACACCACTGCACTCCAGCCTGGGTGACAGAGGGAGACTCTGTCTCAAAAATAAATAAATTAATTAATTAATTAATTAATGTAAGGAAGAAAATAAAATGGCTCTGTAAAAGAGAATGACAATGGGGATAATCAAACGAGCCCCTTCTAAGGCAGTTCCATTTGAGCTGAGACATGAATGAGTGGTAGAAGTGCCATGCCAAGATCTGGGTTACTGAAATAATCTTCAGCTGTCTCCCTTCTTTCCATTCAGCCTCCCTGCATTCTATCCTCTATGTGGGTAGTGGCTATGATCTTTCTGAAATATAAATCTGATGGCTGCACACAGAATATGTGTGAAACACCTCACTTTACAAAGCCCCCATGATCTGATGTCCCTTAACTCTCTGGCCTTCTCTCCCCTATCTACTCTGCAGATATACCCCCATGTGTTCCCAGAGTGATTGGCTTTTCTTACCCACTGCTGAACCGGACATCCCCATTCCACTGCCTGGAATGTCCATCTTAAACTCTCTATCCAGCATTAGTTCGGTCTCCCCTGTCTCTCCAGTCTATGGGTGATATTCCCTCCTCTATGTCCAGTCCTCATTATCCCTCCCCTTTGCCTCTCCTTTGGAAGGCAATAAAAAAGTTGAGAAAGGCTGCATGAAACCCATCTGGCCTAGTCAAACCCACCACTTGACTGTTCAAGAACCAGATTCAACATCTTCCCCCAAACATGTTCTTCCACCTCTGTCCTAACAGAGGTGTGTAACAGCACCTGGCTTTCTTGGAAAGCACCTAGTTTTTCTTGGAGAACCATCTCCCTCACTCTAAGTCCTTGTGGTTTCTCTCCAGCTCCAGGGGTGCAATACAGATTGAAGTCAGTCAAAGTTACCCATCCTCCCAACCTCACTGATTGGTTCAAGGAAAACAAATTCGCCCAATTAAGGTCAATGAGAGTCAAACCCAAGATGTGTATTGAGAATGATGGGAAGAGAACATTTTTCTATTTTCCCTGAATATGAAACTGGGAAAATTTAACCTTAGATCTTCCAGGGTTCCCACAGAGGAACAACTTGCCTGATAGTGAAGCCAACAGAGAAAAGCTGGGACAAGAGACAAATGACATCATTTGCACCCCTAGATCGAGCCATGCCTGAAGTCCCTCTCTGAACTTTCCAGTTACCTGAACAAAAAATTCCCTTTTATTGCATAAGCCAGTTTCAGTTTCAGTTCTGTTGCTTTCAACCAAATATCAACCTGATATAATTGGCTTCATGTTTGTCTATTCCCTCTCCCACCATGAGATTATAAGGTCTTATAAATTAATAGGAATTTCTAAATCTTCAGATAGAAAATTTAGCTATCTGAGAACTAGCACACAGCAAGTACTCAATGAACTTTTTTTTTTTTTTGAATGAACGAAGACAATAAGAGCAAAAAAAGGTAGAGGGAAATAAAGAAGGAGAGAAGGAGAGAAACAATGTCCAGATCATGTTTGAAAAGCAGGGCCACCCTGCAGGCCCAAAAGCTCACACATGCCAGGAGAAACGCCTACTGCTCCCCTCAACTCTGATTCCCCTGGAGCCTGGCACAGCCGCAAAGCCAGGCCAGATGGGACCTGCCTCACTGACACTCATTCAGGCTTGGGTTGCTTTGGCTTGGTTTTTAGATAACAGGAAAAGCAAGAAGGTCTGTCTCAAATGTCTGTGTGATACTCAGAATTGAAATCCTGGATCTCAAGGGCTTAACTCTCTAAGGCATCCTCCACTCTGCCTCTGGTTCCTGAAGAAAACCCAGTGGGGAGAGAATCATTTTGACTTCAGTGATTCCCACCGATCTCACTGATGAGCCAGAAGGTGGGGGCTGATGTTCACTTACGGGAGTGCAGCCAAGAGGAAAGGTGGCATAGACAATCTGGAAACTTCCCAGTATTTCCACGCCAAACAATTAACCTGAAAGATTAAGCAGTTCTGGGGATTTAATGCAGTAAGAAGAAGAACAAACACAGTGCTTTCCATGTGCCAGGTACTATTCTAAGTGCTTCATACGTGTTCATTTATGCAATAGAGCACCCTATGATGTAAGTACCACTACTGTGCCCAGTTTATGGATGAGAACGCTGAGGTAATAACAAACATGAACACGGACATTTAAGTGTGAGAATGCTCATCGCAATTTTGCTTATATCTGCAAGAAAGGGAGATATAATTTTAATGTTCCTCAGCAGGGGATTGGTTAAGTAAATTATGGTATATACATACAATGGAATAGTGCACCTACTTTGTTTTAATAAGGTAGATTTATATATATATTAACACTAAATGATGTCTGTGCTATTTTATGCATGTGCATATATATAGTTATATTATATATAATGTAAAAACCACAAATGGGCTCATATTGTACACACAATTCTGTTAAACTATATATATAGCTTAACTATACATATAGTTATATATAGCTTAACTATACATATAGTTATATATAGCTTAACTATATATATAGTTTTATACATATATATATCTTAGCTATATATATAAACAGAACAGCATGTATAGTATGAGCTCACTTGTGTTTTTTTTTTTTGTTTTTTTTTTGAGACAGTCTCACTCTGTCACCTAGGCTGTAGTACAGTGGTGTAATCTCAGCTCACTGCAACCTCCGCCTTCCAGGTTCAAGCAGTTCTCCTGCGTCAGCCTCCCGAGTAGCTAGGATTACAGGCACCCCCCACCATGCACGGCTAATTTTTTTTTTTTTTTGTATTTTTAGTGGGTTTTTTTGGGGTTTTTTTTTTGTATTTTTTAAAAATTTTTTTAGGTTGGCCAGGCTGGTTTCGAACTCCTAACCTCAAGTAATCCACCCATCTCGGCCTCCTAAAGTGCTAAGATTACTGGCGTGAGCCACTGTGCCCGGCCCACTTGTGGTTTTTATATTACATATAGATACTTTTTTAAAATTTGGTTTAGAGATAGAGTCTCACTCTGTCACCCAGGCTGAAATGCAGTGACTCCATCATAACTCACTGCCACCTTGAACTCCCAGGTTCAAGTGATCCTCCTGCCTCAGTTTCCCAAGTAGCTAGGACTACAGGCATGTGCCACCATATTTGGCTAATTTTTGTATTTTTTTGTAGAGTTAGAGTCTTGCTGTATGTTTCCCAGGTTGGTTTCAAAGTCCTATCCTCAAATGAACCTCCCACTTCAGCCTCCCAAAGTGCTAGAATTACAGGCATGAGTCATTGTGACCGGCCTATATTTTATATATAAAAGAAAACTCTCAAAAGTAATAGCAAACTGTTCTTTATAGTTACCTCTGAAACACAGTTGCTCACCTCAGTATTATTGACATTTTCGACCAGGTACCTCTGTGTAGTGGTGCTGTCCTACGCATTGTAGGATGTTGAGCTCCACCCCTGGCCTCTACCCACTAGAGGCCAGTAGCTCTGCTCCGGTTGTGACAACCAAAAATGTTTGCAGACATGGCCAAAAGTCCCCTAAGAGGGCAAAACAGTACTCTGTTGAGAACAACTGCTCTGGGGAAAATTTGGGGAAATTTTACTTTCTCTGTATTGGTTGTTTGTGTGTGTGTGTGTGTGTGTGTGTGTGTGTGTGTGTGTGTGTGTGTAATAATTATGTGTTTTCAGAATGGGCGTGGTGGCTCATGCCTGTAATCCCAGCACTTTAGGAGGCTGAGGCTGGTGGATCACTGGAGGTCAGGAGTTCAAGACCAGCCTGGCCAACATGATGAAACCCCGTCCCTACTAAAAATACAAAAATTAGCCAGGTGTGGTGGTGCGCACCTAGAATCCCAGTTAGACAGGAGACTGAGGCAGGAGAATCACTTGAACCCAGGGGCGGAGGTTGCAGTGAGATTGAACCACTGCATTCCAGCCTGGGCAACAGAGCAAGGTCCTGTCTCAATAATAATAATAATGATAATAATAATAATAATAATAATAATGTGTTTTAGTAAAAATATAAACGAGAAAGGCAAATTTTCTAATTAACTGGTATTTGAAGGCTCTGAGAGCTGGAAGCCTAGGAAAGCACCTTCACTGGGGCAACTCTTCCTGCTCGAACATGTAGGTCTTCCTCAAAGCAGGTCTAGCTTCCATCCATTTGCTCAGTTATTGGCTTGCCCACCTGGGCAGGTCTTTTAATATAGTTCAGTGGTTTGTACCAGCAAACTGATTAGAAATGCAAAGTATTAGGCCTCACCCCTTACCTACTATATGTAAAACTCTGGGAGTGGGGCCCCCAATTTGTGTTTTTACAGCCTTCCACACAATGCTGATGCAAGCTCAACTTTGAGAATCACTAACAGAATTAACAGTCCAAGGGAATGAGAGAGCTTCATTAAAACTTTGCATATTCCTGTAATGATCTTGAAGGATTATACACCAAGCACTCTATGCTTCCTGGTTTTCTGGGAGATAATTTACTCTTTGGAAATTCTTCATTCTGGTCTGAAACACAAGGCCAGAGTTGAGAAGGTGCTTTTTAATATCCATTACAGGAGTCTGTAAGCCAGCGGTTCACACCAAAAGTTCAAATGCTGTAAGGCCTGTGTTTACTAGCTTAGACACTGAAAAATCAGTCACTGGCTGGGTGAAGTGGCTCATGCCTGTCATCCCAGCACTTTGAGAGGCTGAGGCAGGAGGATCACTTGAGCCCAGGAATTTGAGACCAGCCTGGGCAACATATCAAGACCCTATCTCTGCAAAAAATAAATAAATTAGCCAGGCATGGTGGTGTGTGCCTTTAGTTCCAGCTACTCAAGAAGTTGAGACGGAAGGATCTCTTGAGCCCAGGAGGTTGAGGCTGCAATGAACCATGATTATGCCACTGTACTCCAGCCTGGGTGACAGGGCAAGACTGTGTCTCAAAAAAAAAAAAAAAAGAAATCAGTTACTGCTTCTAGTCTCCCCAAAGGTTAAATAGCCTCCATAACCTTTTAGAAAATGAAGTTTTAAGTGAGAAAGAAAATGTTCTCAGAGTACTGTTTGCATTCACAGCTACTCCTGGAAAGTGTTGGAATATTAGCTGAAGGAGTACCTTCCATCCCACGGGAACATAATTATGAACACACAAAATACTGTCCCTTATGAATATATTTTAAGGCTTAAATTTGAGTATGGAATAACCAATCTGTTGATTCTTTGGCTGTAGTGATGTGGGTATTTGGAGCTGTTTAAAAAGAAACTGGAAAAAACCTGGCTCAATCTTTGGCCCTAAGTCATCACTTGCGTCTGAATGATTCTGGCATAAAGATCTTTAGATGCCACAGCCAATCCAGGCCCAGTGACTGGGGTAGGGAGAGAGAATTAGAAGCTGGAAAATGCTTTAACGGTACCTGATAGGGTGAAAGCAGGGCGAAGTTGTTCTGAAAATCCTGGAAATGGGCCAGAAAGAAGTCAGTGCTCATGGCATCAATGTGTGAGCAGGTCACGCCTTTGACCAGCTGCCCAGCACTAGAAAACAAAACAAGGCACTCGGGAGAGGAAGGAAGTGAGGAGGAGAGGAAAGAAAGAGCGAGAGAAGGCAGATATGATCAGATACAAGCTACAGATGTGACTGCCTAACTCTCCCACCTGGAAAAGTAGGCTGCTCTGGCAGAAGGCTCTGAAAGGCCTGTTCAGCACCCAGGCCGAGTTACATTTTCCTACCTCAAAAGCTCCTCAGGCCTTCTGGTGGTCTTTAACAGAAGCTCATACAGGAACAGAGCCTGCGAGAAGAGAATGATCGTTAGCACTGATGGCACACTCAGCGTGTGCCCAACACTGTGAGGCCCTATCAGGAAGGCATTCCACAATCCCATTTTACAGATGGGGAAATGGAGGCTTAACAGGCTATGTGAGTTACCTAGGACTAGACCATTGCTAAGTGGCAGTGCCTGGATTTGAACCAGTGTCAAGGTAATTCCAGAGCCCCACTCTCACACTCCAGATGATTCTCTACACCCCATGAGGCAGATGAGAGGCAAAGACATTGGTGGCAGGGCTGGAGTTTTACTTCCTGTGCTTTAGGAAGCTGCTGACCAGTTGAGAACTCCCTGTGTCTCCTATTCACATGTGCACCTGCCAGGTTCTGAACACCAGGCATCCCAGAATAAACCAGGATGGGCTAGAAAGCACCAGCAATAAAGTACCTGCAGCTAGCAGCATGCACTGTCTTCAAACCACCCCCCAATGAGCACTCTAGAACAATGCCTAGTAGACAGGGGAGTCATTTGTTTTAAGGAACATAATTTTACAGAATCCCTAACTTGCAGACGCAATCAAGTACTACATTTGTCTATTTTATAGACTCTGAAACTTTGAGTATCATTCCCCAGACAGAATAAATTATGAGCTAGCATTAGACATGGTAGCTGAGAGCCAAAAAGCAGCACAAAAGCCCAGGCAAAAGGAATGGACGATGGAGGAAAGTTCTGGACACTGTTTGTGGCCCCAGAGATTTTCCTGGGCTCAGGGTCAAATTCTGGGACCCTCCCATGGTCTTCCCCATCTCAGGAAACAGCAATCCCATCAGCTCAATGGCCGAGACAAAAGTATCTTGAAGTCTTCGGTGGCAGAATGTATTTTCCAAAATAAAACTATTGGCTGGGTGCCCTGGTTCACGCCTGTAATCCCAGGACTTTGGGAGGCCAAGGCGGGCAGATCACTTGAGGTCAAGAGTTCGACACCAGCCTGGCCAACATGGTGAAACCCTGTCTCTATAAAAAATACAAAAATTAGCCGGGCATGATGGTGTGTGCCTGTAATCCCAGCTACTTCAGGAGGTGGAGCCATGAGGATTGCTTGAACTCAGGAGGAGGAGGTTACAGTGAGCCAAGATTGTGCCACTGCACCCCAGCCTGGGTGACCGAGAGAGACTCTGTCTCAAAAAATAAAACAGAATAAAATAAAACGGTTGCCACTGTCACTAAATTTAGAGGTGGTTTGTGACACAGCAATAGATCAGCGGGACATCATCCAGCCTCATGAGAGACCCTGAGCAAGAGCGCCTGGAACAGACAGGGATTTGTGTCGTTTCATTCACTTTTGCACACTCAGCACTGTGAGCAGTGCCTGGCGCACTGTTGGGCTGTGCTTGATAAACATTTGCTGGATGCATGTAATGAAGACTGACTGAATACAAAGGTAGTCAACGATGGTACTAAGGCAGAGCATCCACTTCAACAGCACCATCCCCCCAAGCGGCCTCAATGCTCACAGCATTTAATAATACACATAATAGCCGCGAATACTTACAGTACACAGCCCAGGTGGCATGTATCAGTGACCCTCATTTTATTATCAAAATTATCCCCATTTCGCACATGAGAAAACTGAGGCCATATAAGGAACTTCTCCAAAGCTAATAAATAAGTGGGAGCCAGAATTCATGCTCAGGTCTTGTCTAACTTTTTTTTTAAGAGACAGGGTCTCGCTCTGTCGCCCAGACTGGAGTGGAGTAGCATGACCATAACTCACTGCATTGCGGAACTCCCATGCTCATGTGATCCTCCTGTCTCAGCCTCCTGAGTAGCTGGGACCACAGACATGCATCACCATGCCTGGCTAATTTTTTAACTTTTTGTAGAGACAGGATCTTGCTTGCTATGTTGCCCAGGCTGGTCTCGAACTCCTGGCGTCAAGCGATCCTCCTGCCTCAGCCTGTCCAAATTCTTAACACTATACTATTCTGCCTCCTATACTAATCCCACAGAAATAAATTTCTTTTATCAAATTAACCTTAAAACAGACCATTCATTCTCACAAGACAGATAGTCAGAAATACAGGATCGATCTGTGTTTCATGGTAATACCTGGCTCCTTCCAAGTTCCTTATCCTTCAGGACTGTAGAGTTGAATCCAGGTTGCCTCCTTAAATCAAAGAGAGACACTTCCTTAAAGAAAGCCCCTTGTATCTCCACGATGCCTGGGGCAGTGTCTTCCGCTTGGACCATCTGCCAGAAGCGAGAAGCAACAAAACAACATTGTAAAAAATGCATTGAGCTTTGAGGAAGGGCCAGGCACTACATCACAGGCAATAAAATCCATCAGACCCGCTCAGCAACCCTAGGAAGTGGAGAGTAGCATCATCCCCATTTCACAGGTGAGGAAACAGAGACTTAAAGTGTGATGAGTTGAAAGTCAGTAAGTGACATTCAAGCCCAAGTCTGTCTGATTCCAAAACCCGTGCTCCTTATTTCTTTATTTTAACTGTATGGGCTACTTGCTATCTGCAAGGTATTGGTGTTTTAGGCCAAACCCCTTAGGTTTTAGGGTTTTTTTCTTTTTTTGAGATGGGAATCTCCCTCTGTCGCCAGGCTGGAATTCAGTGGCATGATATTGGCTCGCTGCAGTCTCCGCCTCCTGGGTTCAAGCAATTTCCCTGCCTCAGCCTCCCGAGTAGCTGGGACTACAGAAGTGCACTACCACACCCGGCTAATTTTTCGTATTTTTAGTAGAGACGGGGTTTCACCATGTTGGCCAGGCTGGTCTCAATCTCCTAACCTCATGATCCGCCCACCTTGGCCTACCAAAGTGCTGCGATTACAGGCGTGAGCCACCTCACCTGGCCAAGTTTTGGTTTCTTAACAGATTTTGCCATTGGACAGAACGGACCTGATAGAGCAAGATGTCAAAAGACTCCCTGACAAGTAAAAAAGGGGCCAGGCATGGTGGCTCACACCTGTAATCCCAGCACTGTAGGAGGCCGGGGCAGGTAGATCACTTGAGCCCAGGAGTTTGAGACCAGCCTGGGCAACATGGCAAGACCCCATCTCTAGAAAAACAAAAATTAGTGAGCAGCACAGGCCTGTAGTCCCAGCTACTTGGGAGGCTGAGGTGGGAGGATCCCTTGAGCCCCAGAGGTGGAGGCTGCAGTGAACCAAGATCACGCCACTGCATGCTGGCTGGGGTAATAGAGCAAGACCCTATCTAAACAAACAAACAAAAAAACAGAATACGGACATGGCTGTGGACCATGAAAAGGGCTTTCAGATGCACCCTAGGACTTTGGGTTTATTTTTAGATTTGAAAAACAAATTTTAGGCCAGGCACAGTGGCTCACACCTATAATCCCAGCACTTTGGGAGGCCGAAGCAGAAGGATTATTTGAGGCCAGGAGTTGGAGACCAGCCTGGGCAACATAGCAATACTCCATCTCTACAAAAAATTAATAAATTAGCCAGACATGGTGGCTTGAGGCCAGGAGTTTGAGACTAGCCTGCGCAACATAGCAAGACCATGTCTCTACAAAAAGTTAAAAAAATTAGCCAGGCATGGTGATGTATGCCTGTGGTCCCAGCTACTCAGGAGGTTGAGGCAGGAGGATTGCTTGAGCCCAGGAGACTGTGGTGAGCTATGATCATACCACTGTACTCCAGCCTGGGCAACACAGAAAGACTGTCTCAAAAAAAAAAAACAAACTTGAACCTGAAGTGTTATAAGATCAGGAAACCTGATTTAAGAAAAGTCTTCCAGATTAGACTGTCTGGCAGAACAAAGGGGTCTGGGAAGAATGACAGCATGACTGAAGGGCTCCGTCTGGAAAGGAAGGAAGGTGTGCCACCAGGAGAAGGCAGAGCCACCCCAGACACCAACAGCTGAGACAATCCCAGCCCTGGGTTCATGGCCCAAAGTCACAGCCCACTCACCAACCCCAAAAACATACCCCCTGTGACATGTGGCTGAGCACCAGACATCTTCCTCTCACCTTGCTGAGGATACCTTGCTGCTGGGCAGGTGACAAGTCGGATACATACTGGGAGACGGCACTTCTCAGGACCTGCGAGATGTCCTTGCGTTTCATGCTGCAGAAGGCCTGGGTGCTGACCCCAGCCAGCAGTGCGCCCATCTGGCTGACATTGTAGAAAGACAGCACCTGGAAGAGGAGCGGCTGCGCAGTCAGGCTCTGCTCCCGCCTTTCACCTCTCCAACGTGCACTCAGCCCATCTATGTGCCAAGTATAGGGATGGGTGACACCTTAGGGGCACAGCAGTGAGCCAGACAGATGCTGCCTCCACAGGCCTTCCTTCCTTCTATCAAGAAAGAGAGTTGGCCAGGCATGGTGGCTCACGCCTGTAATCCCAGCACTTTGAGAGGCCAGGCGGGTGGATCACCTGAGGTCAAGAGTTCGAGACCACCTGGCCAACATGGTGCAACCCCATCTCTACTAAAAATACAAAAATTAGCCAGGCATGGTAGCAGGTTCCTGTAATCCCAGCTACTTGGGAGGCTGAGGCAGGAGAATTGCTTGAACCCAGGAGGCAGAGGTTGCAGTGAGCTGAGATTGTACCATTGCACTCCAGACTGGGCAACAAGAGCAAAACTCTGTCAGAAAGAAAAGAAAGAAAGAAAGAAAGAAAGAGAGAGAGAGAGAGGGAGAGGAAAGAAAGAAAGAAAGAAGAGAGAGAGAGAGAAAGAAAGAAAGAGAGAAAGAAAGGAAAGAAAGAAAGAGAAAGAAAGAGAAAGAAAGAGAGAAAGAGAGAAAGAGAGAGAAAGAAAGAGAGAAGGAAAGAAAGAAAGAAAGAAAGGAAGGAAGGAAGGAAGGAAGGAAGGAAGGAAGAAAGGAAAAGAAAGAAAGGAAGGAGGAAAGAAAGAAAGAAAGAAAGAAAAAAGAAAGAAAGGAAAGAAAGAAAGAGAGAGAGAGAAAGAAAGAGAAAGAAAGAAAGAAATTATACTTGGGTTTTTTTTCCTTCCTTTAGAGTGAAGATGCTAGATAGTTTTCCATATAATCAAGGACATGCTTTGGTTCTATGAAAAGACAGCTGAGTGGGTTCCTTTAGTTATTCTGTGTATAATGGGTGATCTCATGCTGTCTTCAAAGAAGGCAAGACCTTTTGACCTCTTGCCTTCTGAGTAAAAGTGGCCTCACCCCTCAGTAGGAAGAGTTGGGTATTAGGAAAGAGACAAACCACTTTGTCCTGGGCTGGGAGGGAACAAAACCGTCTCCCTCAACTCCCTAAAATCAAATTCAGAGAGGACTGTCAAGGTGGACCCATGGAGCCCCAGTCAAGGTCCAGAAACAAGGATTCAAAGCCTTCAACATAAAGTCACCACGAGGCTAGAAGAGACCAGATGAATGGGCTGGCCTGGTACCTGAGTCAGAAAGTGGGAGTGCGTGGGCATTGGTCATGGTGCCATAATGGAGACAGTGAGCACAGGAGTTAAACAAGATGGCTCTGAGGCCAGGTGCCCTGGGTTCAATCCCAGCTGCGTAACTTTCACGTGGCCTTTTCCAGTTCCCTTACACACTCTGTACCTCACAAGAATGAACTGGAAAATGAAGACTACAGCACTACTGACTTCAGAGGATTGTTGGATTAAGTTATTAATTCACTTAGAACACAACCTGGCACATAGTAAGTGTTCAGTAAATGTTTGTTATTCCACACCCTCCCTCCCTTGGCCCCGCGATGGAGGAAGCAGGCTAGGACCAGCCCTCGGAGCTGCAGCTGCCCTTCATCCCTCCCTCGCCCTCTCTACCGACATCCTGCTCCAGTTCCCACTTGGATTTACTTTGGGGAATGTGGTTGGAATATATCTGGCTCAGAACCATGACATACCAAACCCAGCTTTAAAAACTTGAAGAAATTTAAAAAGACTTGGATGCCAAGAAGAAATTCCCTACTCCTTCTCTTTGGGAGGCCAAGGCGAGTAGATTGCTTGAGCCCAGGAGTTTGAGATCTGCCTGGGCAACATTGCAAAATCCCATCTCTACAAAAAAATACAAAAATCAGCCCGGCGTAGTGGCATGTGCCTGTGGTCCCAGCTACTCAGGAGGCTGAGGTGGGAGGATCACCTGAGCCTGGGGGGTCAAGGCTGAAGTGAGCCAAGATCAGATCACTTCACTCCAGCCTGGGCAACATAGTGAGAACCTGTCTCAAAAAACAAAAAAAGAAGAAGAAACCCCCCAGTTCCTGAGGCCGACTCCAGCACTGCCTTCTGGATGCATGGATTCTACTCTATAACTCTTAAACCCCTTTACCGCCTGAATCAAAAGCTTTTGTTTTCATTTTACCACCTGAATCAAAAGCTTTTGTTTTCATTTCCAACCTCAGTGATGCGATCTCGGCTCACTGCAAGCACCGCCTCCCAGGTTCACGCCATTCTCCTGCCTCAGCCTCCCGAGTAGCTGGGACTACAGGCACCCGCCACCATGCCCAGCTAATTTTTTTTTTTTTATTTTTAGTAGAGACATGGTTTCACCGTGTTAGCCAGGATGGTCTTGATCTCCTGACCTCGTGATCTGCCTGTCTCGGCCTCCCAAAGTGCTGGGATTACAGGCGTGAGCCATCGTGCCTGGCCTAGTGATTTTCTTCCTTGTGAGACACTGTGGTATTTTGCTTTA
This sequence comes from Homo sapiens, assembly GCF_000001405.40. Lineage (NCBI taxonomy): Eukaryota > Metazoa > Chordata > Mammalia > Primates > Hominidae > Homo > Homo sapiens. The sequence goes on along the minus strand of NC_000016.10, from coordinate 21,712,515 downwards.
GAACAAGCAAAATGGGGCCCCTTACATTTTCAACATCTTCACCTCTTCCCATATCCTCCTTCAAGCTGCATGGGAGGTACTAACACTAGAATTACGGTGCTAGGTTAGTAAACATGACCTTTAAGGAGTAGTCTCTCCTTTATTCTTTGGGATTCCTACTACTTTTTTCTTTTTTTTTTTTAAGACAGAGTCTTGCTCTGTAGCTCAGCCCAGTCTGGAGTACAGTGGCATGATCTCGGCTCACTGCAACCTCCTCTGCCTCCTGGGTTCAAGTAATTCTTCTGCTTCGGCCTTCCAAGTAGCTGAAATTACGGGTGTGCACCATCATGGCCAGCTAATTTTTCTATTTTTAGTAGAGACAGGGTTTCACCATGTTGTCCAGCTGGTCTCAAACCCCTAGCCTCAAGTGATCCATTCATCTTGGCCTCCCAAAGTGCTGGGATTACAGGCATAAGCCACCATGCCCAGCCTACTACCTTTTGTCAAAATAAAAATTGATGAGTTTTGTATAGTTGGTCAGACACAGTTAAAACTAAATTCACAGTTTAGCAATTATAATGGGTGCTTGTTAAACATCTGGTAGTAAATTATGTTGTTTCAAAGTAATTAAAATTAATATCCAGAAGCCAAAAATAAACAAATGTTTGTTATTATTATTTGATTGGAATGGGTCCTAATCCAATCCTTGTGAGCCAGTTTGCATCCTGGGAAGTGGCCAGGAGTGTGGACTAAACGAGAAGGACACCAAAAGCCAGGCACGGTGGCTAATGCCTGTAATCCCAGCACTTTGGGAGGCTGAGGCAGGCGGATTACAAGGTCTGGAGTTCGAGACCAGCCTGGCCAACATGGCGAAACCTCGTCTCTACTAAAAACACAAAAATTCGCTGGGTGTGGTGGTGGGTGCCTATAATCCCAGCTACTCGGAAGGCTGAGGCAGGAGAATTGCTTGAACCCGGAGGCGGAGGTTGCAATGAGCTGAGGTTGTGCCATTGCATTCCAGCATGGGCGACAAGGGCAAGACTCCGTATCAAAAAAAAAATTAGATGACACCAAAATGCTTAGAACTCAAGTCTCCCAGATTTGGAGCCCTCTGGACTGGACCCAACCCAGGGACATTAATTGTCCCCAAAAGAATGTCCATTTTCCACCCCAGGAGCAGCAAGAACACAGATTAAGACTCCTGTCCCCACCAAAGAGGACTGTCTGCCTGACAGTTCCCTCTCTGCAGCCCAAGATTGGAATAAAATAGCATCATCCCTAATCCCAAAGTAATGGCAAAAACCGCAATTACTTTTTGCATCAACCTAATAGCAGCTTAACAGCAGGCAGGAAAATCCTGGGATGAGTCCCACACGTTGATCCCACTCAGGGATGGCTAATGCCCCTTGAGCTCCTACTCTGTGGTGTCACCTGGTGGTCTAGCTTCTTCATGTGTACCAACTCACATAATATTCGCAGCAATGCTACAGGATAAGTGCTACTGATTTGTTGTTGTTGTTGTTTAATTTTTTTTGAAATGGAGTCTTGCTCTGTCGCCCAGGCTGGAGTGTGGTGGCACAATCTCTGCTCACTGCAACCTCTGCCTCCCAGGTTCAAGCCATCCTCCTGCCTCAGCCTCCCAAGTAGCTGGAAGTACAGGCATGCACCACCACGCCCAGCTAATTTTTGTATTTTTAGTAGAGACGGGATTTCACCATGTTGATCAGGCTGGTCCCAAACTCCTGGCGTCAGGTGATCCTCCCACCTCAGCCTTCCAAAGTGCTGGGATTGCAGGTGTGAGCCACCTTGCCCGGCAGTAAGTGCTATTGTTGTCCACATATTACAAATAGAGAAACTGAGTCAAAGTGAAAATAGCAAATTGCCTAGTGTCACACAGCTAGTAAATGGCAGAGCAAGGATTTGAACCCAGGCAGTCCTCCTCAGCATCATCTTCTTACTGATTGGTTGCCCCCTGCTGTGTGTGTATAACTGATTGTTATGGATTAAATATTTGTGTCTCCCAAGAATTCATATGTCAAAGTCCTAACCCCTAATGTGATGGCATTGGGAGGTGAGACCTTTAAGAGGCCTTTAAGGGTTAGATGAGGTCATGAGATAATGAGGGTCAGGTGGGGCCCTGATCCAATGGGATTAGTTTCCTTGTAAGACGCAACACCAGAGAGCTTGCTCTCATGTGGTCAGGTGAGCACACAGCAAGATGGCGGCCACCTACAGGCCAAGAGAAGAGGCCTCAGAATGAAACCTACCTTTCTGACACCTCGATGTTGGACTTCCCAGTCTCCAGAACTGTGAGAAATAAATTTATGTTGTTTACGTCACTCAATCTACAGTATATTTTTATGGCAGCCTGGCAGGTCTAATACACTTAGGTCATCTTAGGGGAATAAAAAAGAGTTTAAAACTCCAGCTGACCTTCTCATGGGCCAAGTATTTGGCAGACAAGATGATGACCTGGCTCTTGGCCCAACCTGAGACCTGGTTGAGGGTGGAGATGGCTCCGTGCACAGCCTCGGGGGAGAGGGATTCCAGTTGGCTGTAGGTCAAACCTACAACTGCATCCGACAAAGAACCCAGGGTCTCATTGAGGGTCTGGTTCTCCATGGCAATGTCCAGGAGTTCTGCTTTGAGCTGGAAGGAGAGCAAACTGGAATGAGTGTTGACAGGAAGCAGGGCGGTGGCTCCCTCTGACCATATCCAGGGCTATTAGGACTCCACAGCACCTCCCTTGACCCTGTTCCATCAAAGCTTTTGGGCTCAGAAACGATGAAGGAAAGGGACTCCTGCCATGCCCAGACAGTGAGACACCACACGGAGGACACCTCTTCTGGCCTTAGCTTTCATGTGCCAAAAATTCCCTTTGTACTTCATTTAAATATTAATTTGTTATTAAATCAACCTTAATCCATGTCAGAAAGAAATGTTCCTTTTATAACTACACCACACTCTTATAGCATCTGTTGTCCTCTGGTGACCTTGAACTCTATATCCATATATACAGGCTGTTTTCCTTTCATTAAATAGCCAGGGGCCTTTTCACGATAATTTATAATCTGTGTAAAAATAACTTTTTTTTTTTTCTTAAGACAGAGTTTTGCTCTTGTCACCCAGGCTGGAGTATAATGGTGTGGTCTTGGCTCACTGCAACACTGCAACCTCCACCTTCCGGGTTCAAGCGATTCTCCTGCCTCAGTCTTCTGAGTAGCTGGGATTACAGGCACCCACCACCACACTAATGTTTGTATTTTTAGTAGAGACAGGGTTTCACCATGTTGGCCAGGCTGGTCTCAAACTCCTGACCTAATGTAATCCACATGCCTCAGCCTCCCAAAGTGCTGGGATTAGAGGCATGAGCCACCACATCCAGCCAAAAATAACTCTTCACAGTACAAGAAAGTAAAAGTCTCCTGAACATCCTACCACATAAAAATAACCATGATTAGCAATTGGGTGTATATGCTTCCAAGATTTCTTATACCTTTATAAATATAGAGACACTACATAGTTTTTACAGAGTTGTAATATGAACAGAAGCACAATTTACTCTTCTTAAAATTATCTCTTGCACCTCTTTGCACATTTCTATGATCATTTTAATAATTATTTTATTGCAATATGCCTGCCTAATGATAGTAAAGTGTGCGTTACAGCTGCTTTCGGTAAGGAATGTGATAAAGTCACCTACTATACAATGAGCTCTGTAACAAAAAACAAGAATGGTTCATATTTTAACACCCGAATTTACGTAATAACGTAGTCATTTCAGGCAGGTGCACAAAACGGGTTTCTGGCAATATTGAAATAGCCACTGGGGGGCAGCAGAGTGAAGTAGAAGAAACAACTGTCAAAGCGCCTGGGTTCTCTAAGTTCGGCAACTGCCTTACCTAGAAATCAGTTTCCACATCTGTAAAACGAAGGGGTGGACTACAGTGGCAGCTCCCAAAGTGTGGAGCACACCCAGCGGCATCTGCAACACCTGGGAACTTGTTAGAAACGCAGATTGCCAGGCTGCTCCCGGACCTCCTGAATCAGAGACTGGGTGGGGCTCCGAAATCCAGGGATCCCCAGACTCCGGGTCACAGATGGGGACCACCGGGACCCTGGCCTGTTAGGAACCAGCCACAGCAGGAGGTGAGCAGCAGGCCAGTGAGCATTACCGCCTGAGCTCTGCCTCCTGCCAGATCAGAAGCGGCATTAGATTCTCCTAAGAGCAAACCCTATTGTGCACTGTGCATGCAAGGGACCTAGTCTGTGCGCTCTTTATGAGAATCTAATGCCTGATGATCTGTCACTGTCTCTCATCACCCCCAGATGGGACCGTCTAGTTGCAGGAAAACAAGCTCAGAGCTCCCACTGATTTCACATTATGGTGAGTTCTATAGTTATTTCATTATATATTACAATGTAATAATAGAAATAAAGTGCACAGACCGGGCGTGGTGGCTCACGCCTGTAGTCCCAGTACTTTAAGAGGCCATGGCAGGCGGATCACGAGGTTAAGAGAATGAGATCATCCTGGCCACATGGTGAAACCCCGTCTCTACTACAAATACAATAAATAGCTGGGCGTGGTGGCGTGCACCTGTAGTCCCAGCTACTCAGGAGGCTGAGGCAGAGAATTGCTTGAACCTGGGAGGCAGAGGTTGCAGTGAGCCAAGATCGTGCTACCGCACTCCAGCCTGGCAACAGAGCGACACTCCATCAAGAAAGGAGAGGAGAGGGGAAGGGGAAAGGGATGGGGGGGGGAGGGGGAGGGAGGGAGGGAAGGAGGAAAGAAAGAAAGAGAGAGAGTGAGAAAGAGAAGAAAGAAAGGAAGGAAGGAGGGAAGAAAGAAAGAGAGAGACAGAAAGAGAAAGAAAGAGAAAGAAAGAAAGAAAGAAAGAAAGAAAGAAAGAAAGAAAGAAAGAAAGAAAGAAAGAAAGAAAAGGAAGGAGAAGGAAGGTAGGGAGGGAGGGAGGGAGGGAGGAAGGGAGGGAAGGAAGGAAGAGCACAATAAATGTCATGCACTTGAATCATCCTGAAACAATCCCCCGGCCCCAGTCCACGGAAAAAAATTGTCTTCCACAAAACCGGTCCCTGATGCCAAAAAATTGTCTTCCACAAAACTGGAGCGCTGCCACAAGCTGTATTTGAACAGGCCCTCCCTGTGATTTAGATGCACCCTCCAGTTTGAGAACAACTGAGCTAGATGATCCCAAAGGGCTCCCTCGTATCTAATTGCATGCCACCTTCTCCTTGGTCAGGGCTGCCACATGTTGAGACCCCTGGGCCTTAAAATACATTTATCTTCTTATTTTTGCTTGAGCTTGCTTAGGACGGATTCTTTTCCTTGGAAACAAAAATATGCATTCACAGGCTAGGCTCGGTGGCTGACGCCTGTAATCCCAGTACTTTGGGAGGCCAAGGCAGGTGGATCACTTGAGGTCAGGAGTTCAAGACCAGCCTAGTCAACATGGTAAAACCCCATCTCTACTAAAAACACAAAAAATTAGCCGGGCATGGTGGCATGCACCTGTAGTCCCAGCTACTCCAGAGGCTGAGGCAAGGCGAAGGTTGCAATGAGCTGAAATTGTGCCACTTGAACCCGGAAGGTGGAGGTTGCAGTGAGCTGAGATTATGCCACTGCATTCCAGCCTGGGTGACAGAATGAAACTCAAAAAAAAAAAAAAATGAATCTTATAAAAAAAAAAAAAAAGATGCGCTGACCAAAATAGATGACCACACTCTCAAATGTCAAATGTGTTTGGGGACTTTATGGTGATGTGTGGGAAACTGCTGTGAAATTATTGATGGCTTTATCAAAATTTCATTTAATATTATTTTCATGTCATCGTTTCGATTTTAAGCAAATTGAAAAGGGCCACAAAAAGTGGAATGGAAGGGGGTAGAATTGAGACTTGACTGGAAGGAAGAAGAGAGAGATGGAGAGGAAGGAAAATGAGAGAGAGCGTGTTTGCTCATCTGGTCTTGGGAACTCATAACCACCCTGCAATCCAGTGTTCTCAATCCTGGCTGCATTGAAATCACCTGAGAAGCATTAAAATCAGGCCATACCTCAGGCCACACCCCAGAACAATAACATCAGATTCTCTGAGGGTGGCACCTGGCAGGGATGTTACTAATCTAGAGGCAGGTTTGAGAACCACTGCTTTATCTCCTGCCGCTCCAGGTGTGCTCACCAGAGCAGCGGTTCCAGAATCACCTGGAAGCTTGTTGGAAGTGCAGCGTCAGCTGGGCGCAATGGCTCACACCTGTAATCCAAACACTTTGGGAGGCCAAGGGAAGAAGGAGGAAGAAGAGGAAGATGGGAGTCCTGGGCCTCAACCAAGAGCTCCTGAATCAGAATCTGCATTTAAGATCCCCAGGTGATCTGTATGCATATTTAAGTTCGAAGTAGCTGTCCCTTTCTTTTCTTTTCTGTTCTTTTTTTTAGATAGGGTCTTGCTCTGTCATCCAACTAGAGTGCAAAGTCACTATCATAGCTCACTGCAGGCTGGCACTCCTGGGCTCAAGCGATCCTCCTACCTCAGCCTCCCAAGTAGCTGGCACTATAGGCACATGGCTTTTTTTTTTTTCTTTTGAGACAGAGTCTCACTCTGTCACCCAGGCTGGAGTGCAGTGGCACGATCTCAGCTCGCCACAACCTCTGCCTCCCAGGCTCAAGCAATTCTCCTGCCTCAGCCTCCTGAGTAGCTGGGATTACAGGCGCATGCCACCACGCCTGTTTTTGTATTTTTAGTAGAGACAGGGTTTTACCATGTTGGCCATGCTGGTCTCAAACTGACCTCAGGTGATCTGCCTGCCTTGGCCTCCCAAAGTGCTGGGATTACAGGTGTGAACCACCGTGCCCAGCCATTTTTTTGTATTTTTTGCAGAGACAAGGGTCTCATGATGTTGACCAGGCTGGTATCAAACTCCTGGCCTCAAATGATCCTCCCATCTTGGCCTCCCAAAGTGCTGGGATTACAGGCATGAGCCACCGCGCCTGGCTGAGACAGCTTTCTGATTAAATTTTGATCTCCCCAGGGTCTGTTCCTTTGCTATTTTCTGTCTGGGCTTCGATGTTACACTTACCTCAGTATTTGAGATGCCATCTGCTGTGACTGGACTTAAATCCCGACTAATGCTGTGTGTTTTCTCCCAAAGGCTAAGCTAGGCTGTTCTCCCCATTTCTCTGGCTAGTGACACTGAGGCAGAGGCCTCAGGGCCTTGCACCCCAGCTGTACCTTCTGGACGCCAGCCTGGAAGCCCCTCAGGTGGCTGCACTTGATCATCTGGTAAAGCAGGACTTGAGCCACAGTGGCATCCAGCAATTCCAGGTCATTGTAGAAACAAACCAGCAGCCCCAGCCTGTGTGAGAAGAGGAGGGATGGTGGTGGAGGTGTAACCGCAGAACCAGCCCATTCTGGTTCAATTTTGTGTAATAAAATGGTGAGTTGTTTTTCAGTTGCCACGGACTCCCAGGTTGAAGGTCACATAACCTGAACATCCTCAGATGAACCAAATGTGCAACCACAGGCGGAACCTAACTGCTCAGACGAGACCAAGGAATGGGGGCTGAATTATGAAGTGGACACCACATGGCATGGTCCACGATCCAATCAGAATGAGTCCTGGCATCACCTCATGGCATGATCCAATCAGATCACACCTCCCAGCATCACCTTGTAGCAAGACCCAATCAGATCAAGTCTCATTACCCTCCGCCTATAAAACCTGCCCCAGTCCCCAGCTCAGAGACACAGATTTGAGCACTGTCTTCTGTCTCCTTGGCAGTTGATTCACAGTAACCGTTTCTCTCTACAAAAACCTAGTGCTTCAGTGTTTGGTTTTCCATTGCGCATGGGCAAACAGACCCAGTTTGGTTCCATAACAGAGCGCTGAGAGCTGGTGGACACGACACCCCCTCCCCAGTCCAAACCAATGGGGTCTTGATTATATTAATAGCAGCTACCACTTATCAGGTCTTGCACTGAGCCGTTTACCTGCATTATCTCATTACAGCAACCCTACAAGGCAGGTGCTCTCATTAGCCCCATTTCACAGATGGGGAAACTGAGATTTGATTTGTCCAAGGCAAGTCGGTGGAGCTGGGACTTAAATGTAGATCCATCCACCTATGCCATCTCTCCACCTGGGATGAATAAAGGGAATAAGGAAAGAAAGGTGCCGGTAGCCACAGAAAACTCCCCATTTTCCACATTACAATCACTAAATTCTAGAGCTGATCTCACCCTGAGGGATTCTCTGAGGCAGAGATCTGTTTCTAGGATGCCTTCTGGTACCCACCCAGATGATGCAAAGATTTCAGAAGGAAAACAAAAAAGACTGGAGGAAAACAATGGAAGGGCAGAAGTGAGATTGGAACCCTGGTATAACTGAGAGCAATGTTTCTAATCATTAAGAGCATTGATTCAGGCCTACTGCAGTTTGAAGCCCAGCTCTGTGAGATGTTTGCTCTCCACCAAGTTACTTAACTTCTCTGTGAGGCCGCTATACACAGTTCTGCAGTGCACACTCTGTACTCCCATACTGTACAGAGACAGGGTGCCTCTCCCTCTCTGAGCCTCTAATAAATGGGAGGTTTTCTTTGTTCATCGTAGCACATCATAATAAACATGAGTGAAAGAAAGAGGATGATTGTGAAAGTTAAATGAGAAGTGGTATACCAACTGATTTGCATACATCCTGGTGGAAACCAAGCACTCATTCATTAATGAATGCTCTTAGAGTTAGAATGAAGACTACCTAGTTGACCACAGTCAGCCTGGCTCCACCCTCTCAGAGCGATATTGACATATTCAGACATGCCCACAGGAGAGCTGCCAGGTCCAGGGAAAAGATTTGAAAGTGTGTCTCATGAGGAAAAGAGATCTGCTTAACTTCGAGTAAAGAAGACTCAGGGGAAGTGAGGGCTGAACGTTAATAACCACGTTGAGAATAACTATTCACAACAGCCAAGACATGGAATCATCCTAAGTGTCCAACACGTCAGTGGATGAATGGATTTTTTTTTTAATTTGGTGGATACACAATGGAATGCTCTTCAGCTTTGAAAAAGAAGGAAATTCTATCATATGGGACCCCATGGATGAACTTGGAGGATCTTATGCTAAGTGCAATAAGCTAGGCACAGAAAGACAAATACTGTATGACCTCATTTATATTATGAATCTGAAAAACAAATAAACAAACGTCATACTCATGGAAGCAGAGCCTTAGAATGGTTGGTACCAGGGGCTGGAGGTGGGAAGGGAGTTGGAGAGACTTGGACAAAGGACACAATGTTTCAGTTAAATAGGAAAATAGGTTCTGGAGATCTATTGTACATGCTGACTACAGTTAATAACAATGTATCATATACTCAAAAATTGCTAAGAGTAGATTTTAAGTGTTCTCACCGCAAAAAAAGTATGTGAGGTAATGATAACTTAATTAGCTTGATTTAGCCATTCCACAATGAATATATATCTCAAAACATGTTGCACACCATAGATATAATTTTTATTTATCAATTTAAAAAAATAAATTATAAAAGAAAAATAGGCTTGGCGTGGTAGTTCATGCCTCTAATCCCAGCACTTTGGGAGGCCGAGGCGGGCGGATCACAAGGTCAAGAGATCAAGACCATCCTGGCCAACATGGTGAAACCCCGTCTCTACTAAAAATACAGAAATTAGCTGGGCGTGGTGGCGTGTGCCTGTAGTCCCAGCTACTTGGGAGGCTGAGGCAGGAGAATCACTTGAACCCAGGAGGCAGAGGTTGCAGTAAGCCGAGATTGTGCTACTGCACTCCAGCCTGGCGACAGAGTGAGACTCCGTCTCAATAAATAAATAAATAAAAAGAAAAAATATTATTCATTGAGCACTTACTATGTGTCAAGTGTGCAAATCCCTACAAAGACCTTAATGCAGTAGGCATATTTTTATCTCCCATTTTACAGATGGGGAAGCGGAAGTATAGAGAGGTGATGTAAAAATAGCAAAGATCACACCATTAGTAAGCAGCAGGGAAGGATTAAGCCACGAAGTCTGGCTCGAGGTCCCATGTTCTTAATCATGAGGCTATTTTTGTGTGTGTGAAACCATAGAAAAATGAGACACATGCTAATAAGTGAAAATTACTAAAGGTAGGTGAAACAGATGTAATTGTTTCCTATGAGTACATTCCCTAAGAGTGGCTCATTTGAAAAACCTTAAGGTAATATGGGATGGGAGCAGTGTGGCAATAATAAGACCTTGAGAGACGGACACAAGAGGATTGAATGATGGCCCAGCACAGTGGCTCACGCCTGTAATCTCAGCACTTTGGAAGTCCAAGATGGGTGGATCACTTGAGGTCAGGAGTTTGAGACCAGCCTGGCCAACATGGCGAAACCCAGTCTCCACTAAAAATACAAAAATTAGCTGGGTGTGGTGGCACACGCCTGTAATCCCAGCTACTTGGGAGGCTGAGGCAGGAGGATCTCTTGAATCTGGAGGTGGAGGTTGTAGTGAGCTGGTATTGCACCACTGCCCTCCAGCCTGGACAACAAAGTGAGACTCTGTCTCAAAAAAAAAAAAAAAAAAAACAGGATTGAATGGGCCAGGCGTGGTGGCTCATGCCTGTAATCCCAGCAGTTTGGGAGGCCAAGGCAGGCAGACCACCTGAGGTCAGCAGTTCAAGAGGTCAGGAGTTTGAGACCAGCCTGACCAACATGGCAAAACCCCATCTCTACTGAAAATACAAAAAATTTAGCTGGGCATGGTGGCACACATCTGTAGTCCCAGCTACTCTGGAGGCTGAGGCATGAGGATTGCTTGAACCCAGGAGGTGGAGGTTGCAGTGAGCCAAGGTCACATCACTGCACTCCAGCCTGGGTGACAGGACAAGACTCTGTCTCAAAAAAATAAATAAATAAAAGGAAAAGGAGGGAGTATTGAGCTGTACTCACCACCTCCTTCCCATTGCCCACTCCCTTCCTGACACCCCTGGAATGTAGAGTTCCTGTCCCTCCTCCCCTGCTGGGAATGGTTTTAGGGAGGATCACATTACAGTCACTAAATTCTAGAGCTGATCTCATCCAGGGGCTCCCCAGCTAAGAGTCTGATAACAAGCGGTTCTCATATATGGGGACCCATGAGTTATTTCCAACACTTGACTCAACTTAAACGGAAATCACACATTCACTTTGGAACAGGACCCAGTCCTGAGTATTTAAAATGTTTCATTTCTGTGCTGAGAGACAGAATTAGCACTTGATAAGGTTGCATAAAATGCCTGGCACACAGGAGATGCTCAGAAAGCATTTATCCTTTCACCCAGCTTCATAACCTCTTCATAAAAAAAGTTGCAGACACCTCTCCTCACATGCACAGAGAAATATGGGACTATTCAAAGAGATGGACCAGCCACCTCCCTTCCCTCCCTGGGTGTTTTGCTGCTCAGAGAATTCTGATGCTTAGATCACATCTTGGGAAAGGGCTCCAAGGCCCAGAGCTCATGCGCTTGCCTGTGGATGGTGGAGGTATTCCTCATGTTAAAGTTGGAGGAGCTGATCCTCTCCAGAAACGCCTGGGCCAGCTCAGGTGTGATGTCATAGACCATGTCCAGCTGCTTGGTGGCGTTGTCATAGCTGATAAACAGCCCAATCTAGTTGGTGGACAAGGACGAGAATATCAGTGAGGAGGGTGGAAGTGGCCCAGTGTGGCCCCACCCTGGTGGTCTGCACTGTGCCCCATCATGGACACTTGGATACACCTCCTGGTTCTCATTGTCATTGATGTCTTTTTTTCTTTTCTTTTTTTTTTTTTTTGAGATGGAGTCTCACTCTGTCGCCCAGGCTGGAGTGCAGTGACATGATCTCAGTTCACTGCAACCTCCACCTCCTGAGTTCAAGCAATTCTCCTGCCTCAGCCTCCGGAGTAGCTGGGACTACAGGTGCCCACCACCACGCTTGGCTAATATTTGTATTTTTAGTAGATATGGGGATTCACCATGTTGTCCAGGCTGGTCTCGAACTCCCAGCATCAAGTGATCCACCCGCCTCGGCCTCCCAAAGTGCTGGGATTACAGGCGTAAGCCACCATGCCTGGCCTCATTGTCATTGATTTCTTAGTGGTCTGTAACTGCTACTTTAGTTTCCTCCTCAACCTAACTATTCTTTAGGAAAGAATTATTTTTTAATATCTGAGAAACTGGGCTTTTTAAAAGCTAATCTTTGCACATTTATTTCTAGATTTGTTATATGGAGGTCAGAGAATGTGGTCCACAAACTTTCTGCTTTGAAGAATCAGAATTTTTTTAATAGATGAATGAGTTTATAAATGGCCCTTGGGTGATGGAAAAGAGTATGTGTTCTCTTTGTAAGACACAAAGTTTGGTGCATATATATTCAACTTATTAAATATACTATTCAGATTCCCAACATTCTTGTTCCTTTTTGGCCCACATGTCCAAGGGTGCCACGTGCAAGTCTTCTACTACTACAGGACTCATATCTATCTATTCTTCCTTGTATTTCTAGCAGATTATAAATTATATATATAATTTTGGGGGGACACTGACTCACTCTTTTTATTTTATTTTTGTTTTTATTTTTATTTTTATTTTTATTTTTTTGAGATGGAGTCTCGCTCTGTCACCCAGGCTGGAGTGCAGTGGCACAATCTCAGCTCACTGCAACTTCAGCCTCCCGGGTTCAAGTGATACTCCTGCCTCAGCCTCCTGAGTAGCTGGGATTACAGGCATGTGCAAACATGCCCGGCTAATTTTTGTATTTTTAGTAGAGACGGGGTTTCGCCATGTTGGCCAGGCTGGTCTTGAACACCTGACCTCACATGATCCACCCGCCTCAGCCTCCCAAAGTGCTGGGAGTAGAGGCGTGAGCCACTGCGCCCGGCCAAGACACAGTCTCACTCTTTTACCCAGGCTTGGGTGCAGTGGTGTGATCATGGCTTATTGCAGCCTCGACCTCCTGGGCTCAAGTGATCCTCCCACCTCAGCCTCCCAAGTAGCTGAGACCTCAGGCACACACCACTACACCTGGCTAATTTTTAAATTTTTTTGTAGAGATGAGGTTTCACTATGTTGCCCAGGCTGGTCTTGCACTTCTGGGCTCAAGTGATCCTCCCGCCTTGGCCTCCCAAAGTGCTGGGATTACTGGCATGGGCCACGGCAGCCGGCACATTCTATATTTTGAGACAGTATTATGCTGTGCTCAAAGGGGCTCATAAAGTTGTCTCTCCTTTGTGGATCGTACTCTTTGTCCATATAAAATTCCTTTTTAGGCTGGGTGCGGTGTCTCACACCTGTAATACCAGCACTTTGGGAGGCTGAGGCAAGGCAGATCACCTGAGGTCAAGAGTTCAAGACCAGCCTGGCCAACATGGTGAAACCTCGTCTCTGCTAAAAATATAAAAATTAGCCAGGCATGGTGGCATGTGCCTGTAATCCCAGCTACTCAAGAGGCTGAGGCAGGAGAATCAATTGAATCTGGGAGAAGGAGGTTGCAGTGAGCTGAGATCACGCCACTGCACTTTAGCCTGGACGACAGAACGAGACTCCATTTCATAAATAAACAAATAAAATAAAATAAAATTCCCTTTTAGCAGTGTTATTCTTGACTTCTCCCTTCTCTACATTTTTAGCGAATAAAAAGTTGCAAATGAGTGCTTGACCTTAGAAATTTCCTCTAGGGGGCTCAGCTTTCTAAGAATTTAAGCTGTTACCTACTCAAAGCAACTCTACATTGAGAGAGTAAATGGCAGTGGGGTGCGGGGTTAATTCTAGGACTGCGGGTTATAAAAATCGGAAGACACTTGAAATACTCCCAGCCCCCTAGGTAAAAGAGAGAAAGCTCGTTCTGCCTCTGGTTTCATAATAACCACACATTGCTGGGTCAATGGGTCCTTGAACAGGCCAGTCATTTGATGCAAACACTTCTCTCACTGGCCAGAAGAGTCAGGGCACATATGACTTAAAAAAGAAGAAGAAGAAGAAGAAAAATTGGAAGCAAGGCCCACAGTCTCTTCATGAATCCCTTTGTGTTGGCAGCATTCTTTGGAGACCGCATTCAAGAATCATGATGCCCAAGGGATTTTAGTGTCATTGGGTCAACATCAAAAGGAGAGGGACAGGTTGACTAGTGAGTTAAGTAATCCTAGAATGTGTGTATTTCTCCACTGTAAACTCTAGAATTAAAATCTAACCATTGCTCATGCTCAAGTAGCTATTAACAGAAGTAGCTATAAATAGAAGTAGCTATTAATCCATTTTGCTTTTGCTTTGAGTTCATGATCCCAAGGATGGGAAACTTTATATCTTTTGTCCTTGGCCTTCTCCAGTACAAAAATACCCTTAAATGATTTTTGGTTCATAGCCAACAATCCCTTTAAATCATGTTTGCTCACATCAGAGATGTGATCTTAGTTGTCCACAATTCTTTTTCTTTTCTTAGCCCTTCCACACTAAAACAATCCCATGACTGCCCACTTGAAACTTTCTTCCAATAGTTTTCTTCAGAGGCCCAAGGTCTATTGGGCTGAGGAGGGTACACAATTTCCAAGGCACCTTGACTGGCTGGATGAACATTAGAGTTTGAGAATACACCTTACCCCAAGTGTATTAGTAATGGTGACATATAAATGTACTTTTCCAACTTACTTCTATAGGACTAATTTTCGTAATTTCTTCAAACGATAGGTGAACCATGTATCTGCCCAAAACCCATAAGTGTTCCGCACTGACCCATGAAGCAGAGTCATCTACAAAAAATAAAGAAATGAATAAATGAGTACATACATAAATAAAAGCCTTTACACTGGTATGTGATAGTCAACAGCATCTTTGCTGTCAAGACCTACTTCTTGCATTCATTAATTCGTTATTTTGTTTTTCGGGGTTTTTTGAGACAGAATCTCACTCTGTTGCCTAGGTTGGAGTGCAGTGGTGTGATCTCAGCTCATCTCAACCTCCGCCTGCCGGTTCAAGCGATTCTCCTGCCTCAGTCTCCCAAGTAGCTGGGATTACAGGCACCCACCACCATGCCCAGCTAATTTTTGTATTTTTAGTAGAGACAGAGTTTCACCATGTTGGTCAGGCTGGTCTCAAACTCCTGACCTCAGGTGATCTGCCCGCCTCTTGCCTCCCCAAGTGCTGGGATTACAGGCATGAGCCACCATGCCCAGCCACATTAATTTGTTATTAACTCATTCAACAATCATATACGTAGGGCCTACCTGTGAGATCACACGTAGGATGTGAACACAGATTCGCACCACCTCAGACCTTGTTACTCAATAGTGTGGTCTTTGGAATTGCAACATCTGTGTCACCTGGCCACTTGTTAGAAATACAGATTATTCTTTCTGGCCAGGCACCTGTAATCTCAGCATTTTGGGAGGCTGAGGCAGGAGGATTGCTTGAGGCCAGGAGTTTGAGACCAGCCTGAGCAATATATCAAGACCCTCATCGCTACAAAAAAAAAAAAAAAAAAAAAAAAGCCAGCTGTAGTCCCAGCTACTCAGGAAACTGAGAAGGGAGGATTGCTTGAAACCAGGAATTTGAGGCTACAGCTCACTCTACTGCACTCCAGCCTGGGCAACAGAGTGAGACCCTGTCTCTTTAAAAAAGTAATAATAATTAAAAATAAATAAATAAATAAGAAATGCAGGTTATTTTTAATACTTAAAACCCACAAAATGTAGTTTTATTTTTTCATTCGATTGGTTACTAAATAATCTGGAAACATGAGGCCAGATGTGGTGGCTCACACCTGTAATCACGAAATCCCGTCTCTACTAAAAATACAAAGAAAAATTAGCCAGGTGTAATCCCAGCTACTTGGGAGGCTGAGGCAGGAGAATCTCTTGAGCCCGGGAGGTGGAGGTGGCAGTGAGCCGGGATCACATCACTGCATTCCAGCCTAGGTGACAGAGCGAGACTCTGTCTAATAATAATAATAATGATAATAATCTGGCAACATGAAATATGTTTGACTGTCTTGCATCACTACCACTAGTAAGGATCATCCTCACTGATTATCACCATGTTACTATACTTGAACCAAAGCAAACTACTTGTACCTCCCCAAAACATTCTCCAAATCTTGGCTGGCCTTGGCCCTGCTCACCACCTACAATGCTTTTCCTTACCCCTTCTGCATCCAAATCCTACTTTAAGATCAAGCTCAAATTTTCCTCTCCCTTAAAGCCTTCTCTTATCTCCTTCACGAGAAGTACTTTCTCCCTCCACTGAATTCCCAGAGGACTCTCTCTGACACCCCGTTCTGGCTTTTGAAATTCCCCATCACTGAGATGTCAGTGGAATTTTAAAAACCATCAAGTCAGCCAGGTGCGGTGGCTCAAGCCTGTAATCCCAGAACTTTGGGAGGCCGAGGCAGGTGGATCACAAGGTCAGGAGATCGAGAGCATACTGGTCAACATGGCGAAACCCCATCTCTAATAAAACTACAAAAATTAGCCAGGCGTGGTAGCGCACGCCTGTAGTCCCAGCTACTCAGGAAGCTGAGGCAGGAGAATCACTTGAACCCGGGAGGCAGAAGTTGCAGTGAGCTGAGATCATACCACTGCACTCCAGCCTGAGTGACAGAGCCAGACTCCATCTCAGAAAAAAAAAAAAAAAAAAATATATATATATATATATATATATATCTCAAGTCTAGGATCAGACTTCAAGTTTCACTGAGCTGGAAGTGGCTGCCAATGCTCCCCAGCTCTTTAGCAAAAGACATTTACACACGATATTGTATTGGAGGCATTTGGGGAAAATGAAGGAAGTGGGGAGCATTTACAGGGTGCAGTGACTCTAACATCAAGAGCTATTTGCAGAAGCCGTGGGCAATGACAGATGCCAAAACAAGATGGAGAAATCAACTTTTATATAGACTGATTCACAAGAAAATATGGAGTGCCTCTCCCAAACCAGGAATCAAAGATGTTGGGGTGACACAGGCAGACTCCTACGATCCTCTAGATGGGGACCCTGGACATTTGCCTTGCCTATATAGAGGGCTGGAAACTTTTGAGGCTAGAACCACACATTCACAAAGAACCAAGCTTAGTTGTTTATTTTTTAACTTATTACTAAGCATAAACTGTATTTCTGTAGATCAATCATCCCCAAGCTTGGGATTTTTTTTTTTCTTCCTCTGTTGTCCAGGCTGGAGTGCAGTTGGATGATCATAGCTCACTGAAGCCTCAAACTCCTGCCTCAGCCTCCCTAGTAGCTAGGACTACAGGCACACATCACCACATCAGGCTAATCTTTTAATTTTTTTGTATGGGGGGGGGGGGTCTCACTACATTGCCCAGGCTGGCCTTGAACTCCTGGCCTCAAGCAATCCTCCTTCCTCAGCCTTCCAAAATGCTAGGATTAGAGGTGTAAGCGACCACACCTGGCCAGCAAGGTTGGGATATTTTTAACAGCCAAAGTATTTCCAGTTCCCTCAAGGGCCTTCATGAAAAAACAATTTAAGTCCAAACAGAATTAATTTTAACTCACTGTAGTTTAATAATGAAGCGCACCGTATAAGAATTTTAGAAGGAAAGTCTGTGCCTAATTAAACTCTGGCAATAAAGACAGAGAAGTCTGAAGGTAGAGAGGCTTTCTCATGGTTACCCAGTGTGAGACTCTGATTCCTGGAGACCACAATTATGCACCAGGCAGAGGGAATTCTACTATGCATTTGAGACTTTGATTATGATGTTGTTTAATGTTCATTATGCACAAATCTCAGAGCTGAATTCCAGGAAAAGATTGATTGGCATTCCCCATCCTCCAGCCCCATCTGCTTTCCTTATGTTTTCCCCACACCGAGCTCATTCCCATCTCAGGGCCTTTGTATTTCCTGGGATTTCTCTCTGGGATGCCCTTTCTCCAGAGCCTTACGTGACTGGTTCCATCTCCTCATTTTGGTCTTGATTCAAATGTCACCCACTTGAGAGGTCTTCCCTGATTCCTTAGTCCAAGAGTTGGCAAACTACAATCCATGGGGCAAACTCAGCCCATCACCTGTTTTTATACAGCCCATGAGCCAAAAGTGGTTTTTACATTTATTATTTTGGACTTTTTTTTAGAGACAAGGTCTCGCTCTGTCACCCAGGCTGGAGTCCAGTGGCTCCATCACGGCTCACTGCAGTCTCAAACTCCTAGGTTCAAGGGATCCTCCCCCCCTCAGCCTCCAGGGTAGCTGGGACTACAGGCATGTACCAGGACACCGGCTATTTTTTAAAAAATTTTTTAAGAAATGGGGTCTTGCTATGTTGCCCAGGCTGGTCTTGAACTTTTGGCTTCAAGTAATCCTCCTGCCTGGGCCTCCCAAAGTGCTGGGATTACAAGCATGAGCCACTGCACCCTGCCTGCTTTTTACCTTTTTTAATAGCTGAAAGGAAAATCAAAAGAAGAATCCTATTTGGTGACACATGAAAATTATGCAAATTTCAGCATCCATTAGTAAAGCTTTACTGGGACACAGGCATGCTCATTCATCTATTGTCTACAGCTGTCTTCAAGCTGCAGTGTCAGAGCTGAATAGTTGAGGCAGAGATGGTAGGCTTACAAAGCCTAAAATATTTACCTGGTCCTTTACAGAAAACATTTGCCAAGCGCTCTTCTAGTCTAAAGTACCTGTAATATCCTTTCTGCCTGGGTGCAGTGGTTTATGCCTGTAATCCCAGCACTTTGGGAGGCCAAGCCAGGTGGATCTGTTGAGGTCAGGAGTTTGAGACCAGCCTGGCCAACATGGAGGAATCACATCTCTACTAAAAATACAAAAATCAGCTGGACATGGTGGCAGGCACCTATACTCTCAGCTATTCAGGAGCTGAGAGAATCACTTGAACTCTGGAGGCAGAGGTTGCAGTGAGCCGAGATTGTGCCACTGCACTCCAGCCTGGGTGACAGAGTAAGACTCCGTCTCAACAAACTATTTTATTTTCTTCATAGCCGCTACCAGTATCTAAATTTCTAAGTTCTCTCTCTCTCTTTATTTACTTACATGTTTAAAAAAATTGTCTCCACCAACACTCCCACAATAAAACAATAGGGCCGTAAGAGCAGAGACTTTGTTTTGTTTCCTTCTCTATCTTCAGCTATTGATACATAATGGGCTTTTAAAAAGTTTATTCTGTTTACATTACTGACATTAAAGGTTTAACAAATTGAAGCTATCTGAGAAATTGTTTGTATTGCTAATCTATATAGCCATTCTTTTCTATCGCTGTTTTGTTTGTTTGTTTGTTTGTTTGCTTGTTTTGCGACAAGGTCTCACTACATCACTCAGGCTGGAATGCAGTGGCACAATCCCAGCTCACTGCAAGTTCTGCCTCCCGGGCTCAAGTGATTCTCCCACCTCAGCCTCCTGAGTAGCTGGGACCACAGGCGCACGCCACCACACCTGGCTTTTGTTTTTTTGTTTGTTTGTTTTGGTAAAGACAGAGTTTTGCCATGTTGGCCAGGCTGGTCTCAAACTCCTAACCTCAAGTGATCTGCCCGTCTCAGCCTCCCAAAGTGCTGGGATTACAGGTGTAAGCCACCGCACTTGGCCCCAATTTTCTTTTCTTTTCTTTCTTTCTTTTTTTTTTTTTTTTTTGAGACAGAGTCTCACTCTGTCACCCAGGATGCAGTGCAATTGCATGATCTCAGTTCACTGTAACCTCCACCTCCTGGGTTCAAGTGATTCTCCTGCCTCTGCCTCCCAAATAGCTGGGATTACAGACATGAACCACCACGCCAGGCTAATTTTTTGTATTTTTAGTAGAGAAGGGGGTTCACCATGTTGGCCAGGCTGGTCTCGAACTCCTGACCTCAGTTGATCTGCCTGACTCAGCCTCCCAAAGTGCTGGATTGTAGGCATGAGCCACCATGCCCGGCCCACCTGGCCCCATTTTTAAGTGTAGAGTTGAGCGGGAGTAAGTACATTCACATCCACACTATTGTGCAACCGTCACTACCAGCCATATCCAGAATATTTTGAACCTTGCAAAATCGAAACTGTACCACCATTCTAATTTCTGTCTCTATGAATTTGACTGCTCTAGGACACAAGGAGGCTTTAAGCAACATCCATCAAATAAATAAATCCTGACCTACCTGCTTTGGTAGCCAGGACGCTCAGAGTTAAATTTCTGTGTTTTATTGCCTAGATTTCCTAATAAAATTCTCTTCTGTCTCTCTCTCTTTTTTTTTTTTTCGAGACGGAGTCTCGCTCTGTCACCCAGGCCGGAGTGCAGTGGTGCAATCTCAGCTCACTGCAATCTCTGCCTCCCCAGTTGAAGCGATTCTCCTGCCTCAACCTCCTGAGTAGCTGGGATTACAGGTGCCCGCCACCACGCCCGGTTAATCTTTGTATTTTTAGTAGAGATGTGGTTTCACCATGTCGGTCAGGCTGGTCTCAAACTCCTGACCTCCGGCAATCCTCCTGCCTTGGCCTCCCAAAGTGCTGGGATTACAGGCGTGAGCCACCACGCCCAGCCTCTTCTCTCATTTTAATATAGATTTTTTTATACAGATTTTGAACTTGTACCCCTACTCAAGGTTCACATTGAATCTAAGTTACCATCATTATTTATATTCCACTGAAAAACTAGGACACAACATAGATTATGAAATACAAACACATCATTATTTCAGACTTCCACATGTGCGAATTGCATTGACGAAATGGAGTATGTGTTTTACTCCATAAGCCACATCAAACTGTTTTTCGAAGCAGTGGGAGGTGGTAAAAATCAGAAGAGAACAACATCAAATCCATGTTTTCAGAGATGAAACACCTCTTCTGAAGATATTCTTCCCCCAAAAAGTGACCCCACCTCCAAGTACAGGCTCACCAGTGGCATTGGAGGATGTCTGCAGTATTCCAGTCATCCAGGAATAGAGAGCTCTCTGGGAATGAGCCGAGGTTTTGTCGTAGAGATCTTTGAACACTGCAGATCTAAATGACACAAACACAGGCATCAGCTAATAACAAGCAGGTGGGGGCTGCATTAAAAAGGGAGTCACAACAGCAAATGTGACCCAAAGCTGTCTTGTGTTAAAACCCTTCCCTCTCCTGGATGTGGAGAAATAGAAACGCTTTTACACTGTTGGTTGGAATGTAAATTGATTCAACCATTGTGGAAGACAGCGTGGTGATTCCTCAAGAATCTAGGACTAGAATTACCATTTGACCCAGCAATCCCATTTCTGGGTATGTACCCAAAGGATTATAAATCATGCTACTATAAAGACACATGCACACGTATGTTTATTGTGGCACTATTCACAATAGCAAAGACTTGGAACCAACCCAAATGTCCTCCAATGATGGACTGGATTAAGAAAATGTGACACATATACACCATGGAATACTATGCAGCCCTAAAAAAGGATGAGTTCGTGTCCTTTGCAGGGACATGGATGAAGCTGGAAACCACCATTCTCAGCAAACTATCACAAGGACAGAAAACCAAACACCGCATGTTCTCACTCATAGGTGGGAATTGAACAATGAGATCACTTGGGCACAGCAAGGGGAACATCACACACCGGGGCCTGTTGGGGGGTGGGGGGAGGGGGTGGGGATAGCATTAGGAGATATACCTAATGTAAATGATGAGTTGATGGGTGCAGCAAACCAACATGGCACATGTATACCTATGTATCAAACCTGCACGTTGTGCACATGTACCCTAGAACTTAAAGTATATTTAAAAAAAAAAAACCTTCCCTTTCTTGAATGTAAATTGGTTCAACCATTGTGGAAGACAGTGTAGCGATTCCTCAGAGATCTAGAACTAGAAATACCATTTGACCCAGCAATCCCATTATCGGGTATATACCCAAAAATATATAAATCATTCTGTCACAAAGATAAATGCACACATGATCATTGCAGCACTAATCACAATAGTAAAGACATGTAGTCAACCCAAATGCCCATCAATAATAGACTGGATAAAGAAAATGTGGTACATATATACCATGGAATACTATGCAGCCATAAAAATGAACAAGATTATGTCTTTTGCAGGGACATGAATGGACCTGGAAGCCATTATCCTCAGCAAACTAACGCAGGAACAGAAAATGAAACACCCCATGTTCTCACTTGTAAGTGGAAGCTGAACGATGAGATCACATGGACACAGGGAGGGGAACAACACACACTGGGTCCTATTGTGGGGGTGGGGTGGGGGAGGGAGAGCATTAGGAAAAATATCTAATGCATGCTGGGCTTGATACCTAGGTGGTGGGTTGATAGGTACAGCAAACCACCATGGTACACGTTTACCTATGTAACAAACCTGCACATCCTGCACGTGTACCCCAGAACTTAAAAACAAAAAATACCCCCAAACACACTCCTTAGGTATATGTAACTATTTTTCCCATTTTCCTCTTCCCCTTCACAGCTAAACACCTTCCAAAGAATATTCCATACATATTGTCTCCACTTCCTCACCTCTTGGTCCTTTTTTGGGGAAGTGGGGGCAGCTCTGTTGAGATATAATTCCCACACCTTACAATTCACCCATTTAAAGTACACAATTGGGCCGGGTGCAGTGGCTCACACCTGTAATCCCAGCACTTTGGGAAGCCAAGGCAGGCGGATCACCTGAGGTCAGGAGTTTGAGACCAGCCTGACCAATATGATGAAACTCTGTCTCTACTAAAAATACAAAAAGTAGCCAGGCGTGGTGGCATGCACCTGTAATCCCAGCTACTTGGGAGGCTGAGACAGGAGAATCACTTGAACCTGGGAGGTGGAGGTTGCAGTGAGCCGAGATGGGGCCATTGCACTCCAGCCTGGGCAACAAGAGTGAAACTCTGTCTCAAAAAAAAAAAAATTACATAAATAAAGTGCACAATTCAGTGGTTTTCAGCATATAAGACAAAGAGCCAAAGATGTTTCTGATGGCATCATTTGAGTCTCTGGATCCAGCTGCGTCTGAAGTCAGCCCTACACCTAAAACTATTCAATTACATGTTCCAATAATTCCCTTTTTGCTTCAAGCCAGTTTGAATGGGTTTTTCTGCCACTTGGGCTTACTGCTTACTCAGGTGAGCAGTAACCAATAAACTCTCTCTCCCAATGATGTTCTCTTCCACAATCTGCATGAACGGAGGAGGGAAGAGATGCTGAATTTAAAAGGAATAGTATAATAGCCTGCAGAGCAAAAGGGTTTCATTTATATACATCTTAGTGAAAAAAACTGGCAACCTAGAGAAACGATGAGGTCAGCATACTGTCTGTTTTCCTTACTGTCATTTGGCTACAAAAGATAAAAGGAATCTCCCACATTGTTATCATCATATTGGTCTTTTCCTTCTTCTAAATCATTTTTAGATTTAGAAAGAGTGCTTTATGGCCATAAAGCACTACGATTAGTAAAAGGAGGGAGTTGGCGGTGGTTGCAATGCCTATGGCCCTTCAAGTCCTAGACACAATCCTCGAATTTGGTTTACATCAAAGCGCAATTTCATGCAGGGCTAGGTGTAACCAATCTAAGCTGGCATGGCATCTCAAAAGGAGAAGTCCTCCTTTTTCAGTGCTCTGTCACTCCTTCTGTTGTCCCTCAAGAACAAAGTCTCAGTTTAGTGCCAGTGAATCTTTAAAACACACTCAGATTGTTTTTAAATCAATGGAACAAGACCCAGGCTCAGAGCCTTTGTGCTGTGGACTGAATGTTTGCGTTTCCCCAAATTTCATGTGTTGAAATCCTAATTCCCAACATGAAGGTATTAAGAGGTGGAGTTTTGAGGAGGTGATTAGGTCATGAGGCTGGATACCTCATGAATGGGATTAGTGCCCTTATAAAAGAGATCCCAGAGGGCTTGCCCACCCCTTCCACCACAAGGGGACACAGCGAGAAGGTGCCACCTATAAACCAGAAAGCGAGCCCTCACCAGACACCAAGTCTGTCAGCACCTTGATCTTGGACTTCCCAGCCTCCAGAACCATGAGAAATAAATGCTTCTTGTTTACTAGCCACACAGTCTATGGTATTTTTGTTACAGCAGCCCAATCTGACTAACACACTTAAGCAAGCAACATATCTAGCTAGGATTTAGTAACACTTTTTTTCCCACTGTATTTATTTATGTGGGTTTTTTTGTTTTTGTTTTTTGTTTGTTTGTTTTTGTTTTTGAGATGGAGTCTCACTCTGTCGCCCAGGTTGGAGTGCAGTGGCATGATCCCAGCTCACTGCAACCTCCACCTCCCAGGTTCAAGCAATTCTCCTGCCTCAAGCCTCCCAAGTAGCTGAGATTACAGGCGCCCACCACCATGCCCAACTAATTTTTGTATTTTTAGTAGAGACGTGGTTTCATTATGTTGGCCAGGCTGGTCTCGAACTGCTGACATCATGATCCACCCACCTCTGCTTCCCAAAGTGCTGGGATCACAGGTGTGAGCTACCACACCCAGCCTAACTCTACAGATGTTAAGCTTTTGCTCCAAAACGTGCATATCAACCTGTCCCCACTTGTCTTCTCCCTGCTGCCAGGTGAGATCTCTTTGCATTCTCACGGCAGCCCCTGAAGGATACTGTGATGAGTTAAGAAGGTGGGAGTGGCTGGGTGCAGTGGCTCATGCCCGTAATCCAAGCACTTTGGGAGGCCAAGGCAGGTGGATCACTTGATGTCAGGAGTTCGAAACCAGCCTGGCCAACATGGTGAAACTCCATCTGTACAAAAATACAAAAATTAGTCGGGTGTGGTAGGCGCCCCTGTAGTCCCAGCTACTTGGAATTGAGGCAGGAGAATCACTTGAACCTGGGAGGCAGAGGTTGCAGTGAGCCGAGACTGCACCACTGCACTCCAACCTGGGCGACAGAGTGAAACTCCATCTCAAAAAAAAAAAAAAAAAAGTTCGGAGGAACCACTCACAGGTTCTTAAAGGCATCCTCGCGCAGGTCCCGAGGGAGCCGCTCTGTGATGTCTGGCTGGAGAAAGCTCCCTGAGGACCCCCTCAGCACCTTGCCCAGGATCTCCACACACTCCAGGGAGTTCAGCATCTGGAAACACCTCTCCAGTGTGATGAGAAACAGGCTGCGGTTCACGCCAGGGCTCTGCAAGGCTCGTTCTCGAATCTCTCCTAAGTCGATGATGATGTCTTTCAGGTCCTAAAGCAATGACAGAAGCCAGGGTCAGTTTGAGAGCTGCCTCTCAATTTGGAAGCCCTGGGAGGGACCACACATTGCAACAGTGGGGAAAGTCAGGATCACTGTTTAACACCATGCTGCTATGTTGAAACTTCTAGAACTTTCCATTCCCTGCAGAACAAAGTCAAGGCCTTTACCTGCTCCACTCACTGTGGAGCCTCCCCACTCTCCAGATACACCTGACCAGCATACATCAGGCCCTTGGTCTACCTGGAATTCTGCATCTTTCCTTTTTCTGGTGAAATCTAGCTCATCCTTTAAGTCTGGGCTCCATTGCCATCACCTTCGTGAAGTCTCTGATCCCTCCAACTTCCTACTTCAGATCAGATTTCCCTCCCTTATGTGGCCCCAGGGCATCTTGAACCAAACTCTATAATGCATTAAAGGGACTCATGCGTCTTTCCTCCAAGCCCGTGGTTCTCATCTCTGGGTGCACATCAGAATCACCTGGGGAGCTTTTTTAAAGTTTTATTTTATTTTTGAGACAGGGTCTCGCTCTGTCACCCAGTCCGCAGTGCAGTGGTGTGATTATAGCTCACTGCAGCCTCAACCTCCTGGGATTGAGCGATCCTCCCACCTCAGCCTCCCAAGTAGCTGGGACTACAGGCACACACCACCATGCTCAGCTGTTTTTTGTAGAGATGGAGTTTTGCCATGTTGTCCAGGCTGGTCTCAAACTACTGGGCTCAAGCAATCTGCCCACAACCTCCCAAAGTGCTAGGGTTACAGGTATGAGCCACCATGCCCAGCCCATCTGGGGAGATTTTGAAAAGGACTGATTGGCCTGGAACAGTGGCTCACATCTATAACCCCAGCATGTTGGGAGGCTGAGGCAGGTTGATCGCTTGAGCCTAGGAGTTTGAGACCAGCCTAGGCAACACAGGGAGACCCCGTCCCTAAAAAATAAATTTTTTAAAATTAGCTGGGTGTGCTAATGCGCACCTGTAGTCCTAGCTGCTTGAGAGGCTGAGGTGGGAGGATCACTTGGGCTCAGGATATCAAGGCTGCAGTGAGCTATAATTATACCACTGCACTCCAGCCTGGATGACAGAGCAAGCCCCTGTCTCTAAGAAAAAAAAAAAAAGCCTCCATTTTACTGAGCATTGACTCTACTGTGCCAAGCTTGGAGCAAACGCATCATCTGATTAATTCTCATGACAATCCTACCGGTTAAGCCCCATGGGTACTAGGGTCAGGCATTCCCAGGTTCCAGTCCCAGGGCCTCCATTATCTGTGTGTCCTGAGCAAATGACTTACCTTTTTTAAGTCCCAGTTTTTAAGGTCTCAGAGGCCTTGCTTTGTGATATTCTTGGATCACTAAACTCATTTTGTGGAAATTAACTGTTCCTGTTTTTTGTCTCCCCTCCAGACCGTGAGCTCCTTGAGTGCAGGAGGATCTCTGTGTCCACTGGTGCATAGTAATTTTTACTAGTGGATGTTTATTGACCCAAACAACCAGGAGATTCTCAGATCCTTAATTAGGACCCGTCATTTCTTAGTACTGACAAAAATATGAATTAGGCCAGGCATGGTGGCTCACACCTGTAATCCCAGCACTTTGGGATGCCGAGGCAGGCAAATCACTTGAGGCCAGGAGTTTGAGACCAGCCTGGCAAAATCTCGTCTCTACTAAAAATACAAAAATTAGCCAGGCATGGTGGTGCACACTTGTAATCCCAGCTACTTGGGAGGCTGAGGCACAAGAATCACTTAAACCCAGGAGGCAGAAGTTACAGTGAGCTGAGATTGTGCCACTGCACTCCAGCCTGAGTGACAGAGTGAGACTCTAAAACAAAAATAAAATAAAAAATTGTAAGGCTCTTCATTTTAACTTTGGAGAAAGTAAGTGAGAAAACTTAGGTCCTAAAGCCCCCAGGGGGTTGGAGGAGGCAGAAGGAGAGAGGAAGAGACAATGAAGTGCCAAGGCCTAAGTCAGGCTCCATTTATTCAATTCAACAAACACCACGTGGTGCTGGACTTCCTCTATCCCCGGGATGCCAAGGGCTCCTCACCAAGCCGTCCTTCTTGTCTTCTAAGAGGCATTTCATGGCAGTGCGGAACTGCTGGGCGTCTGTCTTCCTCAGGTCCTCCAGCAGCTTCTGGGGCTGGTGCAGACGCTGCTCCAGGTGGTTTTCCACGGCTGCCTGTATTTGGGGTGTTGGGAGAGTCGGTGAGAACAGAAAGAGCAGGAGCACATGGTCAGCACCATGGCCAGCGGCCCAGCCCGGCCCCCTCATTCCCTGCAGAGACCACAACTAGTGGCCAGCAGTCTGGTTTGGCCACCTCCAAATTTCCTCATTAGCCGCCAACATTTAAAAATGAGGGGCCGGGCGCGGTGGCTCATGCCTGTAATCCCAGCACTTTGGGAGGCCGAGGCGGGTGGATCACGAGGTGAAGAGATCAAGACCATCCTGGCCAACATGGTGAAACCCCGTCTCTACTAAAAATACAAAAATTAGCTGGGTGTGGTGGCGCACGCCTGTAGTCCCAGCTACTTGGGAGGCTGAGGCAGGAGAATCGCTTAAACCCGGGAGGCGGAGGTTGCAGTGAGCCGAGATCACGCCACTGCACTCCAGCCTGGTGACAGAGCGAGACTCCACCTAAAAAATAATAATAATAATAATAATAATAATAATAATAATAATAATAATAAGGGGATTCCTCACAAGATCAAGATTTCCAACTTCTCTTGAAAAAGTAAAGGTTTGGCAACACCGGGCGCACATCCCCTTTTAGGCAATAATTGGCAAGCCAAGGGACAGCTGCTTGTTGAAGTAACTCTCAGGCCCAGCCAGCCCGATTCCCCCATTCCATGGCCTGCCTGGTCCCTGTAGGTGATTGAGTTTCCCATCAGCAGCAGCTGGCCTTTGTCCAGGAAGTTTAGAACCCCAGATGGCACTGTGCCCAAACCCAAGCTACCAGCGCAGGAGCAAAATACAGGCGAAATGAACATACTCTGTGGCGCCCCCTACAGGGCAAGGAGCAGAAGCCATCAGCCTCTCCTGAAAGAGATTTCCTCTGCTGTCTGGGGAATTGTTCTCTAAATCTCCGTTAAACAGACATGCCCAGTGTGATGTCATGGGCAAAAGGTGAACTCTAGACCCAGACAAGCCACATGCAAATCCCCACCTTGACACTTACTAGCTGTGTGGCTTGGACGAGTTACTTAACTAGGGTTGCTGGGTAAAATACAGGATGCTCAGTTAAATTTGAATTTCGGGAAAAACTACACATTTTTTTTTTTTTAGTATAAGTATGTCTCAAATGTTGCATAGGACATACTTAACTTAAAAAATCACTCATTGTTTGCCAGGCAAGGTGGCCCACACCTGTAATCCCAGCACTTTGGGAGGCCAAGACAGGCGGATCATGAGGTCAGGAGTTTGAGACCAGCCTGGCCAACATAGTGAAACCCCATCTCTACTAAAAATACACAAATTAGCCAGGCATGATGGCATGCACCTGTAGTCCCAGCTACTCAGGAGGCTGAGGCAGGAGAATTGCTTGAACCTGGGAGGAGGAGGTTGTGGTGAGCTGAGGTGGCACCACTGCACTCCAGCCTGGGCAACAGAGCAAGACTCTGTCTCAAAAAAAAAAAAAATCACTCATTATTTATCTGAAATTCAAACGAAATTGGACATCTGTTTTTTGTTTTTGTTTTTGTTTTAGAGACGGGGTCTTGCTCTGTTGCCCAGGCTGAAATGCAGTGGTATGATCATAGCTCACCGTAACCTCAAACTCCTGGGCTCAAGCAATCCTCCTGCCTCAGCCTTCCAAGTAGCTGGGACTACAGGCCACACCACCACACTCAGCTAATTTTTTGTTTGTTTGTTTGTTTGTTTTTGTAGAGACAAGGTCTCGCTATGTTGGCAAGGCTTGTCTCCAACTCCTGGTATCAAGCAATCCTCCCACCTATGCCTCTCAAAGTGCTGGGATTACAGGCATGAGCCACCACGCAGAGTCACATCTGTATTTTTATTTGCTAAATCAGCAACATTTCTTCTGGGCCTCAGTTTTCTTATCTGCAAAATGGAGGCAATAAAAGGACTTACCACATAGAGTTATTACGAGGATTCAGTGTGTAAAGTGTTTTCAATAGTTGCTAGCACACAGTAAGTGCTCAATAGTGCCAGCTATTATTCTCTATCTTGACCAAGGTGAATAATGGCTTAATTAAAGCCTCACCCCTAAAATGAAAGGTCCTTGTGGGTAGTATCATGACTGCCTTGTTCCCTACTGAGTCCTCAGTGTCTAGAGCTATGCCTGGCAGAAAGCAGATGTTAACTCAGTAGATATTAAATGAATAAATAAATATGGTATATACACAGGAAGAAACGTATCAGATTAAAGTGGATACATCTCATGAGTATCCATTACTGCTAGAGAGAAAAGTGGCAAGCATTGCTTCTCTTTCAGTTTCCCTGACTGATGAAGAAGAAAAGAAAAGCAGATGCCATGTGGGGCCAACAGCCACCTCCAGCTAGTGGCTGTCCTGGGACCTGGCAGACAACAAGCTCTCTGAGTATATTTGTGATATCAATGTTGGTTGATGTTTCCATTTTCATTCAAACATAAGTAAAAATGGAAACAATGAAGACATATGTCAGAACTTTATTCATTAATTAATGACATAAATGGTCTTTTGCTAAACTGAATAACTTTCTCAATACTGAAAGAATTTTTCTCCAATTTTCTGTGTTATCCACAGTGTGATGATAAAGACACAACATGCCACACTAGGCTAACAGTCAGGCAGGTGCTGTGCAGTTCACCGCAGTCACCACCACAGGCACGAGCCCTATTGCCCCTTAAGGCAAATATCCTTTGCCACCTATCAACACGCTTGTGCTATTGTTTTCATTACAGTAGTACATTTCTTGGACCCATGGTAGAAAGACTGATCACTATATCCAAATATCCACTCTCTCACTGCTCTTTATCAATTGAACCCTTCAACTTTTAGTTGGGTACATGGCTCCTTTGCAGTAAGATGTGACTATGGTGTGTGAGCCAATCTAATGTGTGCAGAGGGAATTGTGTAACTTGCGTCATATCCTCAGAAGAGAAGATGCTACCCTTGTCTTCTTCTTCCCACCCATCCCCTGGATTGGAGAAAGGAAGAGGTGTTTCCACCACATGGGCAATAACTCCCCAGGAGATGACAAAGCAAAAAGATAAAAGGAACCTGGGTCCTTGGATAACCTCATGGAATAGAGCTGCCTTTTCTCTGTGGCTTTCCCACTTAGCTCTGGACTATTGTACGAGAAAGAAATAAACTAAATTGTTTGAGCTGCTGTCATCTGGGGGTCTTTTTGTTATAGCAGCTCAGCCTATATCCTAATATACCATGTCTCCATCAAAGGTGGGAAAATGAAAGAAAGACAAAATAGCTTATATCATGTTTCAAGAAAAACTGGACAGAACCCTTTTCCTTGCAGAAGCAAAGACTATCTCTACATCCAGCCCACTTCTCCAACTTACCTGGCCCCTGAGTTTGCAATCCCTGAGCACTGAGATGGGAACATATAGATGGGTCTCAGGTACACACCTGCAGGCTGGGGATGGTGAAGGCAACATTCCGGGAATTCAGATAGGCCAGGACTCTGTGGGACAGGTCATCCGTCCACACGTGGGAGCTTCAGTTGAAGACAGACAGGAAAAGATCACAATGACAGATTCTCCTACAAGCACTACTGTACTAGCTAAGTGCCCAGGGGACAGGTAGGGATGGACCAGGGGTGTTAGGACTTTGTACTTGGAAGTGGGAGGTTTCTCTTTTCTTTTCTTTCCTTTTTTCTTTTCTCTTTTTTTGAAACAGGGTCTTGCTCTGTTGCGCGATCACGGCTCACTGCAGCCTCAATCTCCCCAGCCCAAGTGATCTTCCAACCTCAGCCACCCAAGCAGCTGGGATCACAGGTGCATGCCACAACACCCAGCTAATTTTTTGTAGAGATGGGGTCTCACTATGTTGCCCAGGCTGGTCTCAAACTCCTGGGCTCAAGCAATCCTCCCACCTCTGCCTCCCAAAGTACTGGGATTACAGGAGTGAGCTGCTGCACCCAGCCTGAAGTAAAAAATTTCTTAACCAGGCACAGTGATAGGATAGTTTCCAATTCTAGGAATCTGCCTGGATCCCATTCTCTCAAAGCCAATTCCCAAATTTCTAAGCTGTATGCAATATTCTAATTCCCGTAACAATCTGCTTAGATTGACTACAATCCAAACTGATTGTGTTAGAAAGATGTACATTTAAAAGCAGACGCTAGGTACACCATGAGAGGCTGGAATAGCATAGTTAGGAGTGTGGGCTCCAAACTGGATTTGAATCCTAGTTCCATCACTTAGTTGTGTGGCTTGAGACAATTTGATAAATTTTCTTGTGCCTCAGTTTCCCTTTATATGAAATATGGTTAACAACTGTGAGATTAAAATTTGTTCACACATGAAAATTGCGTAAGACTGTGCCCAACACACAGTAAATGCCCATGAATAGCCTTTTCTCATTTTTTTTTTTTTTTTTGGAGACAGAGTCTCACTCTGTTACCCAGGCTGGAGTGCAGTGGTGCAATCTCAGCTCACTGCAACCTCCGCCTCCCAGGTTCAAGCGATTCTCCTGCCTCAGCCTTCCAAGTAGCTGGAATTACAGGCGTGCACCACCACATCCAGCTCATTTTTCTATTTTTAGTAGATACTGAGTTTTGCCATGTTGGCCGGGCTGGGCTGGAACTCCTGGCCTTAAGCGATCCTCCTACCTTGGCCTCCCAAAGTGCTGGGATTACAGGATAAGCCACCATGCCCAGCCTATGAAAAGCCTTTTGTAATCTTACGTTTGCTTCTTTGTTTGTTTGTTTGTTTGTTTTGCGATGGAGTCTCACTCTGTTGCCCAGGCTGGAGTGCAGTGGCTCAATCTTGGCTTATCACAACCTCAGCCTCCCGCGTTCAAGTGATCCTCCTGCCTCAGCCTCCTGAGTAGCTGGGACTACAGGTATGCACCACCATGCCTAGCTAATTCTTTTGTACTTTTAGTAGGGACAGGGTTTCACTATGTTGGCCAGGCTGGTCCCGAACTCCTGACTTCATGATCCGCCCACCTTGGCCTCTCAAAGTCCTGGAATTATAGGCATGAGCCACCGCGCCCGGCCTGTAATCTTATAAAGAGATGGATGGATGGATGGATGGATGGATGGATAAATTAATAAACAAATAAAATACTTAGACTGAAAGAATATATCCAAAAGTACCCATTGGTGTTATCTTAGGGAAAGGAGTGGTTATGGGAGTCTTTCACTTTAACATAACTGGGTATCCCTGATATGAGGCCCCAAGACCCCTATTTCTTATCGATCATAGTACTCATCATATTAGAATTGTTTATTAATATTGGCGTTTCCACACTACCTAGTTCCCTGCCCCATGTCCCTGGTATCTGTCTGTATGCAGCTTATAATGCAACAGTAAAGGGAATGGGTCCTGGAGCCAGGCCACTGGTTCACATCCCAGTTGTGTGTCCTTGATTTACCCTTCCTGGACCTCAGTTTCACCATTGTGTGCAATGGGATAACAATGGGAACTACATTGTGTGGCACTTGTGAGGATTAGATTGTTTCTATACCAAGCGCTTAGTAGAATACCCACTACATAGAAAGCACTCAATAAATTTCAGCTCTTAGGCCGGTTGCGGTGGCTCACACCTGTAATCCCAGCACTTTGGGAGGCTGAGGCCGGCAGATCACCTGAGGTCAGGAGTTTGAGACCAGCCTGGCCAACATGGTGAAAACCCATCTCTACTAAAAATACAAAAATTAGCCGGGCATGGTGACAGGTACCTGTTACCCCAGCTACTCAGGAGGCTGAGGCAGGAAAATTGCTTGAACCCCGGAGGCAGAGGTTGCAGTAGTGAGCCAAGATAGCACCACTGCACTCCATCCTGGGCAACAAGAGCGAAACTCCATTCAAAAAAAGAAAAAAAATTGGCCCTTATGCTAGAGTGAGGAGGAATGATGCCCGTGGAGCAAGGGTGTTTGTTGACTTTTAACACATTGTGCATTGATTGACATTTTTTGTAATGAGCACATATTACTTTTTACAATTAAGAGACTTCCATTAAGAATTTTTATTAAAAATCTATACCATCCCTTCCCCTCTCCTCTAGGGCATTTTACCTTTGAAACTGTATGAGATCCAGCAGTGCTACAATGGGAGTAAAATGAAAAGACATCTTTAAAAGGAATCATTCCAGAGAGATCACAGCTACATTCTGTTTGAAATTCTTAGAAGAAGCAAGTGGAGATCAAGGGGGCACATTACCATTCAGATAGCTTCCATCTATTATTTCTTCCTAAAAGGCAAAGAGATAACATCAAGTATAACAACCAAAAGTTGGCAATTCCAGTAGAGGGGACTCTGATTAACAGAAAATAGAATACTCACCGCCATGTTTTGCAACAATGGATGCAAATCTGTAAGAAAGCCATTGAATGTATAACTAGAATTGAATTGTGTGACCTTCAAAACTACAAATATGGGTTAGAGGAAAAGCCCCAGAAAGCCACTCATGAAGGAAATTTTTAGTGAATTTTAATTATAACTGTCCACTCTGAGAAAACCGTGGCTTGAAAAATCCTCTTAGAATAATCCTGAAAAATCATACATGCACACACACACAGCCCAAAAACAACTTACAGCATCATGTACCTAATGTATCTATCCCACCTCATTCCCTAAACTGTGTGGAAACCACAAAGGGTGATTCTTCCCTCAGGACTTACCCTGCCTGGAATTTGGCACTGTATAACTCGACACTCCATGGCTCAGAAAAAGGAATAGGAAAAGGGAGTATGTCGTAGGTTCCTGAGACATTCTCCTGTAGTTAATTTAAGCATAGAAGTGATTCATGTTTTTTTAATATATATATATATACACACACACACATATATATACATGTATATAAACATATATATATATATGGACATTCAGAAGACAAAAGGAAAAACCAAGTACACCCAGAATCCCTTGAAGTCTTTTTTAAAAATAATTTTAAAACTCACCTACTTTCCTCCATCTAAACCCCCATTCTTGTCTAAGACACTATCATCTCTCTCCTTGGTGACTACAATGGCCTGTTTATCTTACCACTACCCCCAACTCCTCTCAATCCAGCAAAAAGGTATAGTCAAAAGTAGACTCTGGGCCAAGCATGGTGGCTCACACCTGTAATCCCAGCACTTTGCATGGCCAAGGTGGGTGGATCTCTTGAGGTCAGGAGTTCGAGACCAGCCTGGCCAACATAGTGAAACCCTGTCTCTACTAAAAATAAAAAATTAACTGGGTATGGTGGTGCATGTCTGTAGTCCCAGCTACTTGGGAGGCTAAGACAGGAGAAGTGCCTGAATCTGTGAGGTAGAGGTTGCAGTGAGCCAAGATTGTGCCACTGCACTCCAGCCTGGGCAACAGAGCGAGACTCTGGAAAAAAAAAAGTATAGACTCTATTTTATCTGCAAGAAATTTATATCCAGAATACAAAAACTACTCTTATAATTCAATAAGAAGATAGACAAGCCAAGGGGAAAAAATGTTAAAAAGATATGAAGTTGGCCAGGCGCAGTGGCTCACGCCTGTAATCCCAGCACTTTGGGAGGCTGAGGTGGGCGGATCATGAGGTCAGGAGATCCAGACCATCCTGGCTAACACGGTGAAACCCCGTCTCTAATAAAAATACAAAAAAATTAGACGGGCGTGGTGGCGGGCGCCTGTAGTCCCAGCTACTCAGGAGGCTGAGGAAGAAGAATGGCGTGAACCCTGGATGCGGAGCTTGCAGTGAGCCGAGATCACGCCACTGCACTCCAGCCTGGGCGACAGAGCAAGACTCCGTCTCAAAAAAAAAAAAAAAAAAAAGATATGAAGCTAAACTTCATAAAAACAGATGTAAAAATGGCCAATAAGCACACAAATGATTATCACATTAGCTAACAAGAACTAGCAAATTAAACTCACAACGAGACCACTACAAAGTCACTAGAATGGGCAAAAATTTCAAAGACTGACTATCAAATGTTGGTGATGATATGGAACAACAGGAACTCTGATACAGCTGCTTGGAAAAACTGTTTGACAGTGTCTTACAGAGTTAAATATACAATACCCTATGATCAAGAAATGCCACCCCTAGGTATTTAAGCAAGAGAAATGAAAACATGTCTACACAAAGATTTATATAGCTTCATTCATAGTAGCCAGATATTGGAAACAATCACATATCCAATAACAGGTGAAAGGTTAAACATGGATCTCCATTCAGTGGGATACCATTCAGTAATAACAATAAAAAGAAATTCATCATAATTTTATTCTAGCTATGATGGAGTAATTGGCAATGGATAAACCGTCCTGCCTTAAACAATTAAAAAGCTGGCTGAAATATGTGCATCCAAAGGTTTTTCAGACATTGGGCAGCAGGTAGCACAAGACTGAGATCCCTGAGCAAGGAAGGCAAACAAGCTGAGCTCTATAATTGCTCCTGCTCACTGCCTGGAGTCTCCATCCAACAGCACAAGGAGGGAGAATCCAAACAGAGCCTACAGGTCTCACTGAGCAGAAGAGACGGAGTGGAACTTCAGGGAAATCAAGGCAGCTAGAATCCATAAGAAGAATACTTGGAGAGGAGGAAGTTGCACAGAGAGAAAGTTCTGGAGATCTGAAGAAGGGTCTTTTGAGACTTTGGCTGAATATTTATCTACCTTTGCATGTAAGAAACCTCCTGAGGCTGGAGAATGAACCACCAGTAGGCAGAACAATCCTTGGACCTCACAGGGGAATGAGAATAGCTCCTGCAAGCTGCAATGGAAAAACCTCCAAACACATTGGGCATCAGGGTCAATCATCAAAGAACAATTGCCTCCATGATAGGCCAAATTAGCCCTAGGCTAAAGTTTATTCCAGATCTGCCCTAACAAATCTCAAAAGCAAGTCTTGGAAGGATCTAATTGATTCCAAGTAACTGAATTGCATTCCAGAACAAAACCCAACAATATTTAAAGCAGTATCATAAAACCCAGAAACTTCAGAAAACCAGAAGATGGAGAAAGAAAAAAAAGAAAAAAAAAATCCAGCAATGTAAAATCCGAAGTGTCCAGATCTAATCAAAAATTATCAGGCAGGCCAAGCACAGTGGCTCATGCCTATAATCCCAGCCCTTTGGGAGGCCAAGGAAGGTGAATTGTCTGAGCTCAGGAGTTTGTGACCAGCCTGGGCAACATGGTGAAACTCTGTCTTTACCAAAAATGCAAAACTTTGCCAGGGATGTGGCAGGTGCCCAACTACTCAGGAGGCTGAGGTGGGAGGGTCACTGAAGCCTGGAAAGTTGAGGCTGCAATGAGCCATGATTATGCCACTGCACTCCAGCCAGGGTGACAGAGCGAGAACCTGTCTCAAAGAAATTTTTTAATAAATAAATAAAAATTACCAGGCATACTAGGAAGCAGGAAAATATGGCTGATTATCAGGAGAAAAATCCAATCAATAGAACAGATCCAGAAATGACACAGAAGATCCAATTAATGGACAAGGATGTTTATTATAAATACACTCTGGAAGTTCAAGAAAGTAGGGAAAACTGCGAGCATGTTAAAGGGAGAGACATGGTAGGTGCGAAAAAAACCCCAAGAGGAACTTCTAGAGATAAAAATACAATATCTGAAATGGAAAATACACGGGATAGAGTTAACAGCATATTAGACACTGCAGAAGAAAAATTAGTGAACTTGAAGTCATAGCAAAATAAATTATCCAAAGTAAAATGCAGGGGGAAAAAGACTGAAAAAATTAAGAGGGCTCTGGAGCAATATGAAACTATTTGAAATATGTGTAACTGGAGTCCCAGGAAAGGAGGGGGTGGCACAAAAATATCTGAATAAATCATTAGCAGGGCACAGTGGCTCACGCCTGTAATCCCACATTTTGGAAGGTTGAGGTGGGCAAATCACTTGAGGCCAAGAGTTCAAAACCAGCCTGGCCAACATGGTGAAGCCCCATCTCTATAAAAAAAAAAAAAAAAAAAAAAAAAAAAAATAGCCAGGTGTGGTGGCTGTAATCCCAGCTACTCAGGAGGCTGGGCACAAAAATCACTTGAACCTGGGAGGCGGAAGTTGTAGTGAGCCAAGATTGCACCACTGCACTCCAGCCTAGGTGACAGAATGAGACTGAAAAAAAAAAGAGAGAGAGAGAAAGAAAAAGAAAGAAGGAAAGAAAGAGAGAAAGAAAAAGAAAGAAAGAAAGAAAGAAAGAAAGAAAGAAAGAAAGAAAGAAAGAAAGACAGAAAGAAAACATGACCTCATGACCAAATTTGTGTAAAGTTTGATAGAACTACAGATCCACAGATCCAAGAAGCTCAACCAACCCCAAGCAGAGGAATCATGAATAAAGCCACGCCAAGGCATATAATAATCAAATTGCTAAAAAAAAAAAAAAAAAAAAAAAAAAGATTTTTAAAAAAAATCCAGCAAAAAGGAGTTGCATCTAGACTATATTGAAAAACTCTTAAAACTAAAAAATAAATAAGCAATCCAATCAGAAAACGAGCAGAAGATATGTGCAGATATATCATCAAAGTATATATACAGATAGCAAATAAACACATGGGAAGATACTCAGCACTGTTAGCCATTAGGAAAATGACCACTGAAACCACAGTATAATTATAGGCCTATCAGATGGCTAAAATAAAAAAAAAAAAACCATAATGAAGCCAGGCGCAGTGAATCATGCCTGTAATCCCAGCACTTTGGAAGGCCGAGGTGGGTGAATCACCTGAGATCAGGAGTTTGAGACCAGCCTGGCCAACATGGTGAAACCCCATCTCTACTAAAAATACAAATATTAGCCGGGCATGGTGGCTCATGCCTGTAGTCCCAGCTACTCAGGAGGCTGAGGCAGGAGAATTGCTTGAACCGAGGAGGCGGAGGTTGCAGTGACTGGGAGGCAGAGGTTGCAGTGAGCCAAGATTGCACCACTGCACTCCAGCCTGGGCAACAGAGTGAGACTTCAACTCAAAAATAAATAAATAAATGTAACCATAATGCCATTAACTAGAAAGAATGAGGAGAAACTGGATCACTCACACATTGCTGATGAGAATATAAGGTGGTACAGCTATTCTGGAAAATAGTTTTGTTGTTTCTTATAAAATTAAATGTGTACTTAACGTACAGCCCAACAATTACACTCTTGGGCATTTATCCCAGAAAAATGAAAATTTATGTTCACATAAAAACCTGTACACAGGCTGGGCATGGTGGCTCACGCCTATAATCCCAGCACTTTGGGAGGCTGAGGCGGGTGGATCACGAGGTCAGGAGATCAAGACCATCCTGGCTAACATGGTGAAACCCCATCTCTACTAAAAATACAAAAAATTAGCTAGGCGTGGTGGTGGGCGCCTGTAGTCCCAGCTACTTGGGAGGCTGAGGCAGGAGAATGGCATGAACCCAGGAGACAGAGCTTGCAGTGATGCAGTGAGCCAAGATCACGCCACTGCATTCCAGCCTGGGTGACAGTGTGAGACTCCAACTCAAAAAACAAACAAACAAACAAACAAAACCTGTACACAAATGTTCATAGCATCTTTATTCATAGTAGCTGAAAAATTGAACCAATCTAAATGTCATTCCGTAGGTGAATGGTTAAACTCACTGTGTGTGGTATGTCCACGCCATTGAATACTACTCAGCAATGAAAAGGAATGAACTATTGATACAGGCAACAACTTTGATGCACCTAAAGGGAATTATGCAGAGGGAAGAAAGCCAATCACTGAAAGTTATATACTAATGATTCCAATTATAAAGCATTCTTGAAATAAAATTATAGAAATGCAGACTAGATTGGTATTTGCCATGGGGAGAGGGAGATAAGGCTGTCAAGGGATGCATGAAAGAGGCTTGTGATCACCAGGAGAGTTCTGGGTCCTGATTAGGGTAGCTGATACATTAGTCTACACATGTCACAAAATTGAAGAAAACGATATAAAATATACACACAAAGGAGTGCATGTAAAACTAGTGAAATCTGAATAAGCCCTGAATTTGTACCATGATTTCCTGAATTTTATATGGTACTATTGTTACATAACATGTAACCAATGGGGGAAACTGGGTGAAGAGTACACAGGATATTTCTTTTGCAACTTCCTATGAATCTGTAGTTATTTCAAATTCTTTTTTATTTTCTTGAGAGACAGAGTCTTTCTCTGTCACCCAGCCTGCAGTGCAGTGGCATGATCATGGCTCACTGCAGCCTTGAACTCCTGTGTTCAAGTGATCCTCTGGTCTCAGCCTCCTGAGAAGCTGAGACTACAGGCATGCACTACCATGCCCAGCTAATTCTTTTAGTTCTTGTAGAAATGGGTTCTTGCTATGTTTCCCAGGCTGATCTCAAACTCCTGGCCTCAAGCAATCCTCCCATCTCGGCCTCCCAAAGTGCTAGGAATACAGGCATGGGCCACCATCCCTGGCCACACAATTGTTTTTTAATTTAGTTATAGTAGTCTGTACCACTGTAGGATGACAATAGTTAACAATAATATATAGTTTCAAATAGCTAGAAGGAAGATACTGAACAGAAAGAAATGAGAAATGTTTGAGATGGTAGACATGCTAATTACCCTGACTGATCACCATACATTATACACATCAAAACATCTTTATGTACCCCATAAATATGTACAATTATTATATGTCAATTTTTTTTTTTTTTTTTGAGATGGAGTCTCACTCTGTCACCCAGGCTGGAGTGTAGTGGCGCAATCTCGGCTCACTGCAACCTCCGCCTCCCAGGTGCAAGCGATTCTCCTGCCTCAGCCTCCTGAGTAGCTGGGATAACAGGCATGCGCCACCACACCCAGCTAATTTTTGTATTTTTAGTAGAGATGGGGTTTCGCCATGTTGGTCAGGCTGGTCTGGAACTCCTGACCTCTGGTGATCAGCCCACTTCAGCCTCCCAAAGTGCTGGGATTGCTGGCGTGAGCCACCGTGCCCGGCGTATATGTCAATTTTTTAAATAAATAAAATAATAAAT
Source organism: Homo sapiens (assembly GCF_000001405.40). Lineage (NCBI taxonomy): Eukaryota > Metazoa > Chordata > Mammalia > Primates > Hominidae > Homo > Homo sapiens. The sequence goes on along the minus strand of NC_000016.10, from coordinate 21,672,304 downwards.
TTTTAAGCACCCAAAGGGAAAAAACCCATATTATATGCATAGGAAAAGGAATACACTACTGATATAGGCAACAACACAGATGAACCTCAGAAACATTATGCTTATGCTGAGCAAAAGAAGCCAGTCAAAAAAGACCACATAACATATGATTCCATTTCTGTGAAACTCTAAGTTATCTAGAATATCTAGATTCTAGGTTATCTAGGTTACCTAGAATAATCTTCAGTGACAGGAAACAAATTAGGATTGGTCTGGGGCATTATTAGGGTACAATGGGAAAAGTTTATTGCAACAGGGCACAAGGGAACTTCTTGGAGTGATGGAAAAATTTTTTTTGTAGATATAGGGTCTCACTATAGTGCCCAAGCTGGTCTCAAACTCCTGGTTTCAAGCAATCCTCCCTTCGAGCTTCCCAAAGTACTGGGATTACAGGTGGATGCCATTGCACCCAGCCCCCATTTTTTGTATCTTGATTGTGGTGGTTGTCACACAGATACATACATTTATCAGATCTCACTGAACTGTACACTTAGTGTGCATTGTATTGCCTGTAAATTTATACCTCACAAAAGTCAGTATCAAACAGAAATGGAAAAGCATGGACTGTGGAGCCAGTCACCTGTTCTGAATCACGTCTCCGCCACTTACTAGCTGTGCAATGTTGGACATATTTCTTTCTTTTTTTTTTTCTTTTTTCTTTTTTCTTTTTTTTTTTTTTGATATGGAGTCTTACTCTCTTGCCCAGGCTGGAGTGCAGTGGTGCAATGTAGGCTCACTGCAACCTCTGCTTCCCAGGTTCAAGCGATTCTTCTGCCTCAGCCTCCTGAGTAGCTAGGATTACAGGTACCCACCACCACACCAGGCTAAGTTTTGTATTTTTAGTAGAGACAGGCTCCCACCATGTTGGCCAGGCTGATCTCGAACTCCTGACCTCAAGTGATCCACCCACTTTGGCCTCCCAAAGTGCTGAGATTACAGGTGTGAGCCACTGAGCCCGGCCTTGGACGAGTTTCTTAATCTCTCTGCACTCCAATTTTCTCGTCTGTAAAATGAGATTAATGATGGTACCAGCATCACTGTGTCGTATGAGGGTAAAATGAGTTGTTAATAGTGAATCACTTCAAACAGGGCTTGACACAAAGTCAGCTCTGTATACAAGTTTATTAAATAAGCAAAGAAACCAGATTGCTGTTTTCAAACAGATGCTGTTTTGAAAAACACCATCTCAATAAACTCATGTCACCCTCCGCCTCTCCCCATTACCCTCAAGATAAAGCCCAAAGCTTTTCCAGTGGCTGTATCACCCTCCTCTTTGCCCCTCATTCCCCAAGGTTCCTGCCCGGGCCATCTGTCTGTCCCTCCAAGGTGCTATCCTCCCCAGATTAAGACCCTCTCACAGGCTGTTCCTCGGCCCAGAGGATTCTTCCCCTTCCTCTTTGCCCGGCTAAGATCAATTCATTGTAAATTTCAAGTCTTCAATGAAGCCTTCCCTGAATTCTCTGACCAGGCCAAAGCAATTAGCCAGAAGAAAAGGCCAATACTTCTCTTTTATAGCACCAAGCACAGCTATAATACATATTTATGTTTGTGTAATTATTTCATGCTTTCATTCTTCAAATATTTGTTGAGTAGTGCTGTGAGCCAGGCATTATTCTATGCTCTGAGAATACAGCAGTTTACAAAACTAACTCCCTGCTGGTGTGTTGGAATGAACCAGGCAGAAAATAGATAATCAAATAACTATATTATGTCAGGGAGTGATGAGTGCCATGGAGAAAAATACAACAGGGTAGGAAAAAGGAGCCAAAGAAGGAGCAGGTACTATTATAGACAGTTTGGTCAGGGAAGACCTGAGGAGGTGACATTTAAGCAGAGACCTCAGGAAGTGAAGGAATGAACCACGGGAATATCTGGAGAAAGAAAGTTCCAGAAAGAAAAGAAAATGACAGTGCAAAGGCTTTGATATTAGGAGCATAATTTGCATGTTCTTCAGTAAATTGCACGAAGAGGATATAACAGTAGGACATGGGGTTGGAGAGGTATCAGGGCCAGAGTGAGTAGGGTCTTTCAGGCCATTGTGAGCGCTCTGACTTTTACTTGGAGGGAGGTGGGAGCCACTGAAGGGATATTAGCCAGGATGGATGCTCTGACTTGTTTTTGTTTTTGTTTTGTTTTGTTTGAGATGGTGTCTCACTCTGTCGCCCAGGCTAGAGTGCAGTGGCACAATCTCAGCTCACTGCAACCTCTGCCTCCCCGGCTCAAGTGATTCTCCTGCCTCAGCCTCTCAAGTAGCTGGGATTATAGGTGCCCACCACCACACCCAGCTAATTTTTATATTTTTGGTAGAGACGAGATTTCACCCTGTTGGCCAGGCTGGTCTCGAACTCCTAAGCTCAAGTGATCCACCCACCTCAGCCTCCCAAAGCTCTGGGATGACAGGTGTGAGCCACTGTGCCTGGCCCTGACTTTTATTTTAACTGGATCAAGCACATTGATTGCTGTGTTGAGAATACCCTGGAGTGGAACAATGGCTGTAGCAGGCAGACCAATCTAGGAAAGAGATGACAATAACTTGGTCATTGATAGCAGTGAAGGTGGTGAGAAGTGGTTGGATTTTGGAGGTATTTGGAAGGCGGAACCAAAAGATCGAATGTAGGGAATAAAAGAAATAGACAGGTCAAAGACAACGCCAAGGATTTGGCCTGAGCATGTAGAGAGGGAGATGGGAAAACCATAGGAGTTCCAAGTTTAGGGAAGGATCCCTGGAGCTCAGTTTTGGACATACTAAGCTTGAGAAGCCTTTTAGAGTGCAGATAGCATAGCAAGTAGGCAGTTTGATGTTTGAGCCTGCAGGTTAGGGGAGAGGTGCTGTCAGAAGCAGCTATCTAAACAGAGATAGTCAGTGGTTTTTTGTGTTTGCTTTTTTGTTTGTTCTTCTGTTTTGGGGGTTTTTTTGGGGTGGGGGACAGAGTCTCACTCTGTCACGCACGCTGGAGTGCAGTGGCACGATCTCAGCTCACTGCAACCTCTGCCTCCCAGGTTCAAGTGATTCTTGTGTCTCAACCTCCCGAGTAGCTGGGATTACAGGCTTGTGCCACCGCACCGGCTAATTTTTGTATTTTTAGTAGAGACGGGGTTTCACCATGTTGGCCAGGCTGGTCTCAAACTCATGACCTCAAGGGATCCACCTGACACAGGCTCCCAAAGTGCTGGGATTACAGGCATGTAATCCCACTGCACCCGGCCCCAGATAGTCAGCATGTATTTAAACCCTGAATGATATCACCAAGAAAGTAAATTTACGGAGAAATTAGGTGAGTTTTAAGGACTGAGACCCATGGCACCCCCATTGCCAAGACGTTGAGTAGACTAGGTGCAGCCAGAGAAATCAAGACTGTGGAAAACTCCCCAAAACAAACAACCTAGTTTCTTTAGCCAATATATTACAGAGAGAGAGAGAAAGAGAACCTATTAACTCAAAAACAAAAGATTGATCACTTGTAGAATCTAGACTTTATTTGGATCCTGATTCAAACACGTCATGTCTGGGCACGGTGGCTCACACCTGTAATCCCAGCACTTTGGGAGGCCGAGGCGGGCAGATCACTTGAGGTCAGGAGTTTGAGACCAGCCTGACCAACATGGTGAAAACCCATCTCTACTAAAGATACAAAAACTTAGCTGGGCATGGTGGCGCATGCTAATAATCCCAGCTACTCGGGAGGCTGAGGCAGGAGAATCTCTTGAACCCGGGAGGCAGAGGTTGCAGTGACCCGAGATCATCCCATTGCACTCCAACCTGGATGACAAGAGTGAAACTCTGTCTCCAAAAAAAAAAAAAAAAAGAAAGAAACAAAGCAAACAAACAAAAAATACCATAAAATAAAATAAAAAATTAGGCCAGGCACAGTGGCTCACACCTAATCCCAGTGTTTTGGGAGGCCAAGGCGGAGGATTGTTTGAGGCCAGGAGTTTGAGACCAGCCTGGGCAACACAGCATGACTCCATCTCTATAAAAACATTTAAAATTTAGCCTGGCGTGGTGATGCACACCTGTAGTCCTAGCCACTCAGGAGGCTGAGATGGGAGGATCTCTTGAGCTCCAGAATTCAAGGCTGCAGTGAGCTATGATCATGCCACAGCACTCCAGCCTGAGTGACAGAACAAGATCCTGTCTCAAAAAAACCCAAAAAATTGTGAGACAATTGAGGAAATTTGAACCCCTGATTAGATATTTGAAGATTTTAAAGAATTATTGTTAATAGTTTTAAGTTTGATAATGAAACTGTGGTTATATTTTTAAAGGAGTCCTTATTGTTTCAAGGAGGGGTTAGTAAAGTACCACCCACGGACCAAATGGAAATGGCCACCTGATTTTGCGTGGCTCATGAGCTTAAAATGATTTTTTAGGTTGTTTAAATAGTTTTTTAAAACCAAAAGAATAATATTTATTGACATATGAAAATTTCCTGTGTGAAATTTAAATTTAAGTGTCTATAAATAAAGTTTTATTGGCACATGTCCATGCCCATTCATTGGCCTATTGTCCATGGCAGCTTCCTGCTACCATAGCAGAGTTGAGTACTTGGGACAGGGACCACACGGCCTCCAAAGCTCAAAATATGTATTCCATGTTCCCTTACTGAAAAAGCTTGCCAGCCCTTCTTTTATTTTATGTATTTATTTAATTGTTTTTTTTTTTTTAAGACAGAGTCTCTCTCTGTTACCCACGCTGGGGTTACCATGCCTCAGCCTCCCAAGTAGCTGGGACTACAGGCGCCCGCCACTACGCCCGGCTAATTTTTTGTATTTTTAGTAGAGACAGGGTTTCGCCGTGTTAGCCAGGATGGTCTCGATCTCCTGATCTTGTGATCTGCCCGCCTCGGCCTCCCAAAGTGCTGGGATTACAGGCGTGAGCCACCGCGCCCAGCCGCCATCCCAGCATTCTTTAATACAGATTTCCCTCGTATTGTCTAACTTGTTATGCAAATGGATTATTTTTCCCCCAAGGGGACCTCCACAACCAGCTTTGAAAACAATTATGCTTACTTTACTGCCCAGGACAAAAACAGTAAAACTTTTGAAGTTCCCAGACACCAAAAGCCCTGCATTCTAACAGGTTTTGAGCAAACCTGATCCCAAAGCACTTTGTAGGTGTGTTGGCCCACCATCACCATCCTGTAACTGGAATGCTCAACTCCAATTAGAAGTCTTCCTGGTTTGGGTCATTTGGGGCTTTGGGGAACCTTTGACCCTTTTTTCTCCCTTCCCTTTGGGCAGCTGCCCTGGGACATTGGCCCCATTCACAATTCTCCAGTTTCCCAGACAATGTGGCTTCTTGTGCTCTTTGCTCGGGCCCCTCTATTAACCCTACAGAGAGGTTTCAGGTTACTGAAACAGACGCCTTGCTTTCTGCTGTGCATAATGTCCTTTTTCCAGCGAGAAACTGCAGCCCATCAGGATCTGGTTTTCATTAAAGGCACTTTGGGTCACTTTTTTAGCAGATTGGTCAAAAGGACTGAAAGGACTGGGCAGGGCGATGATGATTTGGAGGTCGATAGCTTTCTCTATGGGCCATACCCCTTCCCCACTGAAAGATTCCCCCACTGCAGACTGGAGGAAATCAGTCAGGCAAGGATCCCTGTGGTGAAAACTACTCGAAAACAGCAACAATAACCACAAACCTGAAATGAAGACAATTTCCTGAGAAACTATGAATGTTTGGATGTGCAAGGTGATCAACTTTCCCAGTTGCCCGGGACCAAAAGGTTTCCCAGGACTCAAAACTTTCCATTTTGAAACCAGAAAGTCACAGGCAAACCCGGAGGAGTTGGTCAACCCATGGATCAGAGTCACTTCATCTTCTGTGAAATTTGCAAAGATGCTAGGAGGTTCCCCTCCTGCTGGGACACCCCAGCCCAGACACAAACCATTAATTCACAATTACATGGAGTTTCACTGTCTGCAAGGCTGCTCCATTTAAGCTCTGGGTCATGAACACATAACTCTAGGCATACTGACACTAGCTGGGAGATTTTCCACCAAAAAAAAAAAAAAAAAATGCCATTTCATGACTATTAATCCAAAATAGGTAAATGTGTCTGGCTTATAGAATACCAGCCTGATTACAAATGCTTGGTGTTGGAATGGCCCAGCTCACAGTGGTTGTAGAAGTCCAGTAGGCCCAGGCTTTGTGGCTCACTCCTGTAACCCCAGCACTTTGGGAGGCCAAGGTGGGAGGATCACTTGAGTCCAGAAGTTCAAAACCAGCCTGGGCAACATAGGGAGACTCCATTTCTACAAATAATTTAAAAATTAGCTGGGTGCATGCTTGTAGCCCTAGCTACTCAGGAGGTTGAGGCAGGAGAATTGCCTGAGCCTGGGAGGTCGAGGCCACAGTGAGCCGCGATCACATGTCACTACATTCCAGCCTGGGTGACAGAGCAAAACCCTGGCTGGAAAAAAAAAAAATTCAAGCAGTCAAGGGGATGGGAGCTTGGTGGACTAGAGATGCCCAGACTTGAGTTCCTGTCCCAGCCCTGCCACTAATAGTGAGATTTTAGGCACAGCTATTCCCCTTCTTCTCTCCTAAGTCTCCGGAGAACAAATGGCTTTGGATTCAATGAGGAAAAGAAGGAAAGAAAGGAAGAAACTGGTCTCACTGAGCATCCTCTATGAGCCGGGCATCACACCAAACCCTCCTCCCTGCCATTTACTCTTTCCACCAGCCTTGAAGGGTTACCGTACTCAGTTTCACAGATGAGTTCAGTGCACATGAACGATCACACAGCAAGCGAATGGCAGGGAGGGGGTTATGATGCAGGGCTGTGGGGCTCCCTAGTAACCTTAATCCCAGCAGTCATTTAATGAGACAGAACTAAGTACACGCCTCTCTAACATACATTGTCTCGCTTAATTCTTGTAGAATCTTTGAGGCAAGCATTACCATTATCTCTACTTCACAGATGAGCAAATGGGTTCTGAGAGGTCAAGTGACCTGCCCAAGGTCACACAGCTATGCATGCACAGCCAGGTGGCAAACCCAGAGCTAAATGATTCCAACGCTCACTGGCTTTGCTCTCCAGTGTCAGCTCAGCAGCCCTGAACCTAAAACTCCAGGTGGCAGGTGCCACCCCAGGGATAAGACCCCAGCTTTAACCTGAACCAAACCTTAACCAGCTGTGTGCTATTGGGCAAATTCCTTAACCTCTATAGGCTTGCATTTCCTCCTCTGCATAGTAGGCATGGCACTCATACCTCCCTGGCAAAAAACTATCAACTTTATTTGTTTATTTATTTATTTATTTATTTATTTATTTATTTATTCATTCATGAGACAGAGTCTCCCTGTGTCGCCCAGAATGGAGGGCAGTGGCCTGATCTCGGCTCACTGCAACCTCCACCTGCCGGATTGATGCGATTCTCCTGCCTCAGCCTCCGGAGTAGCTGAGATTACAGGCGCCCGCCACCACACCTGGCTAATATTTGTATTTTTAGTAGAGATGGAATTTCACCACTTTGGCCAGGCTGGTCTCGAACTCCTGGCCTCAAGTGATTCTCCTGCCTCAGCCTCCCAAAGTGCTGGGATTACAGGTGTGAGCCCCGGCCTTTACCTGCATTTTTCCATTTCTTCCACACAACTGTTATGAGGTAGGCATTACTTTATACATAAAATACATAAAGAACTAAGCCCAGCACTGGCACATATAAGAATGCAATGAATCGTAGCTATTATTACTAATGCTATTGTTTTTACTGCTGCTATATTATTATAACAAATAATCATTGTGATAGTTATTGCAACAGTTGTCATCGCTGTTATTATATTACTAAGTAGTTTTGGATCCCTTTTCTCGAAGTTTCATCGTCCCCCCCCTCCAAGTGCCCTCCAATCCCAGGAGCCCTTAAAGCCGCTGCACCCACACTTTGCCCACCCTCTTTCTCTCGGTCTGTCCCCCACGCCATCCATCACCTGCACCCCTTCCCTAGGGAGGCCCAGCGGTGGGCGCCCACCCGCTCCCCCAGCGCTTTGCCCCGTGAGTCCTCCGCCCAGGCCCCCGCGCGCGCCTCACCTGCGGAGCCCGGCTTGGCCGCACTGAGTCCCACGGGCGGGCGGGTGGCGCAGGGCGGGGCCGCGGGGCTCATGCGGGGAGCGGGCAGGCAGGAGAGCGGCGGGGCGGCGCCAGCCGGCAGCTCTGCGACCTCCTCCCTGCAGCGGCCCAGGTGGGAACTCAGCCAGGGCAGCGGCGGGGGTCACAGTCCCCGCCTGGGACTTCCTATCTGTCGAAGCTTGCAAGACGCACAAATGCCTGCTCCCCAGCCACTCTTCGGGGCGGCAGCTAGGAAGCGAGGATGGGGAGCACTAGAGAGCTATCCACCAATCGCTACATGGGACCTTTATTTAGATCTGAATTCAAACCGTTAAAAGAAGTTATAGGACGGGCACGGTGGCTCACGCCTGTAATCCCAGCACTTTTGGGAAGCCAAGGCGGGCGGATCACTTGAGGCCAGGAGTTCGAGACTAGCCTCGCCAACAGGGCGAAACCCCGGCTCTACTAAAAATACAAAGATTAGCCAGGCGCGGTGGCGGGCGCCTGTAATCCCAACTACTTGGGAGGCTGAGGCAGGAGAATCGCTTGAACCCGGGAGGGGGAGGTTGCAGTGAGCCGAGATCGTGCCATTGCACTCCAGCCTGGGCGACAGAGCAAGACTCCGTCTCAAAAAAAAAAAAAAAAAAAAAAAAATTATAAGAAAATTGGAGCAATGTGGTCGCTGGATATTTAATGGCTGGGTTTCTTTCATTTCTTTTTTCTTTTTTTTTGAGACAGTCTCGCTCTGTCGCCCAGGCTGGAGTGCAATGGCGCGATCTCGGCTCACTGGAACCTCCGCCCCCAGGTTCAAGCGATTCTCCCGCTTCAGCCTCCCAAGTAAAGAGGATTACAAGCGCCCATCACTACGCCCCGCTTATTTTTTTGTATTTTTAGCAGAGGCCGGGTTTCTCCATGTTGGCTAGGCTGGTCTCAAACTCCTGACCTCAGGTGATCCGCCGGCCTCGGCCTCCCAAAGTGCTGGGATTACAGGCGTGAGCCATCGCACCCTGCCGGGTTTCTTAATGAATAATTGTAATGTGGCTATCTTTTCAGAGTGGTTATCTTTTACAGTTATATATTTACAAAACTGAAATGAGACATCTGGGATTTGCTTGGCAATAGTGGAACCAAGGAGTAGTGGGAGTAGGGATGAAACAAGGTGGGCCATGTGTTGATAATTGCTGAGGCTGGTTGGGGAGGATTCATTATTACCTTTCTTTTTTATGTACTTGGAATTTTCCATAATAAAAATAATAGTATGACCTATAATAGATGTATACATACACAGAGTGGTAGAAAAAAATTCATCCTAAATGTCCACCAATAATGAAATGCTTAAATAAATGGATACATAAACGCTGTGGATTACACAGTCATTAAAATTGTTCTTAACAAAGACCACATAATTAGCACAAGGAAATAATTTTATATCCAAAACAAAAAAGCCAATGGTAAGAAATAGATGTATTTGAACTTTTATTGAACCTAGAAGCTAGGGGCTGGGTGTGGAGCCTCACACCTGTAATCCCAGCACTTTGGGAGGCCAAGGCAGGCTGATCACTTGAGGTCAAGAGTTTGAGACCAGCCTGGCCAACATGGTGAAACCTCGTCTCTACTAAAATTACAAAAATTAGCCAGGCATGGTCGTGGGCACCTGTAATCCCTGTTACTTGGGAGGCTGAGGCAGGAGAATTGCATGAGCTGGGGAGGTGGCAGTTGCAGTGATCTGAGATGGCACCACTGCCCTCCCACCTGGACAACAGAGCAAGACTCCATCTCAAAAACAAAGCAAAACAAAACAAAAAACTAGAAGGCAAGGCTGGGTGGGGTGGCTCAGACCTCTAATTCCAACACTTTGGGAGGCTGAGGTGGGTGGATCACTTGAGGTCAAGAGTTTGAGACCAGCCTGGCCAACAGGGCAAAACCCCATCTCTACTAAAAATACAAAAATGAGCTTGCATGGTGGCGCACGTCCTGTAATCCCAGCTACTCAGGAGGCTAAGGTAGGAGAATCCCTTGAACCCGAGAGGCAGAGGCTGCAGTGAGCTGAGATCATGCCACTGCACTCCAGCCTGGGCAAGAGAATGAGACTCTGCCTCAAAAAAAAAAATTAAAAAAAATCTGGTAGGCAATGCATTAAAATATTAGCTTTGCATGATAGGATTATGCATAACTGTTTTGCATCTTTCCTAATGAAAATAGTTGTGGACTCAAGAAGTTTCCTTGCAATCCTTCACATTTAACGAAACACATCTAATACCCGTAATATTTCAAAGTAATCATTGAAATGCCCAACGCTAACATTAGTTTGTCAGTGGCACAATTAAAACATTATCTTCAGAAATGACCAATTGCAGCATTCTGCTGCCCATCTGATAGTAATTTATATAATGCTAATGTCCAGCATCCTCAAAAACATCCTTTTATCCCCAGGGTCTTTGTTTAATCCTTTAAATAAAAAGCTTAACCTCAGCCGGGCACAGTGGCTCATGCTTGCAATCCCAGCACTTTGGGAGGCTGAGACGGGCAGATCACAAGGTTAGGAGATCGAGACCATCTGGCTAATACAGTGAAACCCCGTCTCTACTAAAAATACAAAAAATTAGCCAGGCGTGGTGACGGGCGCCTGTAGTCCCAGCTACTCAGAAGGCTGAGGCAGGAGAATGGTATGAACCCGGGAGGCAGAGCTTGCAGTGAGCCAAGATCATGCCACCACTCCAGCCTGGGTGACACAGTGAGACTCTTTCTCAAAAAAAAAAAAAAAAAAAAAAAAGCTTAACCTCAAGCTTTAAATGACAGGAAATGGCTTCCATCCTTTGTCAATTTTTGATTTAGAATATAGGTGTCTAGGAGTCTCACATGACTCATCTCAGAACAATAAAAGGACCTTTTCATTTTTACATATTTTAATGTTTAAACATTTATAAATGTGTGTATATATACATGCACAGAAAAAAAAAAGTCTGGAAGGCATAAACCAAACTGTCAGTAGTGGTTCTCTCAAGTTTATGGGGTAAGTAAAGTTAATTTTCATTTTATACTTTTTCTGCGATGAACGTTGATATGGTTTGGCTTTGTGTCCCCACCCAAATCTTGTGTGGAATTGTAATCCCAGTGTTGGGGGAGGGGTCTGGTGGGAGGTGATTGGATCATGGGGCTGACTTCCCCCTCAATACTGCTTTCGTGATAGTGAGTGAGTGCTCAGTTGTTTAAAAGTGTGTGGTACCTTCTCCTTGGTTCTCTCTTAGTTCTCCTTCCACCATGTAAGACATGCAGGCTTCCCCTTCACTTTCCACCATGATTGTAAGTTTCCTGAGGCCTCCCTAGAAGCAGAAGCCTATACAGCCTGCAGAACCATGAGCCAATTAAACCTCTTTTCTTTATAAATTACCCAGTCTTAAGTGTGTTTTTATAGCAGTGTGAGAAAGGACTAATACAAACGTGTTACTTATAATGGAAAAACCAGTAGGGCTTTACGATCAGTCATGGCCACCCTATAAATAATAAAAACAAGATGGAGGCTGGGCGAGGTGGCTCACACCTATAATCCCAGCACTTTGGGAGGCTGAGGCGGGTGGATGACCTGAGGTCAAGAGTCTGAGACCAGCCTGACCAACATGGCAAAACCCCATCTCTACTAAAAATAGAAAAATTAGCAGGGCATAGTGGCACATGCCTATAATCCCAGCTACTTGAGAGGTTGAGGCAGGAGAATCACTTGAACCTGGGAGGTGGAGGTTGCAGTGAGCCAAGATTGCACCACTGCACTCCAGCCTGGGCGACAGAGGAAGGCTCCAACTCAAAAAAAAAAAAAAAAAAAAAAAGAATTGCCAATGTATTCACTTGAACTCTAGCATTTGGAAAAGTGTTGAGAGTTCACAGTCGTTTAAAACCAGCGTTCTGTGTTGAATCCTAAACAGGATATAAGAAAATAGCATTTGGGCACTCTATCTGTTCTTATTTTCCAGAACTTAAGAAGTACAGGTATATAAGACATCCCAATTTACATGGGCATTTACTTGAGAGAAAAAATACTTACTTTTCATTTTACATGTATTGAAAGTAATTTTAAAGTGACTTTCTAACAAAAGCATATTATTTAATTCATGTGAATACAGCATACTGACCCAAATCCAGAGGGAATTCTTAAGTTCGGTTATGTAATAATATTCTCCCTGTTCTCCAAAAGTATACAATTTCACAGTGAAAAAGAAGTATTTTGTTATCACTGAATACTGAGTCCAATTCAGTGATACTGATATAGATAGCAAGCTACAAAGCACAATTTACTAGTAAATGAAGCCAAATGCCATACAAGTTGTATTATAAAAACAAATGATGCACTAGTCATTAGGGAAATGCAAATCAAAACCACAAGCTACCACCTTACACCGATTAGGATGGCTACTACTAAAAAAACAAAACAGGCTGGACATGGTGGCTCACACCTGTAATCCCAGCACTTTGGGAGGCCAAGGCAGGCAGATCACCTGAGGTCAGGAGTTCGAGACCAGCCTGGCCAACATGGCGAAACCCCAAAACCCCATCTCCACCAAAAATATAAAAATTAGCCAAGTGTAATGGTAGGTGCCTGTAATCCCAGCTACTCGGGAGGCTGAGGCAGGAGAATCACTTGAACCCAAGAGATGGAGTTTGCAGTGAGCCGAGATCATGCCCTGCGCTCCAGCCTGGGCAACAGAGCAAGACTCCATCCCAAAACAAAACAAGATAATGTTGGTGAAGATGTGGAGACATTGGAACGGTTGTGAACTGTTGGCAAAAATGTTAAATGGTGCAGAAAACAGCATTGTGGTTCCTCAAATAATTAAAAATAGAATTACCACATGATCCAGTAATTTCACTTCTGGTTATATACCCAAAGGAATTAAAAGCAGGGTCACAAGATACTTGTATACTCATGTTCACAGCAGGGTTATTCAGACAGCTAAAAGGTAGTAGCAATCCAAGAGTTCACCAACAGACTAATGGATAAGCAAACTATGGTCTATCCATACAATAGATTATTCAGCCTTAAAAAGGAAGGAAATTCTGGCCGGTGCGGTGGCTCACGCCTATAATCCCAGCACTTTGGGAAGCCGAGGCAGGTAGATCACCTGAGGTCAGGAGTTTTGAGACCAGCCTGGCCAACATGGTGTAACCGTCTCTACTAAAAATACAAAAATTAGCCAAGCATGGTGGCAGGCGCCTGTAATCTCAGCTACTCAGGAGGCTGAGGCAGGAGAATGGCTTGAACCCAGCAGCCAGAGGCTGCAGTGAGCCGAGATCACACCACTGAACTCCAGCCTGGGGGACAGAAAGAGACTCCGTCTCAAAAAAAAAAAAAAAAAAAAAAAAGAGAGGAAGGAAACTCTGACACCCTCTACATCGGTGAACCCTGAGGGCACTGTGCTAAGTGAAATAAGCCAGTCATGGGCCGGGCGCGGTGGCTCACGCCTGTAATCCTGGCACTTTAGGAGGCCGGATCACAAGGCCAGGAGTTCGAGACCAATCTGGCCAACATGGCGAAACCCCATCTCTACTAAAAATACAAAATTAGCCAGGAGTGGTGGTGCACGCCTGTAATCCTAGCTACTCAGGAGGCTAAGGCAGGATTGATTGAACCCAGGAGGCAAAGGTTGAAGTGAGCTGAGATTGCATCACTGCACTCCAGCCTGGGCAACAGAGTGAGACTCTGTCTCAGGAAAAAAAAAAAAAGAAGAATAAGCCGGTCACAAAAAGGCAAATACTGTGTAATTCCAATTATATGGGAGGTGACTGGATCATGGGGCGGATCATGACTACCTAGAGTAGTCAAAGGGACAGAAAGTAGAATGATAGTTGCTAGAGGGTGGGGTGGAGACAATGGAGAGTTGTGTTTATGAACATAGTTTCAGTTTTGCAAGATAAAGGGAGTGCTAGGCCAGGGACAGTGGCTAACACCTGCAGTCCCAACACTTTGGGAGGCCAAGGTAGAAGGATCACTTGAGGCCAGGAGTTTAAGACCAGCCTAGGCAACATAGTCCTGATTTGTCTCAAGTTACTTATGAGCCCAGTTTTGTGCTCAGTGCACTCCTAGACAGTACAACTCAGTCCAGGCTGCCCTGATTCCATGCACTATCTTCTAGCCGGCGGAAGCACTGGATATAAGGTAACTGGGGGTGCTTAAGCATCTGCACTAACATGGTAGGTCACTTTAGTCACTGGAAGCCCATGATACTATACTGACATTGCTGGAGAAAAAGGATCATGTAACACCTCCATCAGTAACCAAGTAGTGGGAAGCAATTAATGAAAACATCTTGCTTCATTAATACTGTAAATAACATACGCAGTATAGCCTATTAATACTATACTCAGAACCAAGTGAAAACAAAGCTTTGCTCAGGAAGACTTGAAACATCTACACTTTATTTTCCAACTCAACTTTTTTCTGTTAAAAGCCAACCATGTAAAAACTGATGACAGGTCACACTGGATGGCAGAAAATACAGTACTGCTTTTAACTACTCTGTACAAGGGATAAATGACTAAGGGCACTGTACCTCCTTTCCTCCCCTTCTCTGAGATCAGTGGTCTGAGCACTTTAGGAGCTTAAAATGCAGGTGCAGGGAGCTAGGAATCAGAGGTGTGGCTTGCATTTCAACCTTTAAGGTCAATTGGTTAGCTTGCTTTTACCACAAATAAAGCTCTTCTTAATTTCTCTAGTACAGTCTTAACTTGATATGAAGCACTTACACGAGGAATGGTGCAGACAAGGCAGCTTTATTGTACTTTGGGGGAGAAAAACATGATTCCATTTACGGGGAAAAAAGCCATTGACACTCAGTAAGCAACACTGCCATCTAGTGGAATGGTGACACACCACCAAGAATTTCAAGACCCGATAGGAAATGTGAGTGGATTTGGTTTCAATTTTCACCACAAAACAGCACTTTTAATAAGCTGGTTTTCAGAGAACTTCAGATTTTTTTGAGAAACTACTTTTTATCTTTAAAATGCATAAATGTATGTGTTTTCTCTGTTTTGGGGGGGTGGTTAAGAATGAGTTGTATTTTTCTTATTAGAGCATAAAGTTCTCTACTTGAAAGTTAGAAAACACTTTGGGGCAACCTGCCTCCTTGAACATCCATCACTTCTGCTTGACAGTCTAACAGCAACCCCTGATTTTAACAGACAGTTTATAAAGAAGCAAAACTCAACTGTACAAGAACGACATTAAGTTTTCTCATTTCCTCTTTCTATTTTTACAATCTATGGTGCTAAGTATTTGTACTTCACTTACTTGAATTCCTGGAAAAAAATCATTAGAACACACCAATAACAATTTTGCATAAATCACATAACCCAACTCTTATTATGACTGCACAGTAACAGTGGAAGATATTGGTGTGAGGATGTGGGAATGCAGTTCTTAATGAATAATAAAGTAATTCTTCAGGTTTTAATTCGCCTTTATACCCAGGTGTTGGAGTGAATGTGTTGATCTGATGACTTCTATGAGCATATAAATGAGAATACTTAATGAAACACCTGGATGAAAAAAGAAATAAAGTAGTGAGGATAACATATTGTTAATAACCACAATCTCATATTGACATTTCTGTTATTACTGAGATTTCAGATTCTGGGTTAAATGCTCTGCTCTTTGGAATATCCACGATGGTTATTGATCTTGCTAATGGGTTCCTCTATGGCAGCATTTCTGGGTTTATGGTTGGAGGCACTCACGGATTCCAGAATGCATGAGTCTGACACGGTCTTCATCAAACCATATTCTTGGCAAATAATAAACTCCTTTAAGGATTTCAGGGAAGAGCCAAGCTCTGGGAGAGAGGTATATAAGTGTAGAGTAAGAAGTTGAATTAAAACATTTTTAGTTGCATTTTGTCAGTAGACAAAACTGAATGTTTCAATTCTGAGAACCTGAGATTGTCCAGAAAAAAACAAAGTTCAGTGTATGGGACATGAGTGATCACAAAGTCAGAACCAGGTTATTTTGCATTTTTCACAGCAGCATTAACTGGGGGGGTGGGGGGAGGGGTCCCTGAAGTTCTGTATCTGAATGAGGCTGGGTTTTTGTTTCTGTTTTTTTTTTTTACTGACTCAGTGTTCACTGCAATTTGCAATAATCTCCCCTTCCCCCAAGTCTGAAGCCTTCCTTCCCCCCTATTCAAATTGTCTGCGTCATTCTCATAATGCTACTATTTGGGTACTCCTGAAGCCAAACCAATAAAAAATGCTAGGGGAGCTTTATATGAATTCAAACATGATGCCAAAGTCATCTCCAAAAAAGTTTATTAGCATGATTAAAAACATTTTCTTGAATAATAACAGAAAGAATTTCTAAACATGAAAGAATATCAGTGGCTATACCTTAAAACCAGTATTTGGAATTGAAT
Source organism: Homo sapiens (assembly GCF_000001405.40). Taxonomy (NCBI): domain Eukaryota; kingdom Metazoa; phylum Chordata; class Mammalia; order Primates; family Hominidae; genus Homo; species Homo sapiens. The sequence continues at coordinate 21,655,815 of NC_000016.10, read as the reverse complement.
GGACAGCTTTATTGCCAGTCTTCAAAAAACAATCCATTGATTGGTTCCATGAAGTCGTGACTATTGCTTTGTCTGGGAATGAGTCCCTACTGCAATTAAGTATAAAAAATATCTTCCATCATAATTGGAGTGTGACCTGCATTGGAGAGTGGCTCTGAGTAAAGAGTTGATAAAAATCCACAAAGAGTTGGGTTTTTGTCTTTTAAAAACATTCCTTTACACACTACAAAGAAATAATTAGTATTTTGGCTTTTTAAATTCCTACATGATATTTAGAATGGCGGTCCCCAAGGGTCCTCCCTTCACGTAATTGTGAACACAGACCCTCTTCCAAGGGCACATCCCGGAGGGTGCGGACTCTGAAGACTTCGACCTCCACGTGTTTATACTGGTTTGAGAACAAAGACAGCGTCATCCAGAACGTAGTAGTCATTATACATGTCGCCTTCACACAGGTATGGTAGTCTGGTGAAAGCTTCGATAACAAAACCAGCTTTTCTGAAAACTTCAGGCAGACTATTCACTTGTTCTTCCCAGTTCTGTCCTTTGATTTCCAAAATTTCTGATGGTTTCTCCCACTTGCCACCTACTAATACAAATAAGAACATTCAGTTAAATTCTTGAACAAACAAGTGATTTAAAGAGGGAAGCAGGGAGGAGCCATATCTACCAAGGACTTGGTACGTTCCAAGCCTGAGGGCTTCATGAGTTACCTCTTTTGTACTTCCCAGGTACTCTTTGAGACAGGTGGGCAGATAAAGAACAGACTCAGAAGGGGTGAAGAACTTGCCCACGCTTGCAAGGTTAATGAGTGTCAGTATGGAAATGTAAGCCCAGGTTTGTCTGGATCCAAGGCCCCACACTGTTATCTTCTCTGACAGTTTTGGGTAGTATCTGCCAATAGACTGACTGCAGGGTGTAATGGTTAATGGGTTTGGAAAACTGGTCATTAAATGCTGGAATACTGAAACAGAGAGCAACATGTAATATCTGAAGGACAGTTTTGGACAAATGCAAGAAAATACCACTGGCATAGTAAACTTATGCAACTTACTACCTAGAGAGATTTATTAGGCTGAAAATAAAAACAGGCTCATGAAGGATTTTAATTTAGAAAAGCAGATCATTGGGGAGTTTTTCTAGGGAAGTTGACTCATTCTTTGCCTTTTCAGAACAATTTCATAAACATTAAGCTCCAGGACCAGAGAGAGATGGAACAGTAGGATGGATACACCGTCCAGCATTTCTTGGACTAGAGATGAAGCCTCTATCAGTCATTTCCAAACCTATGAGCAGGAGATGCCTGGGGGACAAGGGGACTAGGGAAGGTCCTCAAATTCACATACAAACCTGGCACTGACTACAGACACACACACAGAGATGACAGTATATTTAACTTTGGGGGTACTTTTTAGGTGCTATGGTGATACAAAAACTACATACATCTGTTGAAGTGTTAAAACCAGATTGAGGCCGGGCGTGGTGGCACATGCCTGTAATCCCAGCACTTTGGGAGGCCGAGGTGGGCGGATCACGAGGTCAGGAGATCAAGACCATCCTGACTAACACAGTGAAACCCCGTCTCTACTAAAAAAAATACAAAAAAATTAGCTGGGCATGGCAACATGCACCTGTAGTCCCAGCTACTTGGGAGGCTGAGGCAGGAGAATGGTGTGAACCCGGGAGGCGGAGCTTGCAGCGAGCCAAGATCGTGCCACTGCACTCCAGCCTGGGCGACAGAGCGAGACTCTGTCTCAAAAAAAAAAAAAAAAAAAAAAACAAAACAGACTGAGAATAACTTTCTGTTAATGAGAAAATATATCATGAGCAGATGCCAAGGGCACAGACATCATATCATGGTGGGGAGATTTTTCATAATTTTCAGTGGTGCAGATGACGCTCTTCCCATGTCTGGGGAATTGCCTGCCCAGAGTCTGGGAGAGACACAAGGCCTGGGAGCCGCTTTCCTGGCCTGCCGTGCAGCTGAGGCACTGGCACGCAGCCTAAGCCAGGCACACTTGCCCATGCCCTGGAATGGAGAGCCAGTGACCCAGAGTAGTGGGGATGTGAGCTTCTCCTTCTCTGGGGGTGGAGCAATGGCAGTGAGACCAAGGGGCTGGGGCAGTGGTTGAGCGATGCTGACAACAGGGCTGATGGCACCTAGTGTTTGGCAGTGGCAGTAGCATCCTCTTCAGACCTGTTTATGGTGTGATTTGAGGCATTCTTCCTGGCTGTGGACCCCACACAAGATTCACTAGCCCTCCCAGTGACTCTAGGATCTACCTTCAAATGTTTGCATAAATTTCCTTTTAAGTCAGCCTGAGTCTGTTTCTGCTGCTTTACAAAGAAGACCCTTACTGAATCACCACTAAGTGCTGGGGGAGAGGACACAGAGGACAGAGGGCCCACATATTTGTTTCTCAACACATTAAAAGGGGGTCTTTGGGCCAGGCATGGTGGCTCACACCTGTAATCCTAACACTTTGGGAGGCCAAGGCAGGGGGATCGCTTGAGGGCAGGACTAGCCTAGACAACACAGAATCTACAAAAAAAAAAAAAAATTAGCCAGGGGTGGTGGTGCATGCCTGTAGTCCCAGCTACTCAGGAAGCTGAGGCTGCAATGACCTGCAATCTTGCCACTGCATTCCAGCCTGGGTGATAGAGACCCTGTCAAAAAAGGGGGGAAGGCAGGTGTCTTTGGATTCAAAACTGGAGTACAAAAAGTTAATAACAGACAATTTATTTATTCGCTGCATTAGAATGTGTTGTTTACTAACTTTTCTCATCTCTACACAAAGCCACTTCTCCTTCTGCTGTTCTTTGTTCCCAGCAGTTACTGGCCCAGAGTGGCACCCAGAGCAGGTACCCTAGACAGTGACTGAACTGTTCTGAAAAATCCAAGTACGAATTATTTGTCAAACAATACTCCTTCCTGGAAATATGTGCTAGGTGTAAATCAAAATCTCACCCAGAAACATCTAACACCTATGACAACTGTAAAATCCATGGAAAAAAAAAAGATATGCACATTTCTAAATGTGCTCCAGGCCAAAATCTCAATGTTAAATGGTGAAGCCATCCTTGCACAATTTCAAAAAGTTCCTGATTATGGTTCCTTCATAAGAGGTTCCTCTCTTCAGCTCTTCTTCCCTTCTGAAAAAAGAAAGCCAACTTTCCTTTCAAATACACACCCCAACCCGCCCCGGCATACACAGAAATGGGGACTGCGAGCAGAAGCAACATCGCTCGCCATCTGCAAACCAATCTCATTCTATTTTGTGTCGGTAAGGTTCTTTTTCTTCTCCTCCTTCATTTTATTTAAATCAACTGCTATTTTTCACCTAATGCATTTATATTTTAAGCTCCTTCAGATTAATTTTTAAATGTATAACATTATGAAAACTGCCTAAGAGGATAAGTTTCCTTTTTCCCCTGAGAAATAGACAATAAAAAAATAGCTGAGAAAAAGTTTCATATTAACCTTGAAAAGTCTCTTTGCTATTATGCTAATTGGAGACAATCTGACCAAAGGGTTGAAAATATTCTTAAAATCGTAGGTATAAGTTATCAATAATTTAATTATCATACAAACTTGATCTGCACATAGAAAGCAATAAATGATTATTTGCTGAATATTTTCAAAGAACAATTTCTATAAAAGTACTTTTCATTTAAGAAAAAAAAAACTGCCATGACTCCAATAGCCATCCCATAGTATATCTATTTTTAAAATTCTGTCTACTTCTGTTTTTTTATCTATGAAAGAGAAAGGATTTCCAATACATCTAGTAATCTCAGATTTGCCCACACAATTTGGATTATAGGGCAGGGAAGGGGGGAAAGTTCTTAATTTTTTCTCATCTGTGAAGAAATATATCAAAATGTTAATGGGAGTTATTTCAGGCAAAAGGACTATGGGTGACTTTTTGCTTCTACTTTTAATAACCTGTTTTTTGCTAATAAGTATATATTACTTTCATAGACTATTTTAATTAGCATTATTTTAAAGAAGAATTCCTGTCTTTTAGAGATATATTCTGAAAGATGCAGATAAAATGGCTGGGATTTGCTCTAAAATAATATGGGAGTGAGGGAGTAGGTGGGAGGAGAAAAGAAACAAGATTGGGTCGAAGCCATGTGATGGCAGGGGGTTGACTGTACTACTTCGCTACTTTGATATGTTAGAAATTTGAAATCTAATATAATAAAGCTTTGGGCTGGGCGTGGTGGTTCATGCCTGTAATCCCAGCACTTTGGGGGCCAAGGTGAGAGGATCACTTGAGCTCAGGAGTTCAAGACCAGCATGAACAACATAATGAGACCCCCATTTCTACACAAGAAAAAAAAATAGCTGGGCGTGATGGCACCTGCACTGCACCTGCAGTCCCACCCACCTGGGAGGCTGAGGCAGGAGGATCACTTGAGCCCAGGACTTTCAGGCTATAGGGAGCTGTGATTGTGCCACTGCACTCCAGCCTGGGCAACAGAGCAAGACATTTACTTACTTCTTACTTACTAGATAGAGAGACAGCTTTGTTTAAATGTCAAGAATTAGTTCTCTTCCTACTTTCAATATGGCTTTTTTGTTTGTTTGAGACGGAGTCTCGCTCTGTCACCCAGGCTGGAGTGCAGTGGCAAGATCTCGGCTCACTGCAAGCTCCGCCTCCCGGGTTCACGCCATTCTCCTGCCTCAGCCTCCCGAGTAGCTGGGACTACAGGCATCTGCCACCACACCCGGCTAATTTTTTGTATTTTTAGTAGAGACAGCGTTTCACCGTGTTAGCCAGGATGGTCTCGATCTCCTGACCTCGTGATCCGCCCGCCTCGGCCTCCCATAATGCTGGGATTACAGGCATGAGCCACCATGCCCAGCCTCAATATGGTTTTTTAAAATAATAAGAATAATCTTTCTATTCCCTCCATGGAGGAAATAAATCTTCAACCTTTTCATTGGATACTGTGTTTAAAAAACAATTCCTAGAATATGAGGATTCTTAAAAGAAATCATTCACAGAAGCAGGCTGTGGTGTGACATATCCAAACTTCTCTTTTTTGTTAATAGGTTGCCTAACTGGTTGGGGGAGGGAACCACAGTTTCATCACAAGTTCCTGCTCACAGAGGAAATCATTACAATTGGTTTTCTCCCACACATAGCCTAATTGGGAAGAAGGTGGAAATAAGTAGAGATATGAAATTCCAAAGTTACAAATACCTGTTTTTATCCTATACTACTAGTTTTTAAAGAAAAGTGTTGAAAGTCAGCTATCCCCGCCACCCCAACCTCTATTTTTTTTTTTTTTTTTTTTGAGACAAGAGTCTCACTCTGTCACCCAGGCTAGAGTGCAGTGGCACAATCTCAGCTCACTGCAACCTCCACCTCCTACGTTCAAGCGATTCTCCTGCTTCAGCCTCCCAAGTAGCTGGGATTACAGGCGTCCACCACCACACCTGGCTAATTTTTTGTATTTTTAGTAAAGATGGGGTTTTACCATGTTGGCCAGGCTAGTCTCGAACGCCTGACCTCAGGTGATCTGCCCGCCTCGGCATCCCAAAGTGCTGGGATTACAGGCGTGAGCCACCATGCCCAGCCTCTATTCCTTTTATAGAGACAGGATCTCACAATGCTGCCCAGGCTGGAGTGCACGTCCAGACTCTATTCCTTTAATAGAGACAGGGACTCACAATGCTGCCCAGGCTGGAGTGCAGTGGTGCCATCACAGCTCACTGCAGCCTGGAATTCCTGGGCTCAATCAGCCTCCGGTCTCAGCCTCCTGAGTAGCTGTGACTAATGGCCACACCACCACGCCTGGCTCTTTGGCTTCCCTTTTAAAAACACTACCCAATTTGGAAGGCTGAGGCGAGTGGATTGCTTGAGCCCAGGAGTTTAAGACCAGGCTGGCCAACATCGCAAAACCCTGTCTCTACTAAAAATAAAAAAATTAGCCAGGCGTGGTGGTGCACACCTATAGTCTCAGCTACTCCAGAGGCTGCAGTGAGAGGATTGCTTGAGCCCAGAAGACAAAGGCTACAGTAAGTTAGCCAAGATCACACCACTGCATTCCAGTTTGGGCGACACAGTGGGACCCTATCTCAAAAATAAAAATGTGTAAATAATGGAATCGTCCACTTTTTAAAAATAATTTTACAAATAAAAATAAAAACATTATCTGAAAGATGACTTGAGACTGAGACAGTGCTTAACTTTGCTAAGTTTTGGCAGACCCAATTCCATTTTAAATTTCCACTCAGTATATACTATAAAATGTTTCACTGTACTTGTAAGGTGCTTGAGTCTGGGCAGGAGACATGAGGTTGTATTTCTCAGACTTGAGAGGGAATCCAATCCCCTTGGCTGGAGATGGAGCTGAGCTGGGCCTCCCACAGACACGAAGCTCAGAGAAGCTTGCAGGCCTCCTCCAGGTGACTGCACCCTCTTGTCTGGTTTGCATTTATCAGGTCACCACAGAGCTCCCAGCTCATCTCATGTTGCACAAATACTAAAATATAACATGATGAGAAGAGAGCAAGGCGCAGTGGCTCACACCTGTAATCCCAGCACTTTGGAAGGCCGAGGCAAGCGGGTCGCTTGAGTTTAGGGGTGCAAGATCAGCCTAGGTAACAAGGTGAAACCCTGTCTCTACAAAAAATACAAAAATTAGCTGGGCACAGTGCTGCAGGCCTACAGTCCCAGCTACTTTTGAGAAGCTAAGGCAGGATGATGGCTTGAACCTGGGAGGTCACAGTTGCAGTGTGCCGTGATTGCACCATTGCACTCCAGCCTGGGAGACAGAGACTCTGTCCAAAAACAATAACAAAAATGAAAACAAAAACAAAAAAACATGGTGAGAAGAGACTCGCATCACAAACGCCATGATTCTAACTTTAATTCCTCTGCTGTTATGAATGGGGATCCATAAGAGAAACGCTAAGAGAAAAAAGCCCCTGTCTGAAAATTAAGCATCAGACCACTTGGATGACTTTTCAGTTTCATTTACAGTAGCAAAGGACAAACTCACACAAATAGGACCATTTGGGAATATATGACCAGGCGGAACTCAGACCAAAAACTTGACAAATTCCAATTTGTCTCAACCAATACTATTTTACCTATGGCCTCCCCTGCCGCAAAAGAAGGGTTTAGGGCGGGTCTTTCCATTTGTGCACTCGAGTGGCTTTCCAGCTTCACATGCCTGGGATATAAAGGCCAAGGTGGGGGACTCAATCCTCATAACTTGGAAGAGCACCACATGGTGGACAGTACACTGGAGTGGGTGACTAATCCCAGCTCTGTGAACACCTTGTGGCTAGACGTCCACAACCATCTCTCCAACAGCCATCTGACACTGTGGGAACAGTAGCAGTGGCGGCTGCAGCAGCAATCGCTCCCTTGTATTTAATACTTACTATAGCTTAGGCAGGTAAACACTTCCTAGGCATCATCTTGAACGTCACACTAACTGCATGAGGTCAACAATACTATCCCCATTTTCTAATGAGGAAACTGAGATACTGAGATTATAATGCTGGGAACAGGCAGAGCTAGGATTTGAACTCAAGTCTGTGCTCTTTATCACAATATTGTTAATTAAATAAGATAAATGCTACAAGGGCCTACAAAGCAGCACACACGCCAGGGAGAAACCAAATCTGCTTAGCTATGGCCTGGCGAGCTCATATGGTCCCTGCTCAGTAATCAAAGACATGGTAGGCTAAGCCAGGGCTGCATTTCCACAGGTGTACATGTTGCCTTTTATCATGTTTCCCAAAGGGACACCAGGCTCACAAAGAAACAATTGTGAATGGCCATGAATTCCTGGCGATCTCAACTCCCACAAAGCACAAACATCGCTGCTGCTCATAGGCTCCATCAGCGGCAGCAACGTTCGTCTGGGGACACAGGTTACCACACTGAACACAGCACTCTGGGGAGGCCAGGGTGCGGACAAGAAAGCAGGCAGGAGATTAAGTGATTGGATCGAAGGAAAGCTTGTAAGGAGCAAGAGTCACAGATGGACCCCAAACTTCTGAGTCCAATACGGTGCCACCTCTATGCAGGCCTCCTGCACAGGGACTCTGTTCCCCTGAAGCCTCTCTAGGGCTGGCCTCCAGTGAACAGACATCATGTGACCCAGCAGGTCAAGGTCAGAAAACAGGAGGAGTTGGGGCAAGTGAGGACCACTGGTGTTTATTTTTAGTCTTATTTATATTGGGATTAAGGTAAGAAAAATAACAGAATGGCTGGGTTTCCTACCTCAAAAATATAATAAAAGCACAAAGTGAGGTGGCAGGCCCATTAACCCACTCATCTGCTTCCTCCCACAGGTGCTGTGGGCGCCTGTACTCTCTCTGTCACACAACCGTGGTACCTAGAAGTGGACTACACTCATGAGGCCGTCACCATAAAGTGTACCTTCTCCGCAACCGGATGCCCTTCTGAGCAACCAACATGCCTGTGGTTTCGCTACGGTGCTCACCAGCCTGAGAACCTGTGCTTGGACGGGTGCAAAAGTGAGGCAGACAAGTTCACAGTGAGGGAGGCCCTCAAAGAAAACCAAGTTTCCCTCACTGTAAACAGAGTGACTTCAAATGACAGTGCAATTTACATCTGTGGAATAGCATTCCCCAGTGTGCCGGAAGCGAGAGCTAAACAGACAGGAGGAGGGACCACACTGGTGGTAAGAGGTCAGTCAGCGAGGCTTTATTTCAGTGCATCATTGCATCTTGTTCAGGCCTGTAAAATCATTACCTCACTCACATGTAGAAATCAGGAGATAAATTTGCTAAGTTAATACCCTAGCCAGTGATGGGTGTGATCTGAACACAAGTCACCATGAGGTTTGGACTAAAGAACTACTCCAACTGGCTGGGCGTGGTGGCTCACACCTGTAATCCCAGCACTTTGAGGCTGAGGTGGACGAATCACTTGAGGTCAGGAGTTCAAGACTAGCCTGGCCAACATGGTGAAACCCCATCTCTACTCAAAATACAAAAATTAGCCGCGCATGGTGGCATGCACCTGTAGTCCCAGCTGCTTGGGAGGTTGAGGCAGGAGAATCGCTTGTAACCCAGGAGGCGAAGGTTGCAGTGAACCGAGATCGCACTACTGCACTCCAGTCTGGGCAACAAAGCAAGACTCCATCTCAGAAAAACAAAAGAACTACTCCAATCCATCTCGAACATCCACTAACACAAAGTCAGTGATTTGCTGGGTGCTCTATTCTCCCTACATGGTGATGTTTAACCAACCATGTTCACCTCTTTTGTATATTACAGTGATTTAGTGTAAAGTACCATGTCCAAAGGGAACCTTGTGGTGAGTAACTATCAGCTTTCTCAGGAACTAGTCTGGTAATGCACCACCTAGAACAAAGCACTAGAGAAGTGTAAAAGATCAATAAATTGGACCCACAGAAACTATGCAACATGGAGAATAAGCACAGATTTGGAGAGAAGCTACTCAGGGATCCCTGACCCTTCCCATTCTGCCTGGACATCAGTGAACGGAAAGTGATGACTCTCACTTCCTGAGATTTGATAAAACCCATGACAATTCCTCAGCCGAGCGAGGACATCAAACATAGCTAAATCCTATCAGTAATTTCACCAAGTCATTCCCTTGAGTAAACTGAGATTAAGACATTCCCGAGAAAAAAAAAGGGGGAATTTCAGAGAAAAAGCTTTACATGATTCTGAAGGAAAAAAGAGAACAGCAGCAACTCCTCGCCTTGTTGGGGTCTCTTCCCTTAGGAAGGACCCTGGTATGATGAGCAGAGATTGTTAAAACATGAACTCAAAATCAACCAGCCCTTCGATTTCAAAATAGGACTCTGAGGAAGGGAGACCATCCAGTATTATAACCTGTGCTTTTAAACTACGAGGGTTCTAATGGGCTTTTGATATTCAAATGTCATTTAACCTTAGTTTATTCTCATCTGTCAGCTAAATTATAAATAAGTTAAGGCACTTAAAGCATTTTTAATAGTGCCTGGCATATAGCAAATAACAAATGTTAGCTACTGATATGAAAACACACACAGCTTTAGAGATTTGTATGTCTCACTGCATTAGCCTTCTAAAAACATGTTAGTCAAAGGGAAAAATGGCTTGTAAAAAGATGAAGGTCTCAAAGCTGCAAGGCTTATATAAAGTGAAGTGAAAGTGAAAGGCAGAATTGAAAGTGTTAAGGCAGACATGGCAACTTCCTGTCTCTTCTACAGAACTCCTATTTTCACACTGAAGCTTTTTTATTTTAGTTGTATAGATGTGGTTAATTTGTTAGTTTCACAAATAAAAATGTATGCTGCATAAACTGCATTCACAGGATAAGCATCTATGGGATTTTTCTTTCTTTTTTTTTAAGACAAGAGTCTTGCTCTGTCGCCCGGGCTGGAGTGCCGTGGCGTGATCTCAGCTCACTGCAACCAACCTCCACCTTCCGGGTTCAAGCGATTCTCCTGCCTCAACCTCCTGAGTAGCTGGGATTACAGGCATGTGCGACCACGCCCAGCTAATTTTGGTATTTTTAGTAGAGATGGGGTTTCGCCATGTTGGCCAGGCTGGTGTCAAACTCCTGATCTCAAGTGATCTGCCCACCTCGGCCTCTCAAAGTGCTGGGATTACAGGCATGAGCCATCACACTCAGTCTCATCTATGGGATATTTAGTTGGAAAGTACAGGCTATTCAGACAGTAAGTACAAATCTAATTGTATTTTGTACTCCAAATAGTCAGGTAATTGAAGACATGGCATGTTACTTAATCCCTACCCAGAGCACAAGACAATTTCTGCAAGGAGAGAGAAATTCCGAATGTGAAAATGGATTCAATAACTCTATTTCCAGAATTTTATCATAAAGAAAGAAGAGCACATTTGGCAAAAGTGCCTGTCTTTCAAGCACGCAGTGAGCACTGCGCTCCTCAATGTATGGCCTTCCCAGGTTCTTTCACAGATGGGACTCTTCAGCTATGTGTACTAGTTCCAAGGCTATAAATATCACCCTTAACAAATACATATGAAAATATCTTAACCACATAGGCAGACTCTTGATGATACTGGTAAACCGTTTCTACCAAAAGAGATTTTAGATGCCCTTGAACAAACTGTCTGGAAATGTTTATCTAACTTCAAATAATCCTTTATCTAAAAAGTGATGCTTAGCAATATGACAAATGGTTGGTTGAATTTTTTTAATGTTTAAAAACGAGTAACATTTTTGGTTTAACACATTTAAAGAACTGATGAACTGGCTTTAACTATTACATACTTGAGTACCTTTTGAGGTCTAGTTTTTATACGAATAGGCAAGCAGAGTAAGTTCACGTTTCACCTCTAAAACGCAGTGTGAAGGATACTTTACACATGTATTTGAAAGAATAGGCTTTAATAGTCAATGTGCTTCTTTCTGTTTTTGTCATTAAGAAATTAAGCTGCTCAGCAAGGAACTGCGGAGCTTCCTGACAGCTCTTGTATCACTGCTCTCTGTCTATGTGACCGGTGTGTGCGTGGCCTTCATACTCCTCTCCAAAGTAAGTCAAATCCTCTTGCATGGAATGTCCCTATATCCTTGAATATTATCAAAAGAAAAATAATTTCTATCTCTCCACAAGTTATGGGCCTCAGCAAGAGCTCCCTAATTAACATTTTCCTGTGCATCTGCAGGGAACACCACCTGCAGAAGAGGTCTTTGGAAGAAGGCATCATACATTCTCATCACTGAAATTATTAGCCAGGGGACATAGTTTGCTGTTTTCTCTTTAAAGCCCAGTAGCATGGGATTAAGAAGAGAGCCATCCACTATGCTATCTTTCTGCTGTAGGGGTGAGGTGTGGGCAGGTGGAGGGCGAGATATTACTGTTATCTACGAAAGCCTTAAGAACAGTCTTTAAGAACAAAAATGGGTTGATGAAGAAACTAAAAGCCGCCTTAAAATCTTCAAAAAGGGCTAAAGTTATTAAAAAAGAATACCTTTTGGCTATGTGTATAAGAAGGGAGATGTATACCATTGTGTTAGGATTACTATAAATCCTACAATCAACGTCAGTTTGTTCAATTAGTTTTTAATGGAGTAAAAGCATCTCAAAAATGATGTAAAAATTAAGTCTCATTGTATATCACTTAAATATTAAGTTAGTTTAATCTTATTAGGGCATGAGATATCTGCCACCATTGTTATGAGTACATAAAATGTTTCATAGACTTTCCTTCTCTTCTTGGCAGTCAAAATCCAACCCTCTAAGAAACAAAGAAATAAAAGAAGACTCACAAAAGGTACAGACCAACACTTGAAAAATATTTTTTAAATTGTGGCTGGTTGTAACGATTTCAAAACTGAAATATTTTTTAGCTTTTAAATATTTAAATGTTAAGTTTAAACAGAATATCAAGGTAACTTTCAACTGCAGACACTATTTCCTATTGTTGAGAAACTCAATGACAAAATAATCTCAAGGGGTAAACTGTGACTTAAATTGGACAGTTCTCAACCATAAATTATATTTAAAGTTCTCAAATACAAAAGAGTTAACTGTAGGCACATATGTGTTGGGGGAGGGGGTAGTTTTTGGGACCGGTGGCAATAGAGCAAGAAAAGTTCTGATGATGCGTCGTTATCATCGCTTATATTCCCAAAAGAGAATTTTTTTTTCTCATTTGTCTTTATAGAAGAAGAGTGCTCGGCGTATTTTTCAGGAAATTGCTCAAGAACTATACCATAAGAGACATGTGGAAACAAATCAGCAATCTGTAAGTGTAAAATGTCAAAAAAAAATGTAAATACAGATATAAAGCACGTTTGAAAAAACTAAGCTGCCAAGGAGCTGTCAAGAACCATGTTTTCCTTCAGAAGAGTCTGAAAGAGAACTTTCACAAGAATGTATTTTTATATAGAACCTGTTTTAATAAATACATAACAAAAGACATCTGATACAATATTAAATAGCCCCAGGCTGGCATCTTAGTGACATGGAAACTTTCAGAAACACATTAGACACGAGCAATGTTTTCAATACAGACAATGATGCTTTAAAAGGATAGATTAAAAGCTACTCTGTACAGTATCCTGCATGCAGTGGTAGGCGTTCAGTAGATACTGCAAATGTTTGTGGGTCAAATTATGAAAAAAAATTACTTGTTACTTATAAGGCAAAAATAAATTCACATTAGAAAAGATGCAGCTAATGATATTAAAAAACAAGTATTTCTCCAGTGTCTGGAGTTGAACTGAAAAGAATACATGTATATCTATAATACATCCTGAAAGTATTCCTTTAAAGTCTTATATAAACAGGTTCTTCAAACAAAATATTATCTTAATGCCAATAGAACAGATACTTTGTTTCCATGATGCATGATGAGATAGCTCAAATAAGCTAAAATGTATACAAAATAAGGTTAATTTATTTTTATTTATTTTTTAAAATTTATGGAATGCTTCACAAATTTGCATGTCATCTTTGTGTAGGGGCCATGCTAATCTTCTCTGTATCATTCCAATTTTAGTGTAAGTGCTGCCAAAGCGAGCACAAAATAAGCTGAACTGATAAACTAGTAAAGATATTTTCCTCTTAAACAGCAGCCAAGAGGGCAAATGCATCAGGAGACTGAAATAAGGCGATTTTTTTAAGTCCAACTTTTACTTTAATTGTTTTCTTTTTAAAAAAATATGGAACGCTTCACGAACTTGTGTGTCATCCTTGCCCAGGGGCCATGCTAATCTTCTCTATATTGTTCCAATTTTAGTGTATGTGCTGCCAAAGCAAGCGCTAAAAATCTAACTTTCACAAAGGATTTTTGCCAAGGAAAGAATATTGTCTAAGTAGTCGTTTCATCCTACAGTGTATATATGAATACATAAAGATAGGTGGTCTAATTACTAAGATGCCATGCTGAGTAATTACAAATCATTTTTCTTTCTGAGGCTGGGACATGTTTTCAACAACAAGGCCGAGGTATGTGGCCTGAAAGCAGTCTTAGAAGTGAGAATTGTAAAGCTCCCAGCCACGATTTTGACAGTAGCATCCAAACAAAAAAAAAAAGTATTTTTCAGTTCCCACATCCTACTCTAAATACGGATGGGGAAAACGGTAATCTGGCCTTTAAGATTACCATATGGACACTTAGGACCCAGAATCCAAGATGGCCCAGTGGTTTGCATGTTCCTTGGCAGTTGGCTTCATTGGTTACATAACCTTAAACATGGCTTTCTATTTATTTATTATTGCAGGAGAAAGATAACAACACTTATGAAAACAGAAGAGTACTTTCCAACTATGAAAGGCCATAGAAACGTTTTAATTTTCAATGAAGTCACTGAAAATCCAACTCCAGGAGCTATGGCAGTGTTAATGAACATATATCATCAGGTCTTAAAAAAAAATAAAGGTAAACTGAAAAGACAACTGGCTACAAAGAAGGATGTCAGAATGTAAGGAAACTATAACTAATAGTCATTACCAAAATACTAAAACCCAACAAAATGCAACTGAAAAATACCTTCCAAATTTGCCAAGAAAAAAAATTCTATTTTAAACTTGTATCCTGAGTCTGTTTCATTCAACATGAGATGTGTGATGACTGCCATCCTGAAGATCTGAAGCCAAACCATGTGCCTCAGTCTTGAGTGGAAGAATCACCTTTATGGTTTGTGGAAATCATGGCACAATTAAAATAAGTTGGGAGGGACAACGTGACAAAATTTGAGTTAGAGACATTCATTTTGAAAAGCACCTTAGTAAAGTTATTTCCTCTGATGTTGTAATGGGGCAGTGGGGTAACGCACATTTGCCTGCCAGGGTATGCAAAGTAACTTACATCATGCTATCAGCAAAATGAGAATAATATAGTGGCTAGAGTAAGACCATAAAAGCCAAAATACAGAAAATCCAAAGCTGAAGGTTAAACAGAGGTAACTTCAGAACAAATAAGCCACAACGGACTCTAGATGTCAGTGTTGTGCCAAATAACAGCACCAGGGAAGATGTGGGCAACACATCTACTTTACAAGCACGTTTGTAATACTGATTTTTTTTCTTTTCTTTTTTTTTTTTTTTTGAGACAGAGTCTCGTTCTGTTGCCCAGGGTGGAGTGCAGTGGTGCAATCTCGGCTCACTACAACCTCCACCTCCCGGGTTCATGCCATTCTTCTGCCTCAGTTTCCCAAGTAGCTGGGATTACAGGTACGCACCACCACGCCCGGCTAATTTTTTTTTTTTTTTTTTTTTGTATTTTTAGTAGAGACGGGGTTTCACCATGTTGGCCAGGCTGGTCTCAAACTCAAGACCTCAGATGATCTGCCTGAAATGGCCTCCCAAAGTGCTGGGATTACAGGCGTGAGCCACCGCGCACAGTCTATAATACTGATTTTTAACCAATTTAGGAGGGAAATGTCAGATAGGAGGCATGGTACAAGGATATTTATGGAATTCATTACCACTTCACTAAGAAAACATGATATAAATTGTCCTTTGAAAGCTACTTTGGTATAAAAAAATCTAAAGTGCCCATAAGTATGCATTCATTATTAGACACAAATTACAACCTTACAACCTACTATGTTTATTTCATTAAAGTGTCTCTTTTAGGCCGGGTGTGGTGGCTCACGCCTGTAATCCCAACACTTTGGGAGGCTGAGGCAGGTGAATCATGAGATCAGGAGTTCGAGACCAGCCTGAACAACATGATGAAACCCGTCTCTACTAAAAATACAAAAAAATTTAGCGGGGTTTGGTGGCACACACCTGTAATCCCAGCTATTTGGGAGGCTGAGGCAGGAGATCACTTGAACCCAGGATGCGGAGGTTGCAGTGAGCTGAGATCACGCCACTGCACCCCAGCCTAGGTGACAGAGCAAGACTGTCTCAAAAATAAATAAATAAATAAATAAATAAATAAAATAAAGTGTTTCTTTTAAACTGGTATTGCCTAAGGTGTATTCTTTATAAAACTTAGAATTGTTAAATATTTTAAGATTCCTTTGAAAGTGTTTTTGCATTGATGGTTTAAATCAGTGATATCAAACTTTCCTGATCCTATGTGCCCAGAAAAATGGGCAGGGGAAAGGAGGCAGCATGGAACCTCATTTTTTTGTGTGTATCTGTGTGTACACGTGAGTGCACATGTGTATATGTGTGGGGCCACATGTGTTTTGTATACGGTATATGCATGAAAATGTACCTTTGTACCTTATACACAAAAACAAATTAAACAATGGCATAAGCAGCAATATAAATAAAAAATGCTAATACTTTCCTGCCATATTCCAAAATAAACTGTCTTGTGTACTCTGCAGTGTGTACTTCCCCACTCTGAGACCACTAGCTCAGGTAAAGTAATGAGCTTCTAAGCCAGACTGCAAAAAAGGGCAAGCACTAATACCATCGAAATGAACAGAAGTGTTGAATTCGATCATTTGCTTTTCATTTCTGGGAGTCATTACATTTTGGTACTGAATTCCAGGACTGAAAATACACTGTTCATTGTCTAACCAGGAGACAAAATCCCTCAGATAAACTAGTATTTGACTCACAATATGCCTTTCCCATGTAAGCAAGGACCGTGTTTCAAAGATTGATTTTGAAGCTGAAATACGGAATATACTTTCGCAAAGAGTTCCATTCCTCTAGGTCTTATATAAGAATATCTGGTGTATACACAGTATTCATTCATTTATTCATCTATCTCACCAAAAGTATATATTTTCAAACTTCAAAATAAGTTTTATTTGGGAAGAGTTTCTTATTTTGTTAAAGCTACAAGCAAGTTTCTTTCCCAATTACACTTCTAGAGATCTTAGCAGTTTCAGAGATTTCAGTGTTCAAAAGTATATTTCAAAATTAACAACAAAACCAAACCCACACCAAAAGGAAATAGCTTTGAGATTAGTTTGGGATGTACAGTCATTGATTTCAGGCGCCAACACTATTTACTGAGTGCTACACTATACAATCAAAGGCCTCTTTTGCAAACTATCCTCGGGTCATACTGAACTTGCTCCACCCCCACACAAACCTTACTCACACCTTCATGCTTTTGCACATGCTGTTCCCCTCAGCCTGGTAAAATGCTTCAGACTACAAACACAGCTCACCTCAACATGAAACCTTCCCTAACTCACCCACAGGCTAACAGATCTATTCGTCTCTAATTCTTCAGTACTTAGTTTGACATATTTCTTACCACAATTTCCTGCCATTATCTGTTTCTATCTATATTGTGTACTATTCTGTGTTTTAAGAGCAAAAGCGTGATTCTCATTTATCTTTATATTTCCACTTGGTACACAGTAGGCCCTCAAATGCCTTCTATAAATGCAATTGAACAATGTTTCTATAGAAAAATGTTCCTTCAGCATTTAAATTGAGATATGTAGCATACTTCAGTCCCTCACCATGAAGCTTCACCCCTTTCCATAAAGACCATTCAACAAACCCCAACAGTACTAATTGTCCTGCTATCTGAGCATCCAGAAAAGAATTAAACTGCAACTTTTTCTTTCTTCTTGAGATGGAGTTTTGCTCTTGACGCTCAGGCTGGAGTACAATGGCGTGATCTCGGCTCACTGCAACCTCTGCCTCCAGGGTTCAAGTGATTCTCCTGCCTCAGCCTCCTGAGTAGCTGGGATTATAGGCATCTGCCACCATGCCTGGCTAATTTTTGTATTTTTAGTAGAGATGGGGTTTCACTCTGTTGGCCAGGCTGGTCTCAAACTCCTGACCTCAGGTGATCTGCCCACCTTGGCCTCCCAAAATGCTAGGATTACAGGCATAAGCCACCGCACCCAGCCTAAGCTGTAACTTTCTGTTTAGATTTGGGTTTCCTATGACAATTAAAAAAGAATTAATACTGAAACAACTTGTTTTACTTCGAGCTGCAAAAACAAATTACCATAGACTGAGTGGCTTATTGAGAGGTGACAATGTGCTAGCAGCCCTCGCTCGCTCTCAGCGCCTCCTCGGCCTCGGTGTCCGCTCTGACCGCACTCAAGGAGCACTTCAGCCCGCCGCTGTGCTGTGGGGACCCCTCTCTGTGGCTGGCCGAGGCCGGACTGGCTCTCTGCTCGCGGGGAAGTGTGGAGGGAGAGGCACGGGCAGGAGCCGGGCTGCGCGCAGCGCACGCGGGCCAGCACAGGTTCCGGGTGTGTACGGGCTCAGCAGGCCCAGCACTCGGTGCCACTGGCTGGTGCCTGCTGGGCTTAATCAGGGGACAAGCTCCCTCTGGGCTGCTGGAGTGCCCAGGCTAGGTGCCACAAAGTCCCGCAGCCAGTGCCATTGAGAGGTGAAGCTGGCTGGGCTTCTGAGTCGGGTGGGGACCTGGAGAACTTTTCTGTCTAGCTAAAGGTTTGTAAATGCACCAATCAGCACTCTGTGTCTACTTAAAGGTTTGTAAACGCACCAATCAGTGCTCTGTGTCTAGCTAATGGTTTATAAATACACCAATCAGCGCTCTGTGTCTAGCTAGCCGGGTAGCAGACTTGGAGAACTTGTGTCTAGCTAAAGGATTCTAAACGCACCAATCAGCACTCTGTGTCTAGCTAAAGGTTTGTAAACACACAAATCAGCGCTCTGTCAAAACGGACGAATCAGTGCTCTGTAAAATGGACCAATCAGCTCTCTGTAAAATGGACCAATCAGCAGGATGTTGGTGGGGCCAGATAAGGGAATAAAAGCAGGCCAACAGAGCCAGCAGCAGCAACCCGCTCGGGTCCCCTTCCATACTGTGGAAGCTTTGTTTTTTCACTCTTCGCAATAAATCTTGCTGCTGCTCACTCTTTGGGTCCGTGCCACCTTTAAGAGCTGTAATACTCACTGCAAAGGTCTGCAGCTTCACTCCTGAAGTCAGCGAGACCAAGAACCCACCAATTCCAGACACATTTTGGCGACCCAGATGGGACTATCACCTATCGCCAAGTGGTGAGACTATCGCCTATCGCCAAGCGGTAAGTACCATCGGACCCTTTTCACTTGCTATTCTGTCCTATTTTTCCTTAGAGTTCGGGGGCTAAATACTGGGCACCTGTCAGCCAGTTAAAAGTGATTAGCGCAGCCACCGGGCTAAAGACATGGGTGTCAGGCTTTCTGGGAAAGGGCTAACAACCCCCGACTCTTCAGAGTTGGGAGCGGTGGTTGGCCTGGAACCAGCTTCCGCCTTTCCAGTACTTCTGGGCTGAACCGAGGGTCGACAGAGAGGAAAGCCATTCAGCTCCGGGGTCCCAACAAGAAGTTGGTTGACCCTGCGGCCATGAGCAGAACTCTCAATGTCGCCCAAGCGAGACTAGCCCATCTATTCTATCTACCCTGACCCTTGCCTCCTGGGTCCTAACGCCTGTCAGACAAACTTCCTCTCACCTCTTGGAGTCTCTGAGGCTAGTCCCACTTCTCAAAATCACTCCCTGTCTCTGGTGCTTTTCCAGTTTCTCCTATGAGGATGATTTCTAGTATAAACTCCAGGAGTCTACTCCCTTCTTTAGGCACCTGGGCTCACCAATCAGAAAGACATAATTTTTGCCCAAAGCCCCGTCATAGGGGGAACTCTGGAATTTTAGGATCCCTCCTTAGAAAAGCAGGCCTAACAAATGCTATTCCTGAAGCTAGGATATGGGGAGCCTCAGAAATTGTATCCTTCCTATTCATATAAGTGAGGACAAAAGGTGTCACTCTTCCAACCCTGGAGATCCCTTCCCTCCCTCAGGGTATGGCCCTCCACTTCATTTTTGAGGCACAACATCTTTATAGGACACAGGTAAGGTCCCAATACTAACAGGAGAATGCTTAGGACTCTAACAGGTTTTTGAGAATGCATCAGTAAAGGCCACTAAATCCAATTTTTCTCAGTCTTTGTGGTCTACGAGGACAGGCAAGGGTGCAGGTTTTCGAGAATGCGTCAGTAAGGGCCACTAAATCCGGCCTTCCTCAGTCCTCCTTGTGGTCTGGGAGGAAAACTACCGTTTCTGCTGCTGCTTCGGTGAGCGCAACTATTCCAATTAGCAGGGTCCGGGGACTGCTGCAGGTTCTTGGGCAGGGGGAGAAACAAAACAAACCAAAAACACAGGCGGTTTTGTCTTTCAGATGGGAAACAGGCATCAACAGGCTCACCCTTGAAATGCATCCTAAGCCACTGGGACCAATTTGACCCACAAACCCTGAAAAAGAAGCGGCTCATTTTTTTCTGCACTATGGCCTAGCCCCAATATTCTCTCTCTGATGGGGAAAAATGGCCACCTGAGGGAAGTAGAAATTACAATACTATCCTGCAGCTTGACCTTTTCTGTAAGAAGGAAGGCAAATGGAGTGAAATACCTTATGTCCAAGCTTTCTTTTCATTGAAGGAGAATACACGAGAATACACAACTATACAGAGCTTGCAATTTACATCCCACAGGAGGACCGCTCAGCTTACCCCCCATATCCTAGCCTCCCTATAGCTCCCCCTCCTATTAATGATAATCCTCCTCTAATCTCCCCTGCCCAGAAGGAAATAAGCAAAGAAATCTCCAAAGGACCACAAACCTCCCCAGGCTATCGGTTATGTTCCCTTCAAGCTGTAGGGGGAGGGGAATTTGGCCCAACCTGAGTACATGTCCCCTTCTCCCTCTCTGATTTAAAGCAGATCAAGGCAGACCTGGGGAAGTTTTCAGATGATCATGATAGGTACACAGATGTCCTACAGGGTCTAGGGCAAACCTTCAACCTCGCTTGGAGAGATGTCATGCTACTGTTAGATCAAACCCTGGCCTTTAATGAAAAGAATACGGCTTTAGCTGCAGCCCGAGAGTTTGGAGATACCTGGTATCCTAGTCAAGTAAATGACAGCCGAAGAAAGGGATAAATTCCCTACTGGTCAGCCAGCCGTCCCCAGTACAGATCCCCACTGGGACCTTGATGCAGATCATGGGGACTGGAGTCGTAAACATCTGTTGACCTGTGTTCTAGAAGGACTAAGGAGAATTAGGAAAAAGCCCATGAATTATTCAATGCTGTCCACCGTAACTCAGGGAAAGGAAGAAAATCCTTCTGCCTTCCTTGAGCAGCTACAGGAGGCCTTAAGAAAATATACTCCCGTCGCCCAAATCACTCAAGGGTCAATTGATCCTAAAAGGTAAGTTTATTACCCAATCGGCTGCAGATATCAGGAGAAAGCTCCAAAAGCAAGCCCTGGGCCCTGAACAAAATCTGGAGGCATTATTAACCTGGCAACCTCGGTGTTCTATAATAGGGACAGGCCCAAAAGGAAAAGTGAGATCAGAGAAAGGCCACAGCCTTAGTCATAGCCTTCAGACAAACAAACCTTGGTGGTTCAGAGAGGACAGAAAATGGGGCAGGTCAATCACCCGGTAGGGCTTGTTATCAATGTGGTTTACAAGGACACTTTAAGAAAGATTGTCCAATGAGAAATAAGCCGCCCCCTCATCCATGTCCACTATGCTGGGGCAATCACTGGAAGGTGCACTGCCCCAGAAGACAAAGGTTCTCTGGGTCAGAAGCCCCCAACCGGATGATCCAACAACAGGATTGAGGGTGCCCGGGGCAAGCGCCAGCTCATGTCATCATACTCACTGAGCCCCAGGTATGCTTAACTATTGAGTGCCAGGATTGACTTCCTCATGGACACTGGTGTGGCCTTCTCAGTGTTAATCTCCTGTCCAGATGACTGTCCTCAAGGTCCGTTACCATCCGAGGAATCCTGGGACAGCCTGTAACCAGGTATTTCTCCCACCTCCTCAGTTGTAATTGGAAACTTTGCTCTTTTCACTTGCCTTTCTTGTTAAGCCTGAAAGTCCCACATCCTTATTAGGGAGGGGTATATTAGCCAAAGCTGGAGCTATTATCTACATGAATATGGGGAACAAGTTACCCATCTGTTGTCCCCTACTTGAAGAGGGAATCAGCCCTGAAGTCTGGGCATTGGAAGGACAATTTGGAAGGGCAAAAAAATGCCCGCCCAGTCCAAATCAGGCTAAAAGACCCCACCACTTTTCCTTATCAAAGGCACTATCCCTTAAGGCCTAAAGCTCATAAAGGATTACAGGATACTGTTAAACATTTAAAAGCTCAAGGCTTAGTATGGAAATGCAGCAGTCCCTGAAACACCTCAATTCTAGGAATACAGAAACTGAACGGTCAGTGGAGACTAGTGCAAGATCTTAGACTCATCAATGAGGCAGTAATTCCTCTATATCCAGTTGTACCCAACCCCTATACCCTGCTCTCTTAAATACCAGAGGAGGCAGAATGGTGCACTGTTCTGGACCTCAAGGATGCCTTCTTCTGTATTACCCTGCACACTGACTCCCAGTTTCTCTTTGCCTTTGAGGATCCCACAGACCACACATCCCAATTTACGTGGACAGTCTTGCCCCAAGGGTTTAGGGATAGCCCTCACCTGTTTGGTCAGACACTGGCCCAAGATCTAGGACACTTCTCAAGTCCAGACACTCTGATCCTTCAGTATTTGGATGATTTACTTTTGGCTACCAGTTCAGAAGCCTCGTGCCAGCAGGCTGCTCTAGATCTCTTGAACGTTCTAGCTAATCAAAGGTACAAGGTGTCTAGGTCAAAGGCCCAGCTTTGCCTACAGCAGGTCAAATATCCAGACCTAATCTTAGCCAGAGGGACCAGGGCCCTCAGCAAGGAATGAGGGCCCTCAGCAAGGAACAAATACAGCCTATACTGGCTTATCCTTGCCCTAAGACATTAAAACAGTTGCGGGGGTTCCTTGGAATCACGGGCTTTTGCTGACTATGGATCCCCAGATACAGCGAGATAGCCAGGCCCCTCTATACTCTAATCGAGGAGACCCAGAGAGCAAATACTCATCTAGTAGAAGGGGAACCAGAGGCAGAAATAGCCTTCAAAACCTTAAAGCAGGCCCTAGTATAAGCTCTGACTTTAAGCCTTCCCACAGAACAAAACTTCTCTTTATACATCACAGAGAGAGCAGGGATAGCTCTTGGAGTCCTTACTCAGACTTGTGGGATGACCCCACAACCAGTGGCATACCTAAGTAAGGAAATTGATGTAGTAGCAAAAGGCTGGCCTGTTTACGGGTAGTTGCGGCGGTGGCCATCTTAGTGTCAGAGGCTATCAAAATAATACAAGGAAAGGATCTCACTGTCTGGACTACTCATGATGTAAGTGGCATACTAGGTGCCAAAGGAAGTTTATGGCTATCAGACAACCACCTGCTTAGATACCAGGCACTACTCCTTGAGGGACCAGTGCTTCAAATACGTATGTGCGTGGCCCTCAACCCTGCCACTTTTCTCCCAGAGGATGAGGAACCAATCGAGCATGACTACCAATAAATTATAGTCCAGACTTATGTGGCCCGAGATGATCTCTTAGAAGGCCCCCTAGCTAATCCTGACCTTAACCTATATACCGATGGAAGTTCATTTGTGGAGAATGGGATACAAAGGGCAGATTATGCCATAGTTCATGATGTAACCGTACTTGAAAGTAAGCCTCTTCCCCCAGGGACCAGTGCCCAGTTAGCATAACTAGTGGCACTTACCTGAGCCTTAGAACTGGAAAAGGGAAAAAGAATAAATGTGTATACAGATAGCAAGTATGCTTATGTAATCCTACATGCCAATGCTGCAATATGGAAAGAAAGGGAGTTCCTAACCTCTGGGGGGAACCCCCATTAAATACCACAAGGCAATTATGGAGTTTTTGCATGCAGTGCAAAAACCCAAGGAGGCGGCAGTCTTACACTGCCAAAGCCATCAAAAGGGGAAGGAGAGGGGAGAACAGCAGGATAAGTGGCTGGCAGAGGCAGGGAAAAACCAGCAGAAAGGGAAGAGAGGAAGAGACAGAGGGAGTCAGAGAGAAAGAAAGAAAGAGACAAAGTCAAAGAGACAGAGACAAAGAGGGAGTCAGTGAGAGAGAGAGACAAAGAAAAAGTCAAAGAGAAAGAGAGATGGAAGTAGTAAAGAAAAAACAGTGTACCCTATTCCTTTAAAAGCCAGGGTAAAGTTAAAACCTATAATTGATAATTGAAGGTCTTCTCTGTAACCCTGTAACACTCCAATACCACCTTGTTGTCAGTGTAAACAAGGGCGTAGCGCGAAAGCACTGAGGCCACTGACAACCCATAGCCTTCCTATCAAAAATCCTTAACCCAGCAGGTTTCCTAACAGGGGATCTAAATCTTAATCACCATACAAAGGTCCAATCAGACATAGGAGGAACTCCCTTCAGGACAGGACGATAGATGGTTCCTCCCGGGCGATTAAGGAAAAACGACACAATGAGTATTCAGTAAATGATAAGGAAACTCTTGTAGAAACAGAGTTAGGAAAATTGCCTAATAATTGGTCTGCTCAAACTTGCAAGCTGTTTGCACTCAGCTGAGCCTTAAAGTACTTACAGAATCAGGAAGGAGCCATCTATACCAATTCTAAGTTAATATACACTAAACGAGGTCTTATTAATAGCAAAGAATAATTGAAATCCCAAACTTAAAAGGTTTTCAACAAAAGTAAAGTTTGCTAAAAGTTAACAGTGTAAACATATATTATCCTAACTTCTAATCTTGTGGAAATCAGACCCTATCAATACTCTTCAAAGCTCAAGTCCGTCAGCACAGAGCCATACAACTAATACCCCTATTTATAGGGTTAGGAATGGCTACTGCTACAGGAACCGGAATAGCCAGTTTATCTACTTCATTATCCTACTATTACACACTATCAAAGGATTTCTCAGATAGTTTGCAAGAAATAACAAAATCTATCCATACTCTACAATCCCAAATAGACTCTCTGGCAATAGTGACTCTCCAAAACCCCTGAGGCGTAGACCTCCTCACTGCTGAGAAGGGAGGACTCTGCACCTTCTTAGGAGAAGAGTGTTGTTTTTACACTAACCAGGCAGGGATAGTACGAGATGCCGCCCAGCGTTTACAGGAAAAGGCTTCTGAAATCAGACACCACCTTTCAAACTCTTGTACCAACCTCTGGAGTTGGGCAACATGGCTTCTCCCCTTTCTAGGTCCTGTGGCAGCCATCTTGCTGTTACTCACCTTTGGGCCCTGTAATTTTAACCTTCTTGTCAAATTTGTTTCCTCTAGAATGGAGGCCATCAAGCTATAGATGGTCTTACAAATGGAACCCCAAATGAGCTCAACTAACAACTTCTACCGAGGACCCCTGGACCAACCCGCTGGCCCTTCCACTGGCCTAAAGAGTTCCCCTCTGGAGGACACTACAACTGCAGGGCCCCTTCTTCGCCCCTATCCAGCAGGAAGTAGCTAGAGTGGTCATCAGCCAAATTCCCAACAGCAGTTGGGGGTATCCTGTTTAGACGGGGGATTGAGAGGTGACAACGTGCTAGCAGCCCTCGCTCGCTCTCGGCGCCCCCTCGGCCACGGCGTCGGCTCTGGCTGTGCTCGAGGAGCCCTTCAGCCCACGGCTGCACTGTAGGGGCCTCCTCTCTGGGGCTGGCCGAGGCCAGAGCCGGCTCCCTCTGCTCACAGGGAGGTGTGAAGGGAGAGGTGCAGGCGGGAGCCAGCGTGGGTTCCGGGTGGGCGCAGGCTCGGCAGGCCCCGCACTTGGCGCCACCAGCCAGCGCCTGCTGGGCTTGATCGGGGGACAAGCTCCCACTGGGCTGTCGGAGTGCCCAGGCTAGGTGCCGCAAAGTCCCGCAGCCAGTGCCATTGAGAGGTGAAGCCAGCTGGGCTTCTGGGTCGGGTGGGGACCTGGAGAACTTTTCTGTCTAGCTAAAGGTTTGTAAATGTACCAATCAGCACTCTGTGTCTACCTAAAAGTTTGTAAACACACCAATCAGCACTCTGTGTCTAGCTAATGGTTTGTAAACGCACCAGTCAGCGTTCTGTGTCTAGCTAATCAGGTAGGGGACTTGGAGAACTTTTGTGTCTTGCTAAGGGATTGTAAACGCACCAATCAGCACTCTGTGTCTAACTAAAGGTGTAAACGCACCAATCAGCGCTCTGTCAAAACGGACCAATCAGCTCTCTGTAAAATGGACCAATCAGCTCTCTGTAAAATGGACCAATCAGCAGGCTGTGGGTGGGGCCAGATAAGGGAATAAAAGCAGGCCACCCAAGCCAGCAGCACCAACCTGCTGGGTCCCCATCCATGCTGAGGAAGCTTTGTTCTTTCGTTCTTTGCAATAAATCTTACTGCTGCTCACGCTTTGGGTCCGTGCCACCTTTAAGAGCTGTAACACTCACCGCAAAGGTCTGCAGCTTCACTCCTGAGGCCAGCAAGACCAGGAACCCACCAGAAGGAACTAACACCTCCAGACAGGCCGCCTTTATGAACTGTAACACTCACCGCAAAGGTTTGTAGCTTCATTCCTGAAGTCAGAGAGACCAAGAACCCACCAATTCCAGACACAGAACAATAGAAATTTATGAGTTCTGGTGAGGACCCTCTTTCTAGGTACAGGCTGCTGACCTCTTGTTGTATCCTTGCATGGCAGAAGGTAGAGAGAAGCAAGGTCTCTCGGAACTCTTAAAAGGGCATTCATCCCATTCAGGAAGGCTCTGCTCTCATGATCTCATCTAATCCTAATCACCTCCTAAAGACCCCTTCCTAATACCATCACGATGGGGGGTGGGGGCCTCAAAATATATATCTGGGAGGAACACAAACAAACACGCAGTCTATAACACAACTTTAAGAGGGAAATGTAATCACAGCACTTTGGGAGACTGAGGGGGCATCACTTGAGGTCAGGAGTTCAAGATCAGCCTGGCCAACATAGCGAAACCCTGTCTCTACTAAAAATACAAAAATGAGCCGGGTGTGGTGGCACACATCTATAACCCCAGCTACTCAGCAGGCTGAGTCAGGAAAATCACTTGAACCCAGGAGGCGGAGGTTGCAGTGAGTAAGCCAAGATCGTGCCACCACATTCCATCCTCGGTGACAGAGTGAGACTCCATCTCCAAAAAAAAAAAAAAGAAACATCTCAAGCCAAACAACAGCAACTTCAAGTAAAAAAAAAAAAAATTAGCATCATATTTAAAGTAGTAATATTTTCATTAAAGTTAGAAACAAGGCCAGGTGCAGTGGCTCACATCTATAATCCCAACACGCTGGGAGGCGAAGGCAGGCCAATCACTTGATTCCAAGAGTTCAAGACCAGCCTGGACAACGCCGCCAGACGCCCTCTCTACCAAAAAAATACAAAAGTTAGATGGGTGTGGTGGTATGCACCTGTAGTCCCAGCTACTCAGGAGGCTGAGGTGGGAGAATAGCTTGAGCCCAGGAGGTCAAGGCTGCAGTGAGCTGTGACAGCACCACTGCACTCCCGTCTGGGCAACAGAGCAAGTCCCTTTCAGAAAAGAAAGAAAAAGAAAGAAAGAAAAAAAAGTGGGGGAGGACAGGGGAGGGTGTTTTGTTTTTAAACATTACTAAGCAAATTGCTATCTAGAGACCTCCTCTAGTAAAGTTATACATCTAGTGGTGTGCTGGTAAATGTGTAACTACCAGCTTGGAGAAGAAAATGGCTATTTGCAGTGTTTGCCAATTTCTATAGTGTAAATACTCCCATCATGGTCAATTTCAATAATGGCCATGTTTAACAACCAGTTCACTTAAATTCCTACCAAAACAACAATCAGCTCTCATGAACCAGTCCACGCCAGCTCCAGCATCTACAGCTTACATGTAGACAACCATGTGGAGACATATGTGCTGGTAAGAACTACTTTCCTAGATACATTTAAGTGGAAAAAGGCAACAGAAGTTATTTATAATTGGGAACTGCCTGTATAATTTTTTTAATGTACATACAGACTTACATTTACATAGACTATCTTTTAAAGAATATTCAAGAAACCTGAACAAGATTGTGGAACTGGACTGGATGAGAAACTTTTTTTGTTTTGTTTGTTTTTTGAGATGGAGTCTGGCTCTGTCACCCAGGCTGGAGTGCAGTGGTGCAATCTCGGCTCACGGCAAGCTCCGCCTCCTGGGTTCACGCCGTTCTCCCACCTCAGCCTCCCCAGTAGCTGGAACTACAGGCGCCCACCACCACACCCGGCTAATTTTGTTTTTATATTTTTAGCAGAGATGGTGTTTCACTGTGTTAACTCAGGATGGTCTCGATCTCCTGACCTCATGATCTGCCTGCCTTGGCCTCCCAAAGTGCTGGGATTACAAGCATGAGCCACCACGCACAGCCCAGAAACTTTTTATTGTAAACCCTCTAGTAAGTTGCTTGAAGTATTTTTTTTTAATTACTGAATTACTTTTTAATAAAAATTACAATTTTGAAAAATTAAACATCATTAAATTTTTATTTTTACAATATAATTATCCTTCTCTTGACTTCATATCTTTCCTTCTTTGGGGGGTGCTTAAAATAATTCTCACTAGATTCAATAACCCCTAGCCAAAACTGGGTCAGTAAACCAAATAAACTGAAATTAGAATGGTATTTTTTTCATTTTTTTTCCAAATAGCAAAACTGCTGTGGTTCAACTTCAAGCCATTTACCAAAACAATTACCTAAGTAATCATTTCACCTACAACTACTTTTAGTTAAAAAAAAACAAATTAAGCCAAGTATGCAAAGCACACTCAGATATCCTCCAACAGTCCAGCATTCATGAATCTACACAGCAAAACCATTTTGCATCTCCCAGTCCTCATGGTTTCACATGGAAATCATCAGGATCTAATTAGTGACTCAGAGAAAGAAAGCAATAATAGAGTGCCGTGGCGCGCCTGCAAAATTTATAGGTCACTAAAAGTCACCCATAGCAACAAGGCTTCTTGTCTCAGGTCTGCAGTGTGTCACATGCCAGACTCCTCAGACTCAACAGGCAGCTCTGCACATCCACAATCAAGGAGCTTGTTTTCCACACTTCATGGAGACTTCCCTCTTGTCTAGTTTGACTTCCTCTCCATTTTTAGCATCAGAAACACAAGGAAATAAAATTCGTGGTTAGATTGATGTTTCTTCCCCCTGCTCTTTCATCTCCTGCTATGCCAGGAAGTAGCATTAAAGTTCTATCATGCGGTTGCCCAACAGGACACAGGAACCCAGGACCTTCCAACCTGATGACTAGTGAGTGCAATACAGAGAGCTGGAGCTGAGGCTTAATTACACAGGAAGGAGTAGCACTGAAGTAAGATCAGGTTGCTGAATCACGAAGGAGGACATTTTGCAACATATAGATGATATATATACACTCACATTTAAAAGCATTTTTTCTTTACCATGACAAACCACTCGACAACAGGAACATAAAAATGGAGATCTAAGATGGGAAAGGGGAGATCTGTTCTCTCTGCTCTTTTCCACACCCTTCTATATCGAAAGAATTCCCCATTTTCCCCATTATCAACACAAATCTGAAACCATTTGGTAAATATTAAGACAAGCATTAAATCTGAAGGCACTAAGATCTGGGGAGAAAAAACACATACAAGAAATTAAATTAATTTGTGACACCACAAATCCACACAGAATCCAATGGTTATATGAAACGGGCATTATTCCTTAAGACATAGATTTTCATATTTGATAATAATGACATTTGCAAAATCCTAATAGATTTCTTCAAAATGTCTGTGAGCTCTTAAGAGTTTCTGAAGTCAAGGTCAATCGAGGCAGTGAAATAGAAAATCTGAAGATTTTTCAGCCAGGGATGGTGGCTCGCACCTGTAATCTCAGCATTTTGGGAGGCAGAGACAGGAGGATCACCTGAGATCAGGAGTTAGAGACCAGCCTGGTCAACATGGCGAAACCCCATCTCTACTGAAAATACAAAAATTAGCCAGGCATAGTGGCATGTGCCTGAAGTCCCAGTTACTTGGGACTCAGAAGGCTGAGGCCGGAGAATGCCTGAACCCACGAGGTAGAGGTTGCAGTGAGCCAAGATCGCACCACTGCACTCCAGCCTGGGCGACAGAGCAAGGCTCTGTCTCAAAAAAATAAATGAAACACTGAAGATTTTTAAATAGTAACTTGTATTATTCATAAAATAAATAATTTTATATTAATGTACATTAACTTATGAAAATGCAGGAGACTTAAAATCATAACTTTCAAGATGACCTAAAATGCAAACCACACAAACTAAAACTATAACTTAATGTGGCATTAAGTCAGAATGGCCAGAAGTCACAGTAACTATGAAGTGATATGAAATCAACCCGTTTCTTCTAACATATTCTTCATTCAATATTGCTGAAGAGCAAGACCATGCAATCAAAAAATCAAATGTTACAGAAAGAAATGATACATGCTGCAACAACACACATGGTCTTCAAAAGAGAAAAAAACAGATAAAAGCATTTATCATTTTTAGAGTCTGGCACAAGAGATGCAAAACGGAAAACAAAACAGCCATGACATTCAGCAAGTATATACGACCAGATTTAAAGGCACTGTTTATTGCTCGATTCAGTTGTAAAGCTAATAAATAAATGGTTCAAGCTCCATTTAAAACCAGAGATACAGTTGCATTTTTAGCTTTCAATCTCAAGCAGTCAGACCCAGCTAAATATTAATTATTACCACTGCAAGGGGAATGCTAGACCTCTATAAAGTCCACCTTAAGGTGAACATTAACCAAGATGGTGTTTTACATGGATTAACTGGATTACTTTAAACTGCAGGCTATTATAAGACATACTAGACAATATTTAATTGTACACAGCACAAAATCACAAATACCAATAAACAGCTATCCTCAGTAAGAGCTAGCCTGACTGACCACACTTACCGTTTTCCACATAGGGATGAAAGGGGAGGACAAGGGCAAGGATGACCCTGCCTCTAGTTGGCTCCAAGACACTTCTGATATCTTTTAACAAAGTCAGGGGCTGATCACAGCGGTCCAGCAAGTTCAGGCAGCTGATGACATCATACTGGAACCCCGTATTCTGCCATTCATTTATACCAAGGACTCTAGAAAAATCAGAAATAACTGTATTAACATAAAGTCCCTCTAAAGACATCTTTAAAAATAACTGAGATGACAATAAAGGCTTTAACTTTGTCTTCTAAATTAAGTTCAAAATCTTCTGTTATAATTTATGTTTGCAATAATGACATGGCCAAGGAAGAGAAAAATAGCAACCATTTTTTTTTTTTTTTAATTTTTTCTTTTTTGAGACACAGCCTCACTCTGTTGCCCAGGCTGGAGTACAGTAGAGCAATCTCGGCTCACTGCAACCTCTGCCTCCCAGGTTCAAGTGATTCTCCTGCCTCCGCCTCCCCAGTAACTGAGATTACAGGCAGTTGCCACCATGCCCGGCTAATTTTTGTGTTTTTAGTAGAGACGGGGTTTTACCACATTGGCTAAGCTGATCTTGAACTCCTCACCTCAAGCGATCCGACTGCCTCGGCCTCCCAAAGTGCTGGGATTACAGGTGTGAGCTACCACGACTGGCCCATATTTCTTTAAATTTAGCATTTCACCTATTTCCAAATCTCAACACATACGAAGTTTCCTTTACAAGAACTAATCATGTTTAATAAGTATGAAGATGTAACCTGACAAAGTTATGAAACTAAAACATCAAATTCTTTTGAATATCAGTTAATGAACAAGAGTCCAGCTTTTTACCATTCATTGGAACTTAATCAAAAAATGCATCATATAATTAATGTTTTCTATTCCTAGGATCCCTTCTATTCTTAAAAATGGCTGGGAGTGGTATAAAATAATTTCCATTGATAACTTATGACCTTTGAGCACATTTCCGTTCCCAGGAAAGACATATTTCATACTTGAGAATCTTCATATCTGAATAACTATACAGAAAAGGACCGGGCACGGTGGCTCACGCCTGTAATCCTAGCACTTTGGGAGGCCAAGGCAGGCGGATCATGAGGTCAGGAGATTGAGACCATCCAGGCCAACATGGTGAAACACTGTCTCTACTAAAAATACAAAAATTAGCTGGGTGTGGTGGCGCGTGCCTGTAATCCCAGCTACCCGGGAGGCTGAGGTAGGAGAATCGCTTGAATCAGGGAGGCGGAGGCTGCAGTGAGCCGAGATCACATCACTGCACTCCAGCCTGAGGACAGAGCCAGACTCCATCTCAAAACAAAACAAAACAAAACAAAAACTATACAGAAAAGATAAAGCCCAGGACATCCTATTAACATTAAGAGCATGGTTTAAAAAAAAACCACTCTCGATCCTCAATCTCTCACTTTCATACACACGTACACAGAACACAGAGAACATTTTCAGTCCTCTACAATGTTGTTATCTCTAGAAAGGGGGAGTTTTTATATCAAGAGTCTTTGTTAGCCACACAATTAGGCAATTTTACAAATTACTTACTCCTGCTTGGTTATACCAATCAGAATGTGGTAGGTGAGATATGTTATGATAGAGACAGGTAAAAAAGGAAACATAAAAAAAGGATCTTTGGTAAACAAGTCTTTAGTAATGTTGAGCAGATACAGTAAGATAGCTCAGAAAATTCTAAAAGTATAATGAGGGTTGTTTTGAAAACCTCATTAGCATAATGATATTTAGAGCATTTCTGAATAGCAGAATTTTAAAAACACAAAGCACTTAGCTGCATTTTCTTTTCAATCTATATTTTTGTCAAACTAAAGCCTCTTCCAAATAGCAGCCTAACAAACTTCCAGGGACTAGTCAGATTCCTTACTGGTGCAGGTGTTTCATTGCACTAAATACTGTTTGAAATAAGTAGAGCATTCAGGCTTTAAAATCACTTTGTTGTACTAAGTCAACTGTAATAGCAATTTTGGAAATTCAATTTAGCTCATTCCAAGAGTTTCCAAACATTACTAAGAAGACTACTTTCAGAACAAAAATGTCATCAATTCCCATTCTAAAAAATGGAAATGAATAAAGAAAGGACTATTTGTATATATTAACGCCTTAGCTAAGCAGCCAATTTAAAGACACAAATTGTAAAACACAAATTATATATTTGATTTTTAAAAACAAAACAACAAAAAAAATCTGATGTCTATCTGCAATGAAGCAGAAGCCAAACATCATCAGCATGTTCTAATCTAGAATAATCTCACTAAACCTACCTCAGAATGAGTTTCAGATAGGTAGCCTCTGTGTTGGTAATTTTGGAAGAGAAATATATGCTCATAACACAAAAAGGTGACTAACACTAAGACAGTTAAATCTATACCTATAGAAGCTCAAGTGCATTCTTACTTCTGTTTTGTGATTTTTATTTGTAAACTCACTCAGTTCCACTGATGAAGACAAATTGCTTAGCCCCACTAAAACTGCGTATTAGCCCAGGAATCCTAACAAGTTGTCAGAATTTTCCTTTTTCTAAAACAGTATTTCTAAACCTAGAATGAGGGTATCTATTCAAGTGATTATTATTTTCAAGAAAATGAGTTAATACTTCCAGAAGGATGTAAAATATATTTCTCCTTAGAGAATGATAAAGCAGTCAGGTGCAGTAGCTAACATCTGTAATTCCAGCACTTTGGGAGGATCGCTTGAGCCTAGGAGTTTGAGACCAGCTGGGGCAACACAACAAGACCCCATCTCTATAAAAAATTAAAAATAGCCAAGGATGGTGGCACACACCTGTAGTCCTAGCTAAGCTACTTGGGCAGCTGAGGCAGGAGGATGGCTTGAACACAAGAGTTTGAGGTTACAGTGAGCTATGATTGTGTCACTGCACTCCAGCCTGGACGACAAAGCAAGATCCTGTCTCAAAAAAAAAAAAAAAAAAAAAGGCCAGGCATGGTGGCTCACACCTATAATCCTAGCACTTTGGGAGGCCAAAGCGGGCAGATTGCCTGAGCTCAGGAGTTCAAGACCAGCTGGGCAACACAGTGAAACCCCATCTCTACTAAAATACAAAAACTTAGCTGGGCGTGGCAGCATGCGCCTGTAGTCCCAGCTACTCGGGAGGCTGAGGCGGAGGCTGCACAGTAAGCCGAGATGGCACCACTGCACTCCAGCCTGGGCAACAGGGAGAGATTCCGTCTCCCAAAAAAAAAGATGCCTTGCCATCTCGGGTTGGGAGAGCTCTAAACTTAGGAAATAAGCAATCTGTATTTTGATAATTCCTAAATAAAAAATGAAACACTAACAATATAAAGAAAACTGTCTTGCTGTAAAAATCAAAACCACATCCTTTAGTTTTACAATTGGGTTTTCTGGCATAAACAATGACAACTTGCGAATACAAAGGAAAAACCTGGCCATTTTCTGTTTATTGACCTATTTTTGAAATGCAGAAACTTTGGCTGGGCGCAGTGACTCACACCTATAATCCCAGCACTTTGGGAGGCCAAGGCGGGCGGATTGCCTGAGTTCAGGAGTTCGAGACCAGCCTGGGCAACACAGTGAAACCTTATCTCTGCTAAAATACAAAAAATTTAGCTGGGTGTGGCGGCATGCGCCTGTAATCCCAGCTACTTGGGAGGCTGAGGCAGGCTAATCACTTGAACCTGGGAGGTAGAGGTTGCAGTGAGCTGAGATTGTGCCACTGCACTCCAGCCTGGTGATGGAGCGAGACTTTGTCTCAAAAAAAAAAAAAATTACAGAACCTTTATTTAAAAAGGTGTGTTTTGCTCATGCCTGTAATCTCAGCACTCTGGGAAGCCAAGGCAGGAGGACTGTTTGAGGCCAGGAGTTCAAGACTGGCCTGGTCAACATAATGAAACTCCTGTCTCTACACACACAACACACAAAAACACACACACACACACACACACACACTCTCTCTCTCAAATTAGCCAGATATGGTAGCAGGCACCTGTAGTCCCAGCTACTGAGGAGGCTGAGGTGAGAGGATCACTTGAGCCCGGAAGTTCAAGGCTACAGTGAGCTATAATCACGCCACATGCTCTAGCCCAGGTGACAGAGAGAGACCCGTCTCTAAAAATATATATATATAAATTAATAAAAAGCCTGTTTTTCATGGCCCAGATATTGAAGAGAAATAGAAAATAGCTCTAATCTCAAAAGGAAGAAAAAAATGTAAAATTCAGCTGAAAGTCTGCCTTGCCATCTTGGATTGGGTGACCTCTAATCTTAGGAAATAAAGATACTACTTCCTCATTAAAACCTCAAACTGCACCAATAGTCACAAAATTTACCACTTTTGTGAAAATGTTTTCACTTCATACTAATATTATGAAAGGAATGCCAATCAGTATGAATTTCCCATGCAGGTCAAACTGCAGATTTTTGGCTTATGTGCTGTATATTAGGGAAAAAATTAAACCAAGTATTTTTTATGTGGTAGATATCTTTACATACCATGTACACTCCAGATATATTACTAATTTCAAACATCTGAAGTTTCCCTGAAAATTCCATTTAGGCACTTAGCATCAAAGCAAAAGAAGGCTGGGGCGGTCAATCATCTGAAGATGGGTTTAACACCTTCCTCTTCGACCCACTTCAAAGCATGGATTTTTTTAAGGGGGGGAGGTGGAATCAGATTAGGAATTCAGCCTGACTTAAGCCACTGTTATAACAAAGGTCAAAGCATTCTAAGTTTTGAAATGCCGAATTAATCTCTAACTGAAGGAAAACATGTCAATTATCACCATGCAGACCCACCAGAACCTTATCTGAGACAGCTTGCTAAAGCTAAGGGGCTTTCAAATCACTCAGTTCAAACTCACACCTTCCTTATGTCTCTTCCTATAACAACCCTAACAGCAATTTAAACACTGACAGTGATAAGGACTTAAACAGTTCAAGCTAGGAAGGTCGATCTCCCTAAGCTGTAACTCAACTTCTAAGGCGTAGCTGTGCCTGATTACACCAGAGACTATACCTATTCCTTTCCTTCCATATAAAAATCCCACAGCGTATCTGTTCACAGAAATCTTCCCTTCTCCAGGCTAAAAATCTCCATGTTTTGCAAATGCTCAAACCAGTCCTGCTCCAAAAGCTACACTGATGCTCTATCTCTAGGATTAATCTGTAAAAGTAGAAACATGTGGATAGGAAAGTGAGTGATTACATAATTTCTTCTCCTTTCTTTCTAAGGCTAACCAGACTTCCAAAAATATCACAGAGAAAGGCTGACTCCAGCTCTACCTCCCTGATTCTGCACTGAGCCAATATATAGAAATCTCCCAATCAATAAATCATACTGAAATAAGAATACCCTTCTTCCAGCCGGGTGCAGTGGCTCACGCCTGTAATCCCAACACTTTGGGAGGCCAAGGCAGGCAGATCACGAGGTCAGCAGTTTGAGACCAGCCTGGCCAACATAGTGAAACCCTGTCTCTACTAAAAATACAAAAAAAAAAAAAAAAAAAAAATTAGCCGGGCATAGTGGCATGTGCCTGTAGTCCCAGCTACTCAGGAGGCTGAGGCAGTAGAATTGCCTGAATCCAGGAGGTGGAGGTTTCAGTGAGCTGAGATCACGCCACCGCACTCCAGCTTGGGCAAGTGAAACTTCATCTCCAGAAAAAAAAAAAAGGCCCTTCTTCCTAGTCTTTCAAACTCCAGATGACCTTAAAACCAAGATTAACACTGATGACTATAAACTAAAAGCAAAACAAAACAGAAAATAGCAAGTATTGTCAAGGAGTGGAGAAACTGAAACCCTTGTACTACATTGCTGGTGGGAATGTAAAATGGTGCAGCAGCAATGGAAAAGTATTGCAATTCCTCAAAAAATTAAACCCAGACTTAGCCATGTGATCCAGCAACTCCACTTCTGGGTCTATACCCAAAAGAAGTAAAAGTAGGGGCTCAAGTCGGTATCTGTACACCCATGTTCATAGCAGCATTATTCACAACAGCCAAATGGTAGAAACAACCCAAATATCTACTGACAGATAAATGGGTAAACAAAATGTGGTACATGCATACAGCGAATTATCATTCATCCTTAAAGAAAATTTTGGGCCAGGCGCAGTGGCTCACACCTGTAATCCCAGCACTTTGGATTACTTGAGGTCAGGAGTTCGAGACCAGCCTGGCCAAATAGTGAAACCCTATCCCTACTAAAACTACAAAAAAATTAGCCAGGCATGGTGGCATATGCCTGTAATCCCAGCTACTTGGGAGGCTGAGGCAGGAGAATTGCTTGAACCTGAGAGGTAGAGGTTGTAGTGAGCCGAGATCGTGCCACTGCACTCCAGCCTGGGTGACAGAGCAAGACTCCATCTCAAAAAAAAAAAGAAAAGAAAAGAAAAGAAAATTTTGGCCCATGGTACAACATGAGTAAACCTTGAAGACATTATGCTACATGCGATAAGCCAGTCACAAGGAGCTAATGTATATAATTCCTCTTATACGAAATACCCAGAATAGTCAAATTCATAGACAAAGTAGAATGGTGGTTGTCAGGGGTTACGAGGAGGGAAAAATGGGGAGTTATTGTTTATTGGGTACAGAGTTTCCGTTTCGGAAGACAAAAATTTCTGGAGATGAATAGTGGTGATGATTATGCAACAATGTAAATGTACTTAATACCACTGAACTGTACACTTAAAAATAGTTACAACAGTAAATTCTATGCTATGTGTATTTTACCACTACTTAAAAAAATTTTTTTTGAGAATGCCACATTCTGATTAGGGAAGAAGTCCCTTCTTCTGATCTGCCTTTTCCAAGTTGTCTCTCGCTAGTGCTTTTCTTACCTATAGTGCCAACCCCTCCGCTCCAGAAAAATACTGCTACCAGAAGATTATTTCTCTACATTTCCAGTTAATTATGTATGAGATGATTTTTTAAATTTCTAATCATGGAAGATCATTTTTTATTCATATCCTTTAAATAATATACTTTCAAGAAGAAATGCATCTAAAACCAAGAAAATTATACCTGTATTTCTTTTTCTGAAGCTGCCATATCATAGTTTCAGAAAGCTCAGTGGCATAGATTTCTTCAAAATGAGGGCTCATGATTTTTGTGACTTCTCCATCTCCAGCACCTAAATCAAGAAGTCTGTGGGTTTTCCAGTCTGGATTAATTTTAAGCAGTCTCTGAAACTGATCTGGTGAAAACACAAACATTGAGCCTCTTCCTAGCAACCTGAAAGAAAAAAAGGACAAAAATGGAAGTGTCTATGCAAATTAAGCACCCCTCACATACACACACAAAGTGAATATAGTGACTCAGCACCAACAACCATAATCACTTATTACATGGTTAAGATTTTTTTTTTTTTTAGACAAGGTCTCACTCTGTCACTCAGGCTGGAGTGCAGTGGCATGATCTCGGCTCACTGCAACCTTCGCCTCCTGGGTTCAAGCGATTCTCCTGTCCCAGCCTCCTGAGTAGCTGGGATTACAGGCATGCACCACCACACCCGGCTTATTTTTTGTATTTTTAGTGGAGACAGGGTTTCACCATGTCGGCCAGGTTGGTCTCGAACTCCTGACCTCAGGTGATCTACCCGCCTCGGCCTCCCAAAGTGCTGGGATTACAGGCATGGGCCACTGCGCCTGGCCTAATTTTTTTTTTCTTTTTTTTTTTGAGACAGAGTCTCGCTCTGCCGTCGCCCAGACTGGAGTGCAGTGGCACGATCTCTGCTCACTGCAAGCTCCGCCTCCCAGGTTCATGCCATTCTCCTGCCTCAGCCTCCTGAGTAGCTGGGACTACAGGCGCCCGCCACCACACCTGACTAATTTTTTGGATTTTTAGTAGAGAAGGGGTTTCACCATGTTAGCCAGGATGGTCTCGATCTCCTGCCCTCGTGATCCACCCGCCTCTGCCTCCAAAGTGCTGGGATTACAGGCATGAGCCACCGTGCCCAGCAAAGATATTATCTTTTATGTCATTTCTATGATTAGAAGACAAAGTTAATAAAATAAGAAAATGCCTCCAGATACCATTTGTCTTTGGAGTTGCAAATAATGCCCCAAAAAAGCATGGGAGGAGGGAAATAAAAGGTGGAAAGTGGAAAGGATGACAGGGGAAGGAAGAAGAAATAAGTAAGAGATGAATGTGAAGAACTTAAGTCAAAATAGGAAGGAAAAGTGGAAGGAGTAACAGAAAACATGTTTATCAGTTGAAAAAGATGACAAGCTAACACAGCCAGACCACAGTAGCAGAGAAACCAAATAGGAAAAAAAAGTGATTTCAAATATGGAACTAAACCATGGATCAGGAAAAAAGAGCTTTAGTATAACAGATTTTTAAGAGACACTAGAGAAAAGAGGGAAAAGAGTGGTCCTTGTGATGTCGGTTAATATGCATTAAAGTAGATTCGTACTTATGTCAGTTTATATGGTTACAACTGTCTGGGTCCTATTATTTCTAAAGGTCCTAGAAAACACTCAAAACCATAGTGATGCCTTTGAAAAAAGAGACTGAGGGGAGTTTAACTGGAGATTGAAGAGAACCCTCAGAAAAGCAACTATAGGTCCAGCCAAGTCTCATGGAAGCATCACTCTGGGAAATAAAGCGCAATCCCTATTTAGGACTTGTTTTCTAGCTCTGAAATTCTAGTTTATCTAGGACAGGGATTCTCAACCCTCCTTTAAGCAGCAGAACCCTTTCTTTAAATGAAGTGGAACTCACAGATAACATAAGATCCTAAGAGAGCTGCTGCTGTTCGAATGAGGTTGGGAGCCCAGGAGCTGTGGCCAGCCCACTTCTAGGCCTTTCTCTGCAGCCTGAAGCAGTTCCTGAGGCACTTCCTCCTCAGACCCTAGAAAACAGTTTGGGGACCACTGGTCCAGGAAGTGGCAGGGAAACCTGTTCTGTACTGCTGCTCTCTGGAAACAATCATAAGGTACAGAATGTTTGCTGCTATACAGTGACTGGAAAGATGCATGCAACACGGTGCCCAAGGTAAGACCAGTTTTAGGAAAAAATACAAATAATGGAGTTCATGTAACAAAGTCCCCCTTCCTTTTCCCATTAAGGCCATAGGAGAGTTTAACCAAGTTTACAGTAAATCTTCTGCCCCCATAGAAATGCTAAAAATTTGGAGAAAGACCTCAGAGACCACTAAACGTGATGCTACCGACTACAACTGCTTACCAAAGAAAATCACGTCTCATAAAAGACAAGTTGTTTTAATCCTCAATTGTTCATATATTACAGTAAGAAAATAAGCAAATCTGAACTTGCTGAAGTAGCTGTACAAAATTTAACACAGAAACCAGTCACAGCAGAAAGAGGCTACTGGCAGCATGGCTGAGGGGAGGCGAATTTCAAATACTGATGCTGACTTGCCACAGGACCAAAAGTAAGTCACAAAATAGTTATTTTGCTTAAATTTTCCCAGAGCGTGCTTCCCAAGCCATCTCCTTGGGATGTGAGGAATCTTGACATGATAATTATAAAATTCTAGAACAAGAGGTCACCTGAGCTCAGAGCTCACAAGTTCATCTGACTGGTCTACATTTATAGGCACTAGAGGCTGGGCATGGTGGCTCACGTCTGTAATCCCAGCATTTTGGGAGGCCGAGGTGGGAGGATCTCTTGAAACCAGGTGTTTGAGACCAGCTGGGCAACATGGTGAAACCCCGTCTCTATAAAAAATACAAAAATTAGCCAGGCACGGTGGCATGAGCCTCTAGTCCCAGCTACCTGGGAGACTGAGGCAGGAGGACTGCCTGAGCCTGAGGAGGT
The DNA here is from genome assembly GCF_000001405.40 of Homo sapiens. Lineage (NCBI taxonomy): Eukaryota > Metazoa > Chordata > Mammalia > Primates > Hominidae > Homo > Homo sapiens. The sequence goes on along the minus strand of NC_000016.10, from coordinate 21,615,314 downwards.
CAAGGCTGCAGTGAGCCATGATTGTGACACTGCACTCCAGCCTAGGCAACAGAGCGAGACCCTGTCTCCAAAAAAGAAAGAAAGAAGGCACTAGAGAAAGAGGGGAAGCATTGTCCTATTTCGAAAGAACATTAGCAACAGGGGCTCTACAAAAAGATTAACACTGTCAAAAAATAAATCAAAATCCATCAAGCCCAGTGTTTATCAACCAGGATTGATTTTGCCCTCTAGGGGGCAATGGGAGTAGACAGGAGAGTTTCCAGTAATCACAAGGACCTGGGGGTACTACTGCCATTTAGTGGGCAAGGCCAGAAAAGTTAGACTTCCTGCAGTGTGGGGGGCAGTCTCGCACAATGAAAAACAGTATCACCTAAAATACTGAGCCCAATACAAAGTTTCCCATAAACACAAACCATGAAGAGATATGACCCTCTAATTTGGGTTTAACTTTAGTGTTTAATAACCATCCTAGGTTCTCTGATCACAATCTAAGTTCTCTCTAGACTTAAGAGTCTACGGAGAGATGCACCTCTTCCTTATAAAATAAACTCTGGAACATCTACTAAGTCTTTCCTTACTTGGCCTTCTCCTTTCCAAAATAAAGGAAGTTTGATAAGTATCCTAAGGTAATACAAGACAGTACTACAGTAATGATTTCTGTGAGAGATGGCCACCTGTAGTAATTATCTCCCACTGCCATGACCGGAAAGTACTGATGGGCCCTAAAATTTAGTTTTTAGCTGAGAATGGGACACAAGGCAAGAAGGACTGAAAGCAGGGTGGGTATCAGAAGGAAAAAGCAGAAGAGTTTTAAGTAAGGGAAGCCAAAAGGGGTTTATTAACTGCATTGCCTCTTTGATCAAACTGTGAAATTCTAGAGCACGGAATTTTAACCAGGGTCTTATGGGTAGAGGAAAGGGGAAATAAAAGTTTGAAGCCCCCAAAATCATACACAAAATGTTGAATGTAAGCACTTTTTGAAGAGAGGATTCCTACCTTTATCACTTTCAAAGAGCTACAGGACCCCAGAAAGGATAAGAATCTCTGCTACAGTGACTCATCTGAATTCCAAAGGAAGAATAAATGGTATAGAACAGAAATTCAATATAACCAATTTAAGGAACAAAATGTCAGACCAAGTTGTATCAACTCAACCACCCATATAAAAATAACAACTGTTTGCCAAAGCAAACGTATGGCAATTTCACATAAACAATGAAGAAAATCAACTGAGAAATCTTGAGAAATGGCTTGCGGTGCCTGAAGACTTAGGACCAGATGATACACTGGGGATCCAGTCAGTCAGTAGAAACTGCTCCAAACCTCAAGGGAAAAGAAAAGTGGGCCCAACCAGTGGTTTGAGTGGTCCAATGAGGCTTCTTAACCATTGAGCCTGTTGCTTTTCTCTTTGGCATTTTAGATTCTAGGTCCTTAGGAATGCTTGAAAACATGGCCAAGAAAGGATTGAAAAAAAAAAAAAACAAAAAAAACTCCTAAAGCTTTTTCTATGGATTTATATGAGGGAACCACTCTGGGGACAGAGAATTCCACAATAAGTTCATAAAATTCTGGTGAACCTAGACATTATTTAAGAACAGATGCAGGACTCTTCACTCAAAATAAGCCATCATCCACTGTTGGGCTGACTAATTATATCTCCCAAAAAAAATTTGCCACTGCGAAGTATGTTTAAGGCAAAGATCTTACTTTTCAGCCTAAGGGCGTAAAGCCCTCAGCTTCAGGGCTTGGTTCCAGGAGTCTTGCTACTTTGTGGTCCAGAACCAGCAGCATTCAGCATCACTGGCATCGTCTAAGAGCTTGTTAAAAATGCAGACTCTCCAGGTGCAGTGGCTCCCACCCATAATCCCAGCACTTTGGGAGGCAAAGGTGGATGGATCACTTGAGGTCAGTTAGAGACCAGCCTGGCCAACATAGAAACCTCGTCTCTACTAAAAATACAAAAATTAGACAGGTGTGGTGGTGCACACCTGTAATCCCAGCTACTTGGGAGGCTGAGGCATGAGAATTACTTAAACCCGGGAGGCGGAGGCTGCAGTGAGCCCAGATTGCCACTGCACTCCAGTCTGGGAAACAGAGCAGGACTGTCTTTAAAAAAAAAAAAAAAAAAAAAAAAAAAAAAAAAAAAGCAGACTCTCAGACCTAGCCCCTGATGTACTAACTCATAATCTGCATTTTAACAAGACCCCCAGGTGATTCCTATGTACATCAAAGCCAAGAAGCACTACCGTAAGTAACTCCCGCTATGAATAAACATACTAATGAGGCTGTCACGTTATGGTGAATTTAAAGGGCAGAACCACAGAAAGATAGAACGCTGGACCAACTGCCAAGGTTCTGACTAGTAGAAGTATTGTAGCTCAGGTAGTCAACATGCTGAACAAGATAACTTTTCTTTTTGTGTTTTTCCTTTTGTAAACCTAAGGATAAAGAAAAAAATAAATGTCCAAGATTCACTTACCCATTGATAGATGTTCTAGACATAAACAGGCTAAAAACAGATGACACAAAAGAATGATATAATTGGATAAATAGCCAGCCCGATTTCTCAATGCTGTTGTTTAAGAAGATCTGTGTTCCTTGATCAAGGTAACTCTGAACAAAGACAGCCTGGAGTGATTCGCATAATTTCTCTCTGTTGCACACATACCACTAAAAAAAAAAAAAAAAAAAGAACAAAAATTAAAACACACAACCGAAGTGTCACCTAAGAAATCCAAAAACAAAAAACCAGAAGACTAAATCACATCTAAGATTTCCAAATATTACCATCTCATGATACTCTGAGAATAATCATTTCGTATACTCATATAACCTATAAAATATAAAGTACTTCTTCAGACATGACTTCTCATTTAATTCTCTTACAGCCCTCAAGGTAGGTAGAGTGGGTGAGGGAAGGGTGGAGAGGCTTTTGGGTCATTCAGCTTAGTAGGCAGCAGAACCAGACCACAGCTCAGGCACTCGGACTCCCAGCCCAGTGCTTCAGTCACTGTACCCGAGATTTAGAAAGCTCTGCTGGCCTCTCTTTCACTGAGATTCAACATCAGAAGGCAAACAGCTAGCAGCATCCTTGTTTTTAGACAAGAAAACAGTCACATAATCCAATGCCTTAACTCAAAATCACCAAACAAACCCAAATAGCAAAGTAAGCAACAGAATTTAACACTCCAGTGACCAGATTAAGTTGCCTTTCCTCTTGTGGACTATGTAAAAGAGATCTTTAGAAATCTTGAGGTATGCTTTACAAATAGGTCATATGACATTCTTACAGAGGCAACATGTGCTCAAGAAAGATTAAGAAGTTACTTAAGGTCATACTGCAATCAACGAGAAGACCAAATAGTAACATGCTAAGAACCAGATTTCCAGGAATTGGCTCTACCCAGAATCCACATTCTAGAACAAAATTCAAAAAGCTTCACCTGTAGATGAAATTTAATCTTTCATAATAAATGAGTCAGCATACCAGAGAGGTGGGGAAGCAGACTGTACATCAGCTTTAGCGTCAGCCCCACAATCAAGTCCCGGCTCTGCCCTTCCTATGTGAGCTCAGACAAATCACTTAAATCTCTCAGCCTCCATTCATTTGTAGACTAGAGATGTCACTGGGGTCTATATATCCTGGCAGGGTACGATGAGGATTAAACAAGATAATGCAGGCAAGTCCTCAACATAATACAAAGCACGTAGTGAGAATCCTACAATAATAATAGCAGTGAGATTCCTCTAACATAGCCTGAGAAATAAGAATAAGCCCCTTAAGTACAGTGATGAAACTACAAAGTATATCAATTATTATTAACCCATTATCTGCCATGAAACACAAATTTTTCCCAGTCAATTGGCCAAGAGTAATTTGCTTCCCCTTGACAAATACGACCTTTTATCAGCAGTAGACGTCCCATAAGTGCTTGCACAATTGGTAGACCAGCTTTACAGTCATCCTAAGCTTACTAATGTTCAGTGAAATCTTAAGTAACATTCCTGATGCTAACGTTAAAAGGAACTAGTTACAAATCAACACAAACAAACAGGCACGTTAAATTTCAGAGATTAATCATTTTACAAACTCTGTTCCCTAAACTGGGTAAACCAAACCTTTCCAGTTGTGGACTAATTTGTGCTAATTTGCCATTTCATCACAGTTATCAAAACTGCTTGGACTTTATATATAAAACTGTTTTTATTTTTCCTACTCTATATGACAAGCTATGAAGCTTTTTACATTCACTGCCTACATTTTTTCCCTTGGTCTGAAAATGTTCTTGCTTAATGATTTTCTAATTCTTAATACTTATTGTGCCTGAAGTTATGCTCCAGTGCAGGTCATAAACCGTTTTTTATTATACTCATGACCTCCTGGTGCACGTTCTGAACTCTGTAATATGGAGGCCACTCTGACTTTTATTTATTTTTTATTCTCTGAAATGGCTAATCAAGATGAAAGCCATCACCTTGATAATAGGCAATCAGGTACATTTTATTAATGTGGATGAGAAGTCATTCAAGTGAAACAGAGGAGCTAAGAATTCCTTGGCATCCACTTGTAAATGGACTAGAACAACAATAGATTCTGACTTCTAGAACCAAGCAGGAACTGGCACCATTAGCTGCAAATAGTGCTTTCAAGCACCAAGAGGAAAACTCAAGTTTTTAATAGCATTTTTCTCAATTCATCAACATTAACACGTGTGGTTGAACCCTTACTGTCACACAGGTCTTTCTGGAAAGAAACTGCTTATTGAACAGAATGTGCTACAGAACAAAAATAGAGCAAAGCTCTTCTCTTTAAAAAGAAAGGTGAAACGTATGTCCTTTCTGACCATTTGCATGACACAAATGTCGATTTCACAGCAGCAATGTCAGAAACTGCAAACAAGTCAAATGTCCATCAAATGGTGGATAAGCAAGATGTGATAATAGATTCATATAAAATAATAGCATGTTCTGCCATACAAAGGAATGAAGCACTGCTTCATGCTCCAGCATGGATGAACCTTGACAACATTATGCTAAGTGAAATAAGTCAGTCACAAAAGACCACATACTGTGTAATTCCACTTACGTGAAATGTCTTGAATATGCAAATCCAGAGATAGAAAGTAGATAGTAGATTGTGGCTGCCAGGGGCTGGGGAGCTGGGACAATGTGGAGTGGCTGCTAATGGACATGAGGTTTCTTTTTGGGGTGATGAAATGTTCCAAAATTAATACTGGTGATGGCTGCATAATTCTGTGATTATACTAAAAATCAATGAATTGTACTCTTTAAAAGGATAAATTTCATGGTATGTGAATTATATCCCAATAAAGCTGTTTTTTAAACACACACACACACCCCTCCCTAAATATGCAGGTGGCAGTTAGATCTTCCAGAAATTAAAAGTGGCCTGAAAACATAAGTAACCTAGAAAACCTCTTAAAATGCAAATTTTAAATGCAAATCTGATCACATCACTACCCTGCTTAACAGGAATCTTAGGATAACATCCAAAATGCTTAATATGGCTTATAAGGCCCTGCACGATTTTTGTTCATTCTGTGTCTCCAGCCTCACCTCATGACATTCCCTACCAACCCATGACCCCTGGACCCTCACTCCATCACACAGCTCCACCCCTTCCTTCTTTTTTCTGGAAGGCCCCTTTCCCGTGGCTGTCTCACATGGTATTTGCTCTGCCCCCCAACATTTCCCACCACCTAACCCACTCTCTCTTCACCTGGTTCGTTCAACTTCAGCCTAAATATTTCCTAGGTATATTTTCTTTTCAAAGGAAAATATACCTACGAAAGGCTAGGCTAGGCCCCCTGTTCTAATACCCTTTCATACATCCCATTTGTCCCTTTGGTAATATTTACAATCTCTGAATTGAATAATTGTAGACAATCGCATGTTCAGTGCCTATCTTCCCAGGTAGACTGAGAGCTTCATAAAGGCAGAGAAAATGAATGGCTTCAGTGCCTGGCACAGATACAGACAAACAATAAATGTTCATCAACAGGCAGCCTAAACAGAATTTGGAGTTTCTAACAAAATCCTAGAGGAAACATAAGGATAACCACAGAGATCGCTGCCATGGGGTTTCTGTCAATTTCTCAAACTCTGCAAGGCCTTGCTTAAACCTAATTTTGCAACCAGTGGTTACAGCTACCCACTCACCACAAAATTGCATTACCACAAGCAAGGAAGCAAGCAATGAAGGAAGACACCAACTGAGCACCTATCATGCACCAGGCACCAAGCCATGTGCTTTACATTTCATTTACCACCTTGCAATTTCTGAATAAATGGGAAGCATAGGGTCCCTAAGCAGCTCCAGCTGATTCAAGCTCCTGCTCCAGGTACGTGTTGTTTTATAAGCGTTTCTTTCAAAGAAGCTTCTCTTCACTTAACTCTACCCAGTGTGTCTGCTAAAGAAAAGAAAGCAGGACTATCCTGCCAATTAAACTGAACTACATGTGTGTAGAGAAAAGATAATCTGGTCTAGATAGTAACTAAAGTCCTGTAAGCCAGGGTTTCTCAGCCTTCACACTACTGACATTTGGAGCTAAATGATCCTTTGTTATAGGGGCTGACCTGCACATTGTAGGATGTTCAGCAGCATTCCTAGTGCCTATCCATCAGGTTACAGTGGCACTACCCCAAATGACAGCCCAAAATGTCCCAGGCATTGCCAAATGTCCCCTGGGAGGCAAAACTGCCACTGCTTGAGAACCCATACATGGCCTTACCCACAAAATGTCACTGTACTGACTCTCCAGTAGTGTTTCCCACTATCCCAGCCTAACTATGGTCTAGGGACTCCAGCTGACTGAATTAAAAGATGGACTCGCTGGCCTCAGAGAACTTACATTCCAGAGTGAAAATAAAATCAGAAACCAAGGGAAACAAGTAATGTGACTATGATCTTGGCGAGGAGCTTCAGAGCCTTAAAGGAGCAGTCACCTTGCCCTTAAGGTGAAATACCAAGGACCAAGGAGAGAAAAAATCTGCAGGAACCCCTTTAACCCAATGGGCAGGACTCCTGGTTTCACCTCTCTCCAAACAACCAGCTTAGATAAAAAGCTACGCTAAGCTCGCAGCACTGGGTGGCTTGTCTGTATGCTCCTGTGTACTTTCAAGCAGGTGAGTTCTTTGTTTTTTTTGAGACGGAGTCTTGCTCTGTCGCCCAGGATGGAGTGCAGTGGTGTGATCTAGGCTCTCTGCAACCTCTGCCTGCCGGGTTCAAGTGATTCTCTCGCCTGAGCCTCCCAAGCAGCTGGGATTACAGGCACCTACCACCCCGCCTGGCTAATTTTTGTATTTTTAGTAGAGATGGGGTTTCACCATGTTGGCCAGGCTGGTCTTGATCTCCTGACCTCAGGTGATCTGCCTGCCTCGGCCTCGCAAAGTGCTAGGATTACAGGCGTGAGCCGCTGCGCCCAGCCGCAGGTGAGTTCTTTAAATGTGTGCTCCTTAAAGACTACAGAGACAAAGGTGCACAGGCAAGAACAAAGTACTATGCCCGTTAAATTCACACACTGACAGGACTACACGCCCACTCTACTGTGAGGCTGGACTCCTTGGCTGGAGCCTACCATGTCTGAAAAAGCATCTTATTAGCATCTGCCTTTAAAGCTCACTCAAATGTTGTTTCATCTAAATAAACAAGGGAATCTTTTAAATGACAAATTCTAATCAAATGAGAATGATTCCATTCAGTCATCTGCTGATGCCAAGTACAGAACAGGATGTGATATCTAAAAATTACAGTAAATAGCAATATTCTCCCTACTGGCAACACAACTGCAAAGATACTAATAATTGGCCAGGCAGTAAACAGCCAAATCAGGTGGCTGCCACGCGTTTTGAATGCATGTCTGACAGTATTCGCCAACCGAAGTTATTAAATATTAGGTCATACTGTCTTAAAAATTTCCTGGCTGGCTACGATGGCTCACACCTGTAATCCCAGCAATTTGGAGGCCCAGGTGGGCAGATCACTTGAAGTCAAGAGTTCAAGACCAGCCTGGCCAACATGGTGAAACCCCGTCTCTACTAAAAATACAAAAATTAGCCAGGCGTGGTGGCAGGAACCTATAATTCCAGCTACTTGGGAGGCTAAGGCAAAAGAATCACTTGAACCAGAGAGGCAGAGGTTGTAGTGAGCCCAGAGTGTGCCACTGCACTCCAGCCTGGGCGACAAAGCAAGACTGTCAAAAAAAAAAAAAAAATTTCTCATTAAGCCCATGAACTCCTCCTAATATTTATATATAACCTTGGTTGATGAATCACTCGTTCAAAGTAGGAATGCAATTTTCCTATAAAATTAGATTTGCTAATCAGACCAAATATGGTTAAAAGTTTTTCTGAAATTATTTTTGGAGTTTATCAACTAATCAAACATGTGATATACAACATATCCAAAATACAACATTCCCAAAATACAAAGGATTTAAGCACACTAGCAGAGTCAGAAAGTAATTTTAAAAACTGACTGATTTTAGATGATGTGGTATAATAAAAAATACATATTTGATCTTTGTCCCAGGTTCCTGATAGAGAGTTCCTAAAACCCTTCGGGAATCTCAGGGTAATAAGAGTATCTTTTGTATGCTAACAGGATGACTCCTGATAGGGGTGGGAGACCCAGACAGCTTCAGGATGGGGACCAGGATGTGGGTATAAGGTTCAAACTTTCAGCCCCACCTTCCAATCTCCAAGGATGAGAAAGGAGTTGAAGACTGAGTCTAATCATGCCTATGTAATGACACCCCTAAACTATGGGGTCCTGGGAGCTTTTAGTTTGCTGAATACATTGATATGATGGTTGGGTGGCTCATCAGAGGAAAGAGAAACTCTACACCACCTCCCACACCTCACCCTATGCACCTCTTCCACTTGGCCGTTCCCCAATTGTATCCTTTGTAATAAACCAGTAAACCTAAGTGGTTTATTATTATTATTATTATTATTTTGAGACGGAGTCTCGCTCTGTCGCTCAGGCTGGAGTGCAGTGGCGCAATCTCAGCTCACTGCAACCTCCGCCTCCACGGTTCAAGCGATTCTCCTGCCTCAGCCTCCCCAGTAGCTGGGATTACAGGCACGTGCCACCACGCCCAGCTAATTTTTTTGTATTTTTAGTAGAGACCAGGTTTCACCCTGTTAGCCGGGATGGTCTTGATCTCCTGACCTCGTGATCCACCCACCTCAGCCTCCCATAGTGCCGGGATTACAGGCGTGAGCCACCGCACCTGTGTTTTCCTAAGTTCTATGAGTCATTCTATTATAGGAAATTAGGGGGTGGGGTGGGGTAGGGTGAAGGTAGAGTTGTGGGAACTCCCAAATTTGTTCAAGGTGGACAAAAGCACTGGCAGCCTGGGAACCCAGGACTTCCAGCTGGCCTCTGAAGTGAGGGCAGTCTTGTGGGACTGAGCTCTTAACTCTGTAAAGCGTGACCCTAACTCCAGGTAGTTAATGTCAGAACAGGATTGAACAATTAAACACCCACTTGGTGATGGAAAATTAGAGAATGGCTGATGTCAGGAAAAAATGACAATACATGTAAGAATCTTTTTTCAACTTTAAGCCTTAAAAAAAGCATGCACAAACCAGATAAAGGCCAGAACTTCAAGCAGCTGTCTTATTCTCATCTAATTCACAAACTACAAAATCTTCAACAAGTATTGTGCACACAGCTACCTAACTTCAGTGTCTACACAGAGGCCTCACTAGAATGAGGGCAGTTTCCTATTCAGAAGGCAAGCCTAGGCCAGGAGCAGTGGCTCACGCCTGTAATCCCAGCACTTTGGGAGACTGAGGCAGGAGGACTGCTTGAGGCCAGGAGTTTGAGACCAGCCTGAACAACATGGCAAGACCCTGCCTCTACAAAAGATTTAGAAGCTACTCAGGAGGCCGAGGCAGGAGGATGTACTGAGGCCAGGAGTTTGAGGCTGCAGTGAGATATGATCAGGCCACTGCATTCCAACTTGGGTGACAGAGTAAGAACTTGTTTCTCAAAAAAAAAAAAAAAAAAAAAAAAAAAAAAAAAAAAAAAGAAGGCAAGCCTATTTTTACCACCCCTCAGACAACACAAGGTTTACCAGGAGGGGCATCATAAAGCAGCAGAAAATGTGTTGCCTTGAAACCAAAGCTGGGTGCAAAGCCCAACTCTATCATCCATTAACTCTGTGCTGGTGAGCAAGTCTCTTCTCTCTCTCACCCTCACTTTTCTGTATGTAAAGTGCGGATGATACCACCAACCTCCAAGAGTTCTATGTGGACTACTGGGGATAATATATTTGAAGTGCCTGGCACACAATAGAAGGCCAGTAGCTCTTCATATTTCCTTCCCCTTTCTCTCCAAGGCAAGGGCTGGTCAGAGGAGAAGTACAGTTCAAGGGAATGCCTAAAAACCAAACTGTAGGTCTAGGCATCCAGCCATTCTCAAAAGAAATGGGTAATCAAAGACCCAAGGCATTCAGGGCTACCAAAAACAATCAGAAAAGCTCCACTGCTCAGGATCTATGAACACAGAATCTTTTCTAAGTTGGCCAGACCAACTCCATCAACAGAGCTTGACAGCTAAGGATTCAAAATTCACATTCTAAGATTTTACAATGCAGTCAACTCAGTCCAGACATTTCACCATGCACACCTTGCATTTAAGCACAGCATAGGCGTAAATATTCAGACCATTCACCATTTTCCCACAAACAATATAAACTCAACCCAATAACCTCTTTATGTGAGATTTCAATGTGTACAGTGACAGGCACCCTCATATCCATGAGGGGAATCAATTAAAACAGATTAAATGGCTTCAGCTTTGATTTAATAACCAATTACTGGCAATCCTCATTGCAAATACTAAATACTCACTCCCCATAGGACAGGATAATCCTAAAATTTTAACAAAGCTTCAGAGGGTCTACACAACAGAGCTTTTTACTGGAAGCTATTAGGGTCTTCTAGGGCACCTTCAAAGAGAAACATAAAGACTCCTGGTATATCCAGCACAAGAAAGAGATTCTAGTGTTCTGTGAAACTGAAGCAAACACTTGGGGTTTCAACACAGATTATGAGGAAGCAAAGAAATCCTTTCTGAAGTCTCTTTGGTATTCAGCTGCAAAGGCCTCCAGACTCTCGAAGGCAGTTCAGAGAAGGACGCCAATCCATCAGTGTCTGTCCGGCTTAGCTGGCTGACTATCCTTGAAGCATTGTTAACTCATGCCTGACTCCAGTCTGCCTCCACAGGGTAAGTGAGGGGTAAAGGGACAGGAAACACTCTGTCCTTTAGCACAGTGTTTGGCTCTGGCTATGCTGTCCAAGTATTTTTTCATTTGGGGGAAAAAAAAGGATTTTAATTCTTTCTTGAATTCTTCATCACTTGTGGCATAGCGCAGTTCTGAGCTTATATAAGAAAGTGAAAAAATAAGTCACAAAAATATACACATACTTGCAATTTTAAGTTACAACTTAATAATTCCAGATATTGAATGTTATCTGTGCTTTTAAAAAACCTTGCAGTATGTCACCCGGAGAAATCGTTGTGGTTTGGTTCAGCGAGTTCTATAACAATTTTTTCACTCCATCAATTGAGAAGCTACTGAACCGCTATTATTACCAAGAACCTGGGGCCTAAGGGTCCTTTCAAAGTTTCAGTAGCTCCATAATAGTTGCATTAACTTTAAGCACTAGGTGCAATGCATCAAAAAGAATAGATCCTAAGTTTTTTGTTGTTGTCTTTTTAAATTCTGAGTCTGCCAACATTGCAAAGTGACAATATCTACTAGTTTCTCACTGCCTGCCTCTATTTCTTCCCAGTGAGTCAATCTACCCACCCTGCAACCTGTGATTAAGAATATGCTGTTGGAGGCTGGTTGCAGTGGCTCACTCCTGTAATTCCAGCACTTTGGGAAGCCGATGTGGGAAGATCACTTGAGGCCAGGAGTTCAAGACCAGCCTGGCCAACATGGTGAAGCCCTGTCTCTACTAAAACTACAAAAATTAACCAGGTGTGCTGGCACGTGCCTGTAATCCCAGCTATGGAGAGGCTGAGGCATGAGAACCGCTTGAACCCAGGAGGTCGAGGATGCAGTGAGCTGAGATTGTGCCACTACACTCCAGCCTGGGTGACACAGTGAGACCCTGTCTCCAAAAAAAAAAAAAAGCTGTTTGTTAAGGAAGCTGGGAATTTCTCTTGGAAAAAGTCTTTATTCTGTAAGAAGCCACGTAGTAAATGTTTTAGGCTTGCAGGCCATACAGTAGCAAATATGCTGCTATTGTAGCCAGGGAGCTCATAGACCACAGGTAAATGAATGTGGTAGTTCTCTTTCAATAAAACTTTATTTGTGGGCTGGGTGTAGTACCTCACGCCTGTAATCCCAGCACTTTGGGAGGCCCAGGAAGAAGGATCACTTGAGGTCAGGAGTTTGAGACCAGCCTAACCAACATAGTGAAACCCCATCTCTACTGAAAACTACAAAAATTATCTGGGCGTGGTGGTGTTCACCTGTAATCCCAGCTACTCGGGAGGCTGAGACATCAGAATTGCTTGAACCTGGGAGGCAGAGGTTGCAGTGAACCAAAATTGGGCCACTGCGCTCCAGCCTGGGTGACGAAGCGAGACTCCATCTCAAAAAAAAAACACTTTATTTGTAGACACTGAAATAAATTTGAATTCCATAAATGAAACTTCATGTATTACAAAATGTTATTTTGATATTTTCTTGGTAACCATTTAAAAATATAAAACTATTCTTATTTCATAGGCTGTAAAATAAGTCTGTGAGACCAGTCTGGCCTCCCAGCCACTTCCCTGCTCTAAGTGAAACCCTGCTTCTTGCTTGCCCAAAGTGAAACATAATCCCAGTTTTGAAGCTAGCACACCAAACCAAGTTACTAAAATGGCACTGCTACTACAGTTTTAGAGCAGCTTTAGCCCAAAGGAGCCTTGCCTCTCCAAACTATACTAACAAAATAGCCATTTTTAACGAATAAACATTGCCCAAGATCTCTCTTTTAACCACAGAATCCTCCATCATAATTCCTTAATAAAATAACCAGAAGGAACACTTTTGCTAAGTATGGTTCAATCAAATCCACAACCCTACTTTTATGCAACTCCAAAAGGCCCAGATGTGGCTGGCTATGGAACTCACACACCCAACTGAACACTTAGAAGACCTTGTATAAAACTATTAATCTGAAGGAGGAAAAACAGTTACAGTTACTTCACAAGCAACGAAGTTATAAGGCAAACCCAGGATCCTGGAATATTAAGTGGAAAACAAATTATCAACTCCAGCCACAGTGCAGAAAGGACAGTTTCCTACTTTATCTCATGGTGGTTTCTACACACCTTTCTTCTGTTCCTTTTAATCTTTATTCATGCACGATTATTTTCATAATATGAATGTATTCATGTCAAAATAATGTCTGGATTCATTATTCTAAGGAAAAGAGTTGACCCATCCCCCAAATATTCAGAAAACACCATATTAAGTCTTCACCCTAAAGAAATTATCTGCTGAATTGTTAGTGAAGGGGTACACACACACACACACACACACACACACACACAGAATATAAATACGGTATCTGAAATAAACGTATCTGAAACCAGTATTAGTTTTCATTAGAACTTAACAGATTCAGCTTTTAAAAGGTACAGTCAGAAAGTATCCTCTGCTGGGAGATATTCTGAGGCTATGTCTACAGCTGCAATTCCGCCTCCATACACATCACAGTGTTGAAATAGTGTTTCAATTTTAAAATAAGTGCAATTCTTTTATGAGCACTAAAAACCTACCAAGTGGCTGCAGTAGGGGTAATCATGATAAGTGTTATAAATACCAATAGCTAAGAGACTCAACCATAATCCCCCATCAATGGAGATAAATCGCTTTTTCTCCTATCCAGGACCTTATTTCTATCAACTGCTTAAAAATGTTAAAAATGACATTTCTAATTCATTGTCTACCCCATTGTTCCATATGTGACATTCTGGTAACTGTACAGTCAACGGTACAGTACCTTTGAGTTGTCTCTATAAGAATGAACTAGTGTAAGCAAATAATCCATAGGAATAAATGTGGTTTTGCAATTTAAGTTTACATACATTCCTAACCATATCATACAAGTGATCAATGATACTGATATTGCACCTAACAAACTGCAATGGCTGGAGGCTTTCAAAAAAATTTACAGAAATTTAGGATTCCTTTAACAATAGAAAAAAGCCCAATATACATATTACTAAAGACTAAATGCTACTTTTCTAAATTGCTCTATCTCCTTCTTAGACAATTCTCTACCCTCATTAAAACACATGAAATCAACCTGGGTGTAAATTCTCTGAACACCTGGCATAATAAAAAAGTAATGTAGGAAAATGAGAAATATATGAAAATGATGAGACACAAGATGATATAGGGAATAATTAATACTCTATGGAAAAGCAAAATGTATTATAAATGCTAGCTATGACAAGCCAACACTCTGGCAGAGTTCAAAAGCCTCTTTTCAATGAATTTAACATTAACTGCAAACTATGTTAAGGTCATATACGAAATATCTCACTTAATTCTACAGTTAACCTGTACACGTTTAAGTGGCGCAAGACTGAGCTAATGAAAAGCCTACCTACCCGGTCACAGCGTAACGCTCACGATGCATAACTAAAACTCCCTCCCGTCCCGTTCTGTTTTAAAAACCCTTCCTGTAAAACTTGCATAATCTTCCTCCTCATCACACACAATCTTTCTAGCAGGCTGACTAAATCCAAGTTTAAAGGAGATCTCTGCTAGGTAGGAGGGGAAGGTTCCGTAGGATGGGAGCGACAACCTGTCAAACCCATTTTTTAAGTGCTTAGGGAGAAATGTCACCCCAATCAGCCTGGAGAGTTCAATGGCTTGCGATGTACAGTTACATTTCTTCACGACCCTTTGTACGTTCTGGGATTCAACGAGACAACAAGAGGGGCTGGCTTTTCGTTTTGTTTCTCGGGGTAATGGATCTGGCCGGGTCTCTTCAGTCTCAGGCCTCGGTGCCAGGCGGGCGCCCCCAGCCACGCTCTGGCCCCAAAGTTCCCCAGTCCCGCTGCCGGGCGTCCGCAGTCACCGCCCGGGACCCAGGAACAATGCGGGGCTCCGGGCCGCTCACGATCGGGCCCGGGAGGCCATGCCCCGCCTGCGCTGCGGAACAAAAGGCGCTCGCGGGGCCGCGGCCGGGTGCCCGGGGCTCGCGGAGTCGACGCCCGGCGGGGAAGGCGCGGGGAAAACTTTCCAAGGGGCCGAGGCGGAGGGGCGAGGGCCGGGCCGCCCCCTCGCGGAGCCGTCCCGCACAATAGCCGGGCCCAGCGCGGGAAGGCCGGGCCGCCACGCCCCCGCCCCGGCCCCGGCCCCAGCCCGTACCTGGTGGTTCTCCTTCCTGCCGCCCGCGGCCGCCGCCGGCCCACCCGGGCCGCTAGTCATGTTCACGTACAGGGAGCGGGTGAGCGGGCTCCGCAGCGTCCACATCCTCCGCGCCAGCCACACGGACGCCAGGCTCAGGCACAGCCAGCCCGCCAGCAGTCTCATCGGGGGCCGCGGCCGCTCGCTCGGATCACCGCCGGCGCCGGGGCGAGGAGGAGGAGGCACCGCCGCCTCCGGCCACCGCCGCCACCGCCCGAGCTCGAGCCATCGCGGCCGCCTTGCCCATCCAGCCCCCTTCAGGGCAAAGGCTGGGGGTGGGGAGGAGCAGCCGGCGCGCAGCCTCGGCACCTCCCCCTTCCCTTCCGGCCGCGGAACGCCGCTGCCCCCTGCACCAGTTTCCATCCGGAGCACTTACGAGCGGCCGCGTCGCTTTCTCCCCCGGCGCCCTCCCTCCGTCCAATGAGCGGGCCGCTGGGAGGCGGGACAAAGGGAGCGCGCATCCGCCCGGAGCGCGTTCTCGTGTCCCGGCCCTGCCTTGGCCTCTAGTAAATGGCGGAGGTGGTTTTAATTTTTTTGAGGGCTGAGGAGATCACTTCCGAAGGCGGTAACTGCAGCCTCCCTGCCCCTCCAAGGTGGTGCTGGAAGGACCTCCAGTCTTTCCTCGCCTCATCCCACTCCACGGCGGGACTTTGACAGGGTTACCTCTCGACCCTCATCCCACTCCACGGCGGGACTTTGACAGGGTCGTGCAGTTAACCCCGGGGGCGCAAAGAGGGGAGTCATTCCTTTCGTGCATCCTGACACACACAGGTTCTTCCCGGAGACGAATGGTGCCAGTGATGGTTGCCCGCTCGGATGCGTAGTTTCCAGTTTACATTTAGAACCGACCTGCCAGACTCCCTCCTCTACTCTCCCCACCACCACGACCCGCCTGCCCCGTTCCCCAAGCCTGAGAAGTTGCTGGCTACGTGTTTCTATAAAGAATGAGTGAAAATTCTGCCTTTTGGGGAAGCTACCGCAGCTGGGGTACCCACAAGTAATGTTTTAGATGTATTGATGGCCCTGCCCAAGAATGAAGACCTCAAGTTAGACTCCTTGGCTGCCTTGTTTCCTTGAATTAGCACAGGGAAGTTGGACCCAACACTCTTAAGAGTGAACTCAGCTCTGGGAGCAGTGTTTAACCCGGATATTTATTTGATCATTTATAACACGAGGAGACCTAGCAACATTTCAGAACTGAAGGGTTAGTTACACTGTGTTCCTGTCTGCAGTTCTTCCTGCTATTATCCAAGCCACAATTAAGGAGTAACATTTCGTGGGAGTCCCTAACTTTAATACTTTCCTAGGTTTGTTTGGAAAGTGCTTTTAATTTAACTGCACCAGAAATAATGTAAATGTGTCTAAGTTCAAAACAAAAGAAGTAAGCCTTTTGGTTAATTCAGCGTTGCACATCAGAGATTTTCATTTATGAAACAGTGGGGTGGTGAGCCACAGATGGGGAACAAAATCATTCCTTACCCAACAGCTTTTTTTTTTTTTTTTTTTTGAAACGGAGTGGAGTCTCGCTCTGTCTCCAGGCTGGAGTGCAGTGGCTCGATCTCGGCTCACTTCAAACTCCGCCTCCCGGGTTCAAGCAATTCTTCTGCCTCAGCCTCCCGAGCAGCTGGGACTACGGGTGCGCGCCACCATGCCCAGCTAATTTTTGTGTTTTTCGTAGAGACGGGATTTCACCATGTTGGCCAGGATGGTCTCCATCTCTTGACCTCGTGATCCGCCTGCCTCGGCCTCCCAAAGTGCTGGGATTACAGGCGTGAGCCACCGCACCTGGCCCAACAGCTCTTTCATTAGCTTTTAAGAATCTCAGCTTGGCACCTTTGGCTAACAAGGATATCTTGTTGCCTAATGTAACAGGCTGTAACAACAAACAAAAAGGCACAGGGTGGGTGGGGTTCGGTATTTTGTGTTCTCTCTTTCCAATATACTCCCTGACTGCTTCCTGCCAAAACCCCGAAAAGCCCAAGCCTTACTAAATCTAGTTCAAACCTCTAGTGGTCCTGGCCCAAGTCATCAAAAAGGAACTATGGTAGCAAGTCCAATAACTGTTTATTTACTATGACACCTCTCCTTCCTGTCTCTTAGGATCAGTGTAACAGACAAAGCAACTCTGTCACAAAAGGAAGCCTTCATCTTTTTAAAGTGGGGGTGAAAGCAGCAGGAGTGCATAAAATGGCATATTTCCTTTCTGAAGACAAAGGAGACAAAAAGGTATGCCCCAGCTATAGAGTGAGACCACATAGCTGTAGCTGAGAGACTGCAAAATGTTATCAGATGAACAAGCAAGTAGATGGCTGCTGTAGTCAGAAGGATTTTGGGGTCAGTTGACTGCCACGAAGCCTAACAGCTCAAAGGAGCAGATTTTGTTTTATATCTGAGCAGCTGGCCTAGAAAAATAAATCACTCATACATTTAAAATACTCTATAATAACCACCAAACACTCAAACCCATGCTATTTACATTTAGCAGGCACAGGAAGAAACCAGAGCATCCGATGATCAAATGATTTGCCTGAAGGTAGCAGAGTAAATTCAATAGCTGACCTTTTCATAGAACTTGGTATCCCAGCTCGTGGTCTTTCGATCCATCTAAGAAGCTTTGCTGTCTCTTCTCAGAGAGCCTCCTGAATTACAAATGAGGAGAAACGAAAACAGCAAGAGTAAATATACGAAGCAGAAGTTCAGATTGCCCACTGGGGACAGCCCCCTTCCTTCATCTACTAGAATGTCACTACCGTATATTAAAACCTCAATTCTCCATAATGGAGACGGGAAGGGGCAAGATGACACAAAAAGCCAAATAGCCAATACTCGTTCTAACATGATCTTGAGATGCAGTTAGTAATATTCAAAAGATACACAAATGACCCTCTGCACCGAACTCTGCTCATTGACCCCAGGTGTCCCACTTGGGTCACAGCCCTGTACACAGGCCCAAAATTTTGGCGGGATCACTTTCCTATCTAGATCTCTAGGCAAAGGCTTTTTGTTATTGTTGTTCTTTGAAGTTACAAAGCTTGGCATTTTCATATTCTCTTTTCAATTACAAAGTATCATGTTAAGAGAATCCACAAGCAGAGAGTTTGGATCTGTACAAAACCTATTGATGATTGTTATCTCCTTGAAGAGATAATGATTTAAAAAGAACTCATATAGACCAGGCAGGGTGGCTCATGCTTGTAATCCCAGCACTTTGGGAAGCCAAGGCAGGTGGATGGCTTGAGCCCAGGAGTTCAAGGCCAGCCTGGGCAACATGGAGAAACCCCGTGTCTACAAAAAATACAAAAATAAGACAGGCGTGGTGACATGCACCTGTAGACCCATCTACTCAGGAGGCTGAGGTGGGAGGATCACCTGAGCCTGGGAGGCTGAGGCTGCAGTGAACTGAGATTGTGCCACTGCACTCCAGCTTGGGTGACCCTGTATCAAAAAATAAAAATAAAAATAACTCATATAATCACTTTTTTTTTCCCGAGATGGAGTCTTGCTCTGTTGCCCAGGCTGGAGTGCAGTGGCACGATCTCGGCTTGCTGCAACCTCTGCCTCTCGGGTTCAAGCAATTCTCCTGCCTCAGCCTCCTGAGTAGCTGGGATTATAGGCACCTGCCACCACGCCTGGCTATTTTTTGTATTTTTAGTAGAGATGGGGTTTCACCATGTTGGCCAGGCTGGTCTCAAACTCCTGACCTCGTGATCCGCCTGCTGCAGCCTCCCAAAGTGCTAGGATTACAGGCGTGAGCCACTGCACCTGGCCATAATCATGTTTTTATGGACAGATATTTTTTATGCTTCTTAATATTGTTTTGTATACCTTCAGAGAAAGATACAGCTTTTTCCCAGTATATTCAATAGAATGTGTCCTGTAGTTATTAAGCAATGAGCACCTCTAACAAAATTAGCAAATGTACTCAACAATTTGTTTAATTAATTAACGTAGGAGATCTTTATCTGAATTTAGTTGATACAACTTCAATCCTGTGCAATGATATCACTGTGGGCTCCAGTTGATGAATTCTAAGTCAAGGCAAAACTGCAGACAGCTTTGAAAAAAAAAAAATTAGTAGCCTAGGCCAGGCACCATGGCTCATGCTTGTAATCCCAGCTACTCAGGAGGCTGACACAGGAGAATCGCTTGAACCCAGGAGGCAGAGGCCGCAGTGAGCTGAGATCATGCCACTGTACTCCAGGCTGGGCAACACAGTGAAACTCCATCTCAAAAAAAAAAAAAAAAAAAAAAGCCTCAAGTAGCAGAATTGAACCAGGGGTTAGAAGATGTTAGTAGTTGGCCAGGTGCGGTGGCTCACACCTGTAATCCCAGCACTTTGGGAGATTGAGGTGGGTGGATCACAAGGTCAGGAGTTTGAGACCAGCCTGGCCAACATGGTGAAACCCGGTCTCTACTAAAAATACAAAAAAAATTAGCCAGGGGTGATGGCCTGCACCTGCAATCCCAGCTGCTCATGAGGCTGATGCAGGAGAATTGCTTGAACCTGAGAGGTGGAAGTTGCAGTGAGCTGAGATCACACCACTGCACTCCAGCCTGGGTGACAGAGTGAGACTCCATCTCAAAAAAAAGAAGACGTTAGTAGCAAATACAAGTAACATCGTGTGCTTCATTGGAGAACTCCCAGTGCTACTCATTAGCATGGTAGTTTATCATCTGCACTTTGAGCCAGACTATCTGGGTTTTAAGCTGGGCTCTATGCTTCTTGATTATGCAATTTGAGGCAAATTATTTGACCTCTACATGTCTGTTTCCTCATCTGTAAAATGGAAATAATAATAATGGTTACCTATTTCATAAGGATGCAGTGAATATCATGTTATATACTATAAATATAAAGGGCTTAATAAGTGCCTCAACATTTAGTAAACACTCAAAAAATGTTAATTTGTTTTCACTTTAACTTGGGTAAATCAACCTCATCTGAGCCTCTCTTTCCTCATCTGTAAACTAAGAGCCATGGTTCTGAGCTGTCTGCTTCACAAGACGTGTGTGAGAATTAGATGATCTGAGAGTTTTTTAAACTGCAAAACATCAACCAAAGTTATCATAATAAAGATGCTCAGTCCTAATGTAAAATGCCCACGTGAGGGATCTAGGTGGCCATCCTGTAAGAATCTAATGTCTGATGATCTGTCAGAGACTTTGGTCTCTGCAAAGCTACTCTCTGTAAAACATTCTCTTAGAACCCATGACGATAGCATCTCTTAATAATGTGTCTATCTTCACACATGTGTCTATCCTCATGACATTTCAAACTGAGTGGGGAAAAGAATATAAAACACAAAACTAGGCTGAGGTGGGAAGATCATTTGAGGCCAGGAATCCAAGACCAGCCTGGACAACATGTTGAAACCCCATCTCTACTAAAAATACAAAAATTAGCTGGGTGTGGTTGTGCAGGTACTTGGTAGGCTGAGGCATGAGAATCACTTGCACCCAGGAGGCAGAGGTTGCAATGATCTGAGATCGCACCACTGCACTCCAGCTTGGCTGACAGAGCAAAAGTCTGTCTCCAAAAACAAAGTAAAACAAATAAACACAGAACTATAAAAAAAAAATTCAAACCTAAAAGCAAAATCAGCTGGGCACAGTGGCTCATGTCTACAATCCCAGCACTTTGGGAGCCTGAGGCAGGCAGATGGCTTGAGCCCAGGAGTTCCACACCAGCCTGGGCAACATGACAAAATCCTGTGTCTACCCAAAAAAAAAAAAAAAAAAAAAAAAAACTACAAAAATTAGTCAGGTGAGGTGGTGTGTGCCTATACACCCAGCTACTCAGAAGGCTGAGGCAGGAGCATCAACTGAGCCTGGGAGGTCGAGGCTACAGTGAGCCATGACCACAGCACTGCACTCCAGCCTGGGTGACAGCACAAGACCATGTCTCAAAAAATAAAATAAAACTCAGGGAGTAAACTCAAGTTACCTACTTGTCAAAGATGCCTGTCTTTTTAGTAGGAAAGTCTTTTCCCCTCTGATATATAAAATTCTTCCCAGCTGGCTCACCTATGTACCCAGTCTGTACCCGCCAGGGCATTTCACCTGCTTACAGAACCTTTTGAACTCCCATGATTTCCTCCCTCATCATTCGCACATCTGTTTGTTTATGTCAGCAATATTAACCAAAAGACAAAGAAATGCCACTTTCACATATGCAATAAATATTTATTGGGTACATGGAATATACCAGGCCCTGGATTTACGGGAATAGAAAGCAAAATAAACACAATGTCTCACCTTCATAGAGCTTACCGTCTAGTAAGGAGACTGACCCGAATACATAATTACAAACTGCTGAGAGCGAGAAAGGATTTGTATACTGTTACGAGAACTTGGACAGATCTGACTTAATTAGGCGTGGAGGGCATGAGGGAAGGAGAGTGTTCAGGGAAAGCTGCCTTGAGGAAATGTGCTTTGTGGTCATTTTGACATCCCCTTGCCAAACTTGAAAGCTTCCAGATTTCCCAAGTTCCTCCTGGACTACAGGTATCCCCAATAATTGTGACAACAGAAATGGAGATAGTGCAGGACAGGCAAGTCCCAAAGTGGTGCTTAGCCCTCTGGGTTCTTGGCTTTATCAGGAAGGAATTCAAAGGCAAGCCAGAGGTAGAAGAAAACAGCTATATTGAAGAGGCTGTGTTACAGCTCCATGACTGCTCCTGCAGAGCAGGGCTACCCCATAGGGAGAGAGTAGCAGCTGAGGGTAGTTCAGTTCTGTAGCCATATTTATACCCACTTTTTTTTTTTTTTTTTTGAGATGGAGTCTCGCTCTGTCGCCAGGCTGGAGTGCAGTGGCACGATCTCAGCTCACTGCAACCTCCGCCTCCCAGGTTCAAGTGACTCTCCTGCCTCAGCCTCCTGAGTAGCTGGGACTACAGGCATGCGCCACCACATCCAACTAATTTTTCTATGTTGAGTAGAGACGGGGTTTCACCATGTTGGCCAGGCGGTCTCGAATTCCTGACCTCATGATCTGCCTGCCTCGACCTCCCAAAGTGCTGGGATTATAGGCGAGAGCCACTGTACCCAGCCTGTACTTGAAACTAAAAGTGGGAGGCTGGGCATGGTGGCTCATGCCTATAATCCCTGCACTTTGGAAGGTTGAGGTGGGTGGATCATGAGGTCAGATGTTCGAGACCAGCCTGGCCAACATGGTGAAACCCCATCTCTACTAAACATACAAAAAATAGCCAGGTGTGGTGGCAGGCGCCTGTAATCCCAGCTACACAGGAGGCTGAGGCAGGAGTCGCTTGAACCCGGGCGGCAGAGGTTGCAGTGAGCCGAGATCGCATGTCACTGCACTCCAGCCTGGGCAATGGAGCAGGACTCTGTCTCAAAAAATAAATAAATAAATAAATAATTGCATGTAGATTAAAGAGCTGTTTATGCAGAAATTTCTAGGGAATGGGCAGTAACTCCTAGGTCATTGGATCACTGCCATGGAAAGTGACAGTAACTGTCGAGTGTTGCCATGGCAGTGGTAAATCGACATGGCACACTGGTGAGCATGTCTGATTAAAACTACTTTCGCCCAGGCCCTGTTTTGGCTAGTTCTTAATCTGGTCCAGTGTCCACTCCAGTGTCCGAGCTCAACCTCTGGAGTAGAGTCCCACCTGCTACCTCCGACTGCTCATCAGAGCCTTCTAGAATGTGAGGAATCCCAGTGTCCCTCACATACACTCACAGAGTCCTGGAGAAAACGAAATGAGTTGTCTGGGCAGCTGTCAGCACAATCCCCTATATATATAGTCAGCTCTCAGATAGTAGCTGTGGTGGTTATTATGGAATCATAAGGCAGATGTAAACCTAGCTCTCCTTGGACAAGTTACTTAAGCAGTCCAAGAGATGAACAGCCATCTACTTTAAACTTAGTCTACTATAAGACAAATTAATTAGGGAGAGTCCTTCAACCTAAATCCTGGGCTCCACCAAATGAATCAGTTTCTCCAACAGAACTGTGTGAATTAGGCATTTTATTTTATTTAATTATTATTTTTTGAGACAGGGTCTCTGTTGCCCAGGCTGGAGTGCAGTTGCACAATCTCAGCTCACTGCAACCTCCGCCTCCTAGCTCAAGCGATCCTCCCACCTCAGCCCCCCAAGTAGCTGGGGCTACAGGCACACACCACCATGCCCGGCTAGTTTTTTATGTTATCTTATAGAGACACAGTTCGCCATGTTGCCCAGGCTGGTCTTGAACTCCTGGACTCAAGTGATCTGCCTGCCTCGACCTCCCAAAGTGCCAGGATTACAGGCATGAGCTACCATGCCTGGCCTCTAAATTAGGCATTTTAATACACATGTTTTGTACCACCTAAGTTGTGCTTTTTTTTTATTTTTATTTTTTCAAGATGGACTTTCACTCTTGTTACCCAGGCTGGAGTGCAATGGCGGGATCTCGGCTCACTGCAAGCTCCGCCTCCCGGGTTCAAGCGATTCTCCTGCCTCAGCCTCCTGAGTAGCTGGGATTACAGGCATGCGCCACCATGCCTGGCTGATTTTTTTTGTATTTTTAGTAGAGAGGCGGTTTCTCCATGTAGGTCAGGCTGGTCTCGAACTCCCAACCTCAGGTGATCCACCCCGCCTCAGCCTCCCAAAGTGCTGGGATTACAGGCGTGAGCCACCACGCCCAGCCCACTTCTGTATTTATACAGATCCTTCTGCCTGTGCTTCTGAATCCTTAAAAGACATCTTCACATACAGTATAAGCTACTTAAAGGAATATAAGTATTTTTAAATATATATTTCAACTAAATAATGTCCTTCCAATAACAGGTCTATGAGTCAGAGCTCTGACAAAAGACAGAAGGCTGTTGCTTTCATTCAGTTTCTAGGGCATTTTTGAAGGTCCAAATATCTTTCATCTAGTTTTAAATATCCTTTCGAAACAACCCTGTCCTTGGCCTCTTAATTGCTTTCTTTTGCATGTATGTGGGCTTGCTCTTCTAAATGACTGCTTCCTCTCCACCAAATTCACCGTGGGTATTTATTTTGAAATTATAAAGGCTTCTTATTTTATAAATATGAAACATTAAAACTTATGGTTTATATGAAATACATGGGGGAAGTGTCCTGTATTATGAGAAATCTTTTAAAACTTAAAATGTAAATTTTTTACGATAGACCAAATGTGTATATACATAAACATAAGTGATCTTAAAGTGTTTGTAAAACATACCACAAAATAACCACATTTCTGCTGGCATGAAATAAAACCACTGTTTTCTTTTTGCACAACCAAAACTGATCAGAAAATGAGGAAGAATACATTTACGAAAGAGGATACTTGAGTAATCAACCATCCTGAAAATCAGACAGAAATATCTCCCTTCTCTAGTGAAAACTATGACTGATTTTTTAATAGCCACAGCTAATCTGAGCTTGTTTTACAAGTTAGCCCAGGATCTTCCTCAAATTTATTGTGTGCACAACTCATTCAATCAGAGGAAAGGCATTTGGCTATCAGATCACCAAAACTGTGGCATTGTAAGACTCCCGCTACAGTTTTCATCTCCCTTTATGGTCTCCTCTTACCAAGAATTCTTTGTGCTATACAGTTTCTTGAAATTGACAAAGTCAATACTGATAACAGCTATTAAGTTTTTCTACAATAGAAACTTTATTTCTAAGTTCATTAGCTTTTCTTTTCTTTTTTTTTTTTTTTCAGACCAGTGTAATGTTCTGTCTCCCAGGCTGGAGTGCAGTGGTATGATCACAGCTAACTGCAGCCCCCCTGGGCTGAATCTGTCCTCCTGCTTCAGCCTCCTGAGTAGCTGGAACTACAGGTACATGCCACCACACTCAGCTAATTTTTGTATTTCTTTGAGAGATAGGGTATCGTCACGTTGCCCAGGCTGGTCTCAAACTCCTGAGCTCAACTGATCTACCTGCCTCAGCCTCCCAAAGTGCTGGGATTATAGGTGTGAGCCACCGTGCCCGGCCTAAGTTCATTAGCTTTCTACGCTCAAGTCTTTTGGAGAAGTTTGAGATGTGACAGCAGCAGGCATCAGAGGCTAGCAGCTCTCCCCCACCATGAAGAATTTTTCCCATTCAGATTCCAGCTTCCCCCTCTCACACCACCCCAGAGGGCATGGAGAAGCTGGCTTTGCTCAGGAACCACAATAAAGTGTAGTTTGTTATGTGTGAATGTAGAGCATGCTGTTCTCCGTCCAACATAAATCCATTTTTATAACCAAAACTATAAATGACAGTGGAGCCAAATTTGCTACTTTTTGGACAGACATCTTACAAGTTAAACAAATTGCTTTAGGTTCATTATATCCAGTTTTTGCTTTCATAAGGAGACATATTTACAGATAATTACCACATCTACAATGTTCATTATAATTATTCAATGAAGGAAGGCTTCAGGAAAAAAAATCTAAGTTATCCTTGTACAGTTTTGACAGTACATTGGATTCATGTTTAGAATCTGCAACATCCTGTTTGATTCATGTGCTGGAATTTCTCCATTATTATACTTTTTTTTTTTTCTCACAGAGATGGGATCTTGCTATGTGGACTAGTGCTTCCTCTTCAACTTCCTCTCCTTCAATTCCCTCTGAAGCCCATCTTTTCAGGACAACATTAACTCCTGTCCTCAAGTGATACTTCTACCACGGCCTCCCAAAGTGCTGGGATTACAAGCGTGAGCCACTATTCCCAGCCCATTATGATACTTTATTTTATTTATTTTTCTTTTTTGAGATGGAGTCTTGCTTTGTCACCCGGGCTGGAGTGCAATGGCACAATCTTGGCTCACTACAACCTCCGCCTCCTGGTTCAAGCAATTCTCCTGCCTCAGCCCAGTAGCTGGGATTACAGGCACCCACGACCACACCCAGCTAATTTTTGTATTTTTAGTAGAGACAGAGTTTCACCATGTTGGCCAGGCTGGTCTCCAACTCCTGACCTCACATGATCCACCCACCTCAGCCTCCCAAAGTGCTGGGATTACAAGGCATGAGCCACCACGCCTGACCCCATTATGATTCTTTCTTTTCTTTCTTTCTCTCTCTTTCTTCCCTTCCTTCCTTCTTTCTCTATCCTTCCTTCCTTCCTTTCCTTTATTTCTTTCTTTTATTTCTTTCCGTTCTTTTCTTTCTTTCTTGCTCTGTCTCCCAGGCCGGAGTGCAGTGGTGCCATCTCGGCTCACTGCAACCTCCGCCTCCTGAGTTAAAGCAATTCTGCCTAAGCCTCCCAAGTAGCTGGGATTACAGGCATGTACCACCACACCCAGCTAATTTTTGTATTTTTAGTAGAGATGGGGTTTTGCCATGTTTGCCAGGCTGGTCTCAAACTCCTGACCTCAAGTGATCCACCCACCTCAGCCTTCCAAAGTACTGGGATTATAGGTGTGAGCCACTGCACCCAGCCTATGATACTTTAAATAGCTGCATATACATGGGTGTATTTTCATCTTGACAGATGGTAAATCATAGCACATTTGAGGACATCAAGCATTCATTAGATCCTTTGCCCTATTTAGAACTTATATCTGCTTGGACACAAGTATCAGGAATATATTATATTTTTGACATATGTTAAAGGCTGTTTCAAGAAAAAAATTTAAGTCAGGTCTTTTTGACATATTAAGCTGTATATGGAGTTAATCATAAAATCGCCCTGAAAAATCTCTGGAAATAGAGAAATAAAATTGCTGTCTGAGAACCACACTTTAAAACATACATATAGGCTGGGCATGGTGGCTCATGCCTGTAATCCTAGCACTTTGGGAGGCCGACACAGGTGGATTGCTTAGGCCCAGGAGTTTGAGACCAGCCTGAGCAATATGGTAAAATCCTGTCTCTACAAAAAATTACAAAAATTATGTTTTTATGGCTGACCAACCTCCTCCTCACCCTCCAACCGCAATGAGCTGTTATTTCTACAATTATGTTATACTTCAGTCAATTTGAAGTCAAGTCTTGGCTTGAGGCCTGCCTTTTTTTTTTTTTTTTTCCTTTTTTCCTTAGGAGGTCTCAGATTGAAAACTTGAGATCATGCACTGTCACAGCCATGACAGCCACTCCTCAATCTCCTGTGTAACTGGTTCTGTTGGATACTCGTCAGCTGTGAACCATTCACTCTCAGAAACATACACTGACAAAACCCCAAATTATCACCTCCTTCATGATCCCATACACATGACTTAAATGTGATGGGAGGAAAAAAAAAATGGGCTGCTGGGGGACCTGCCTTTTTTAAAGGTGACTTTGCATGTCTTTGCTCAAATCTTTTTTTTTTTTTTTTTTTTTGAGATGGAGTTTCACTCTTGTTGCCCAGGCTGGAGTGCAACGGCGTGATCTTGGCTCACTGCAACCTCCACCTCCCAGGTTCAAGCGATTCTCTTGCCTCAGCCTCCCAAGTAGCTGGGATTACAGGCATGTGCCACCACGCCCAGCTAATTTTGTATTTTTAGTAGAGATGGGGTTTCCCATGTTGGTCAGGCTGGTCTCAAACTCCCAACCTCAGGTGATCCCCCCGCCTCGGCCTCCCAAAGTGCTGGGATTACAGGTGTGAGCCACTGCGCCTAGCCCTCCAAATTTATTGTACACACACATATACGTATGTATACATATATGGCTCCATGATGTATATATGTGGTGTGTATATACACATATGGGGAGATATATATATATATATATATATATTTTTTTTTTTTTTTTTTGAGACTGGTTCTCACTCTGTCACCCAAGTTGGAGTGCAATGGTGTGATCTTGGCCCACTGCAGCCTCCACTTCCCCAAGCTCAGGTGATCCTCCCACCTCAGCCTCCCGAGTAGCTGGGACCACAGGCACATGCCACCACGCCTGGGTAATTTTTGTATTTTTTCATAGAGATGGAGTCTTGCCATGTTGCCCAGGCTGGTCTCACACTCCTGGTTTCAAGCAATCGGCCTACTTTGGCCTCCCAGTGCTGAGATTACAGGTGTGAGCCACTGTGCCTGGCCACCAGCTCTATCTTTACCATCAACATTGGAGTAAACATTTACATCAGGGGTCAGGGGTATCCAATCTTTTGGCTTCCCTGGGCCACATTGGAAGAAGAAGAATTGTCTTGGGCCACACACAGAATATACTAACACTTGCTGGGCATGGTGGCTCATGCCTGTAATCCCAGCACTTTGGGAGGCCAAGGCAGGTGGATCACATGAGGCCAGGAGTTCAAGAGCAGCCTGGGCAACATGGTGAAAACTTGTCTCTATTAAAAATACAAAAATTAGCCAGGCATGGTGGCACACGCCTGTAGTCCCAGCTACTCGGGAAGCTGAGGCAGGAGAATTGGTTGAGCCTGGGAGGTGGAGGTTGCAGGGAGCCAAGATCACACCACTGCACTGCAGCCTGGGTGACAGAGAGGGACTCCTTCTCATAAAAAAAAAATGCAAAAGACTCATAATGTGGTTTTGTTTGTTTTGAGACAGTTTTGAGACAATTGCCCAGGCGGAGTGCAGTGGCACAATCAGGGCTCACTGCAACTTCTGCCCTCCGCCTCCCAGGCTTAAGTGATTCTCCTGCCTCAACCTCCCGAGTAGCTGGGATTACAGGCACGTTACCACCATGCACTGCATTTTTAGTAGAGACGGGGTTTTGCCATATTGGTCAGGAGTTGGAACTCCTGACCTCAGGTGATCTGCCCACCTCGCCCTCCCAAAGTGCTAGGATTACAGGTGTGAGCCACCTCGCCGGGCCAAAATCTCATGAAGTTTTAAGATTACAAATTTGTGTGGGGCTGCATTCAAAGCCATCCCGGGCCGCATGTGGCCCACAGGCCATGGGTTGGACATGCTTGATTTATATCAAGAGGCAGGAAGCCCACATTCTAGTATTTCCTTTACACTTTCCACGTGATTTTGGAAAAATCACATAATCCCAACTACCTTGTCTTTAAAAATAGTAATCAATTGGCCAGAAGTGGTGGCTCACGCCTACAATCCCAGCACTTTGGGAGGCCGAGGTGGGTGGATCACTTGAGGTCAGGAGTTCGAGACCAGCCTGGCCAACATGGCGAAACCCTGTTTCTACTAAAAATACAAATATTAACCGGGTGTGGTGGTACGCACCTGTAGTCCCAGCTACTCGGGAGGCTGAGGCAGGAGAATCGCTTGAACCCAGAAGGGGAGTTTGCAGTGAGCTGAGATCATGCCACTGCACTCCAGTCTGGGTGAGAGAGCGAAGCTCTGTCTCAAAAAATAAAAAGAAAGTAAGTAAATAAATAAATACTAATCAATCAAGACCACCCATGCGTAAAGGTATGGACCATCACCTGCTTACTTTCTTTGGTGAATTATGAATTATGTGAATTTTTTCCAAATTCTAATATAAATACATCTGTACTTAGTAATGCAACAGAAGTGGTATAATTTTCTTTGTTTTCTTTAAAAAACCAAGTCTCACAAATTCAGAGTTCCATAATCCTCCGTAAAACAAGAATTTATTATAAATAGTACCATACCTGTGACAATGTTTATAAAGGGAGATGATCTTTTCCTTTGAGAACTATGTGCTTGACAAATTATCACCTTCTTATGACCTGAAATAAAAATCCTTGCCTTTCTTACCCCTGTATGTTCATCACACACACACACACACACACACACACACACACACACACACACACCTGCTCTGTTTCATACTGTAAGGCTTGCCCGGTCTACTGTGAAGTACCTGGGAGGGAAAAAAAAAAACAACTCTAGAAATGAAATGGAAATAGATATATTTTTACTCCATGACATTCTAGATCTGGGCCACAGCCTACTCTCCATGAAAGAAAGCCTCCTACAACAGCACTGCAAGGGTACCGCATGTCACTTAGAACAGTGACAGCACCACTAAGCGCCAGACATTGTGCTAGTGCTTTCCATATGCCATCTTTTTTTTTTTTTTTTTTGAGACAGAGTCTCACTTTGTCACCCAGGCCGCAGTGCAATGGCTCGATCTCAGCTCATGCAACCTCCTCCGCCTCCAGGGTTCAAGCGATTCTCCTGCCTCAGCCTCCTGGGTAGCTGGGATTATAGGCGTGCACCACCACGCTTGGTTAACTTTTGCATTTTTAGCAGAGACGGGGGTTCACCATGTTGGCCAGGCTGGTCTCAAACTCCTGACCTCAAGTGATCCACCTGCCTTGGCCTCACAAAGTGCTGGGATTACAGGCGTGAGCCAGCACGCCTGGTCTGCCATCTCTTTTAATCCTCCTAACAATCAAATGAGGTGGATACTATTATTACCAGCTTTTTATAGAAAATAATCTAAGGCAGAGAAAGCTTCCATTGCTTTTACAGTGAATAAATAAATAAGTGGTTGAGGCAGGAATTTTTTTTTTTTTTTGTGAGACAGGGTCTTTGTCACCCAGGCTGGAGTGCAGTGGCATGATCTCTGTTCCCTGCAACCACTACCTCCCGGGCTCAAGTGATCTTCCCACCTCAGCCTCCTGAGCAGCTGGGACGTCAGGCACGCACCCATACCCAGGCATGCCCAACTAATTTTTGTATTTTTTGTAGAGACCGGGTTTTGCTACATTGCACAGACTGGTCTCGAATTCCTGGGCTCAAGTGATCTTTCCACCTCAGCCTCCCAAAGTGCTGGAATTACAGCACCGTGCCTGGCCGAAGCAGGATTTTAAACTAGGCAGTCGGGTTGCAGAACCCTCATTCTTCACCACAATGCTTTACCGCCTCCTAGTGTTTATTTACTTTTGTAAAATTTTTTTTTGCAAGCCGGGCACAGTGGCTCACCCCTGTAATCCCAGCACTTTGGGAGGCCGAGGCGGGTGGATAACCTGAGGTCAGGAGTTCGAGCCTGGCCAACATGGTGAAACCCCGTCTCTACTAAAAATACAAAAAATTAGCCAGGCGTGTTGGCACGTGCGTGCCTGTAATCCCAGCTACTCAGGAGGCTGAGGCAGGAGAATTGGTTGAACCCAGGAGGTGGAGGTTGCAGTGAGCCAAGATTGTGCCATTGCACTCCACCCTGAGCAACAAGAGTGAAACTCCATCTCAAAAAAAAAAAAAAAGATATTTTTGCAGAGATGGTCTTGCCTCGTTGCCCAGGCTGATCTGAAACTCCTGGCCTCAAGGGATCCTTTTGCCTCAGTCTCCCAAAGTATCAGGATTACAGGCATGAGCCATTGCGTCTGATCTTAGAGGTTTTTGTTTTGTTTTGTTTTGTTTTGGAGATGGAGTTTCGCTCTTGTTGCCCAGGCTGGAGTGCAATGATGTGATCTCAGCTCACCACAAACTCCGCCTCCTGGGTTCAAGCAATTCTCCTGCCTCAGCCTCCCGAGTAGCTGGGACTACAGGGATGCACCACCATGCCTGGCTAATTTTGTATTTTTAGTAGAGACGCGGTTTCTCCATGTTGGTCAGGCTGGTCTCGAACTCCCGACCTCGGGTGATCCGCCCACCTTGGCCTCCCAAAGTGCTGGGATTACAGGCGTGAGTCACCATGCCCAGCAAGTGTTAGTGTATTCTATGTGCGGCCCAAGACAATTCTTCTTGTGCCCAGCCGCCTTAGTGGTTTTTTTGGTTTGGTTTCGTTTGGTTTGGTTTGAAATGCAGTTTAGCTCTTGTCACCCAGGCTGGAGTACAGTGGCACAATCTCGGTTCACTGCAACGTCTGCCTCCTGGGTTCAAGTGATTCTCCTGCCTCAGCCTCCCAAGTAGCTGGGATTACAGGCGCTCGCGACCATACCCAGCTAATTTTTGTATTTTTAGTAGAGACGGGATTTCACCATGTTGGCCAGCGCATTAGTGTTTTTCAAAACAGGCCTCAGATCACTAGCGTCAGGATCACCTGTGGTGCTGGTTAAAATGCAGCTTCCTTGGCTATCCCAGGTATACTGATTCAGAATCTTCAGCAAAAGTAATATGTAATTTATATAATTAAAAAGTACTTAAACGTCTTTTTTTTAATTTTTTATATATTTATTTTTTGAGACGGAGTCTAGCTCTGTCGCCCAGGCTGGAGTGCAGTGGCGCAATCTCGGCTCACTACAAGTTCCGCCTCCCAGGTTCACGCCATTCTCCTGCCTCAGCCTCCCGAGTAGCTGGGACTACAGGCCCCCGCTGCCACGCCCGGCTAATTTTTTTGTATTTTTGGTAGAGACGGGGTTTCACCGTGCTAGCCAGGATGGTCTCGATCTCCTGACCTCGTGATCCACCCACCTCAGCCTCCCAAAGTGCTGGGATTACAGGCGTGAGCCACCGCGCCTGGCCTTAAACGTCTTAAAATTATTTTTAATGAGATATTTATTTATTTATTTAGAGACAGAGTCTCACTCTGTTGCCAGGCTGGAGTGCAGTGGCGCAATCTCAGCTCACTGCAACCTCCACCTCCCGGGTTCAAGCGATTCTCCTGCGTCAGCCTCCAGAGTAGCTGGGCATGCACCACCACGCCCAGCTAATTTTTGTATTTTTTAGTAGAGACGGGGTTTCACCATGTTGGCCAGGATGGTCTTGATCTCTTGAACTCGTGGTCTGCTCACCTCAGCCTCCCAAAAATAATTATTTTTAAATAATATGTTGAGATAACCTAAAAGAAAGTCACATTTCATATTAATTTTTCATATATGTCTGGACTCTCTATTCTGTTCCATTTGTTTTTGTTAGTTAGTTAGTTTGTTTGTTTGTTTTTGAGACGGAGACTCGCTCTGTCACCCAGGCTGGAGTGCAGTGGCACGATCTCGGCTCACTGCAACCTCTGCCTCGCAGGTTCAAGCTGTTCTCCTGCCTCAGCCTCCCTAGTAGCTGGGACTACAGGCATGCGCCACCAGGCCTGGCTAATTTTTGTATTTTGAGTAGAGACAGGGTTTCACCGTGTTGGCCAGGCTGATCTCAAATGGGAATACAGGCGTGAGCCACCACGCCCGGCCATAAGTTTTTGTTTCTCTTGGGAAAAAAGCTAGCAGTGGGATTTCTGGATCATATGTCAGCTGTATATTTAACTTTAAAAGAAACTGCCAAACTGTTTTTTAAAGTAGATGTATCATTTTAATTCCTACCAAGAATGTATGAGAGTTCTGGATGCTCCACATCCTTTGTCAGCACTTGGTATTCAGTTTTTATTTTAGCTATTCTAATTGTTATGTACGGGTGACTCATTAGGGCTTTAATTTACATTTTCCTAATGACCAATAATGTTGAGCATCTTTTCATGGACTTACTTTCCATTTGTATATCTTCTTTGGTGAAGTGTCTGTTCAAATCTTTGCCCATTTTTATTTTGTTTTTTCAAGTCATCCATGGAATACAAACTGTATTAGTTGGGTCTCACACTGCTATGAAGAAATACCCGAGACTGGGTCACTTATAAAGGAAAAAGTTTAATTGACTCACAGTTCCACATTGCTGGGGAGGCCTTAGGAAACTTACAATCATGGCAGAAGGCAAAGGAGAAGTAGGCACCTTCTTCACAGGGCAGCAGGATGGAGTGAGTGCAAGCACAGGGAATGCCAGATGGTTATAAAACCAGCGGATCTCCTGAGACTCACTCACTATCATGAGAACCGTATAGGGGAAACTGTCCTCATGATCCAAATACCTCCACCTAGTCTGCCCTTGACACATGGGGATTATGGGGATTACAATTCAAGATGAGATTTGGGTAGGGAAACAAAGCCTAATTACAAACTTTGCCTTTATTTTTATTATTATTATTTTTTTGACTAGATCTTCCTCTGTCACCCAGGCTGGAGTTCTGTGACATGATCATCATAGCTCACTGCAACCTTGAACTCCTGGGCTCAGGTAGTCCTCCCACTTCAGCGTCCTGAGTCACTGGGATTACAGGTGTATGCCACAATACCTAGCTAATTGTTAATTTTTTGTAGAGATGATGTCTCCCTACATTGCCCAGGCTGGTCTTGAACTCTGAGCCTCAAGTGATCCTCCCACCTCAGCCTCCCAAAGTACTGGGACTACAGGCAAGAGCCACTGTGCCCAGACCACCATTTTTTAAGTTAGGTTGATTGTCATTTTATAATTGAATTGTGACAGTTCTTCACATATTCTACATAGAAGTTTTTATCGAATAGGCATTTTGTTTTGTAAATATTTTCTTCCAGTCTGTGGTTCACATTTTTCATTTTCTTAACCATGTCTCTCAAAGATCAGAGGTTTTAAATTTTGAAATCAAACTTACTAATTTTTTCACTTATGATTTGCAATTGGGTATCATATTTAAGAAAATTTTCTCATTCCAGAGTCACAAAGATTTTTTCCTATGTTTTATTCTAAAAGATGTATGGTTTTAAATATTACATTTAGGTCTAAAATCCATTGGTGCAAGGTATGGGTTGAGATTCATTTTTGTTCTTTTCTTGGAGCAGGGACTAAGTCTCTCTCTGTGGCCCAGGCCGGGGTGCAGTGGGATGATCTCGGCTCACTGCAGCCTTAGTCTCCTAGGTTCAAGCAATTCTGCCTCAGCCTCCTGAGTAGCTGGGACTACAGGCGTGCACCAACACTCCCTGCTAATTTTTTTGTATTTTTAGTAGAGACAGAGTTTCACCATGTTGGCCAGGCTGGTCTTGAGCCACTGGTCTCAGATGATCTGCCCACCTCGGCCTCCCAAAGTGTTGGGATTACAGGTATGAGCCACCGCGCCTGGCCAGAGGCAAGGAGTTTGAGACCAGCCTGGGCAACATAGTGAGACTCCATTTCTACAAAAAAAAAATTTTTTTTTAATTAGCTGGGCATGGTGGCATGCACCTGTAATCCCAGCTACTCACGAGGCTGAGGTGGGAGGATTACTTGAGCCCAGGAGATTGAGGCTGCAGTGAGCTATGATTGCACCACTGCATTCCAGCCTGAGTAGCAGAGCAAGATACTGTCTCGGCAGGCAGATCACCTGAGGTAGGGAGTTCGAGACCAGCCTGATCAATATAGAGAAACCCCATCTCTACTAAAAATACAAATTAGCTGGGTGTGGTGGCACATGCCTATAATCCCAGCTACTTGGGAGGCTGAGGCAGGAGAATCACTCGAACCCGGGAGGCAGAGGTTGCAGTGAGCCGAGATCACGCCATTGCACGACAATTGCCCAGACAGACATTGCCTGTGCAACAAGAGCAAAACTCCGTCTCAAATAAATAAATAACGAATATAAATTTCCAGTTGTTCATTCCCAGTATATAGAAATACAATTGATTTTTATATATTGACCTTGTATCTTGTGACTTTGCTAAACATTTCCTAATAGAGTTTTATTTCTTCCTTTCCAATTTGTATGCCTTTAATCTATTTTTCTTGTCTTATTTTACTGGCTAGGATCTCCAGTATAATTTGTAATAGAAGTAGAAAAAACAAACATCCTTGCCTTTTTCCCAATCTTAGGACAGAAGCATTCAGTAATATCACCTCTGCAGGATATCAGCCACACATTTTTTCGTAGAGGACTTTGTCAGGTTGAGGAATTGCACTTCTACTCTTAGTGGGCTGACAGTTTTTAGCGTGAGTGGATGTTGCATTTCATCAAATGCTTTTCCTACATCACGTAAGATGGTCATGGGGCTTTTATTCTTTTTCTGTTGATATGGTAAATTACACTGATTGATTTCAACATTGAGTGTTGAATCAACACTGCATTCCACAATTAGCCCCATTTAGTTGTATTTATTTTCCTTTTCATATTAGCTAGATTAGATTTGCTGATATTCTGTTGAAGACTTTTGTATCTATATTCATGAAGAATACTGGTCTATGTTTTCTTATGTCTTTGATTAAAGTATCAGGGTAATACTGATAAGATGAACTAGGAAGTGTTCTCTTCAATCTTCTGAAAGAGTTTGTGTTAAATTGGTATTATTTCTTTCTTAAATATTTGGTAGAATTTACCAGTAAAACCATCTGGGTCTGGAGTTTTCTTGGAAAAGATCTAAGTTGTCAGATTTATTGATATAAAGATTTCATAATATTTCCGTATTATCCTTTATATATCTGCAGAATCTGGACTGATGCCTTGTTTTTCATTTCTGATACTGGAAATTCATGTCTTCTTTTTTTCTTGACTAGTCTAGCAAGACGTTTATCGCTTTTATTGGTGTTTTCAAAGAAACAGTTTTGGCATAATTGATTTTGTTTTTTAAATGTTATTGGTTTCTGATCTTATTATTTCCTCCTTCTGTTTAAATTGGGTTTGATTTGCTCTTTTTCTCATTTTTCTAACTTCTTAATAAAAGCACAGATCATTGATTTGAGCCCCTTTCTTCTTGTTTTGCTTCTTCTTTTTCTTTTTTCACACAGGGTCTTGCCTGTCACCTAGGCTGCAATGCAGTGGCATGATCACAGCTCACTGCAGCCTTGACCTTCCCGGGCTCAGGTGGTCCTCCCACCTCAGTCTCCCAAGTAGCTGAGACTACAGGCACACACCGCCATGTCCGGCTAATTTTTGTATTTTTTGTAGAGATGTGGTTTCGCCATGTTTCCCAAGCTGGTCTCAAACTCCTGGGCTCAAGTGATCCTCCTGCCTCGGCCTCCCAAAGTGCTAGGATTACAGGCATGAGCCACTGCACCTGGCCAAGACCCTTTTCTAATATTAGCATTTTATGCCAAACATTTCCCTCTGTGCACTGTTTTTGTTACATCCCATGAATTTTGAACAGAAGTTTTTACTTCTGTTCAATTCAAAACATTTTCTAATTTCCTTTGTGAGTTCCTCTTTGATTTATGAGTTATTTCTAAGTGTATATTAAAACTTCTAGATATTTGAGAATTTCCCAAGTATATTTCTTATTGGTTTCTAATTCAATTCCATCGTGATCAAAGGAGATACTTTATATGGTTACTATTCTTTTACATTTGTTATGGTTTGCTTTATTTCCCAGAAGATGGTCTATCTTGGTAAATGTTCCATTTGACTGAAAAAGAACATGTATTCTCTTGTGGTTGGGCAGTGTGTTCTATAAATGTCAATTGGTCCAAGTTTTGTTAGAGTATTGCTTACATCTTCTATATACTTATTGGTTTTCTCTCTACTTGTTCCGTTGATTTATTTTTTTGTTTGTTTGATTTTGGTGTTTTGTCTTTGTGGGGTTTTTTCTTTTTTTTTTTTTGAGACAGGGTCTTGCTCTGTTGCCCAGGTTGGAGTGCAGTGACATGATCACTGCTTACTGCAGCCTCAACCTCCTGGGCTCAAATGATTCTCTTGCCTCAGCCTCCCAAGTAGCTGGGACTATAGGCACATGCCACCATGTCTGACTAATTTGTTGTTGCTGTTGTTGTTGTTTTTAGTAGAGACAGGATCTCACTATGTTGCCCTAGCTGGTCTCTAACTCTTGAGCTCACACTATCATCCCACCTCGGCCTCCCAAAGTGCTGGGATTACAGATGTGAGCCACCCTGCCCAGTGTTTTCTGTTAATTTCTAAAAGAGAAGTATTGAAATCTCCACCTGTAATTGTGGATTTGTCTATTTCTCCATTCTCTTCTATCAGCTTTTGCTTCATGAATTTTGAAGCTCTGTTGTTATGCACATACATGTTTAGGATTATTTTATCTTCTTGATTAATTGACCCATTTTTCATAATATGGTCTTCCTCTTTATCATTGATAACATTCCTTCTTCTGAAGTCTACTTTGTCTACTATGAATACAGTTACTGCAACTTTGCTTAGTGCGTTTGCCTGTTTTTTGTTTGTTTCTGTTTTTGTTTTTTTTAGACAGAGTGTCGCTCTGTCGCTAGGCTGGAGTGCAATGGCATGATCTCGGCTCGCTGCAACCTCTGCCTCCCAGGTCCAAGAGATTCTCCCACCTCAGCCTCTGGAGTAGCTGGGACTATAGGCGCCTGCCACAGTGCCCAGCTAATTTTTGTATTTTTATTAGAGAGGGGGTTTCACCAATTGGCCAGGCTGGTCTCAAACTCCTGACCTTGTGATAGGCCCGCCTCGGCTTCCCAAAGTGCTGGGATTACAGGCGTGAGCCACCGTGCCCGACCTTGCCTGTTATTTTTTTAAAGTCTTTTCACTTTTTTTTTTTTTTGAGACTGAGTCTCACTCTATTGCCCAGGCTGGAGTTCAGTGGCGCAATCTCGGCTCACTGCACCTCTGCCTCCCAGGTTCAAGCAATTCTCCTGCCTCAGCCT
Organism: Homo sapiens; assembly: GCF_000001405.40. Taxonomy (NCBI): domain Eukaryota; kingdom Metazoa; phylum Chordata; class Mammalia; order Primates; family Hominidae; genus Homo; species Homo sapiens. Next base: position 21,576,770 of record NC_000016.10, on the reverse strand, counting down.
CCCAAGTAGCTGGGATTACAGCAGCCTGCTATCATACCCGGCTAGTTTTTGTATTTTTAGTAGAGATGAGGTTTTACCATGTTGGCCAGGCTGGTCTCAAACTCCTGACCTCAAGTGATCTGCCCACCTCGGCCTCCCAAAGTGCTGGGATTGCAGGCATTAGCCACTGGACCCAACCTAAGTCTTTTTACTTTTAACATGTCTATATCTTTATTTATTTATTTATTTATTTATTTATTTATTTATTTATTTTCCTTTTGGGAGAACAGGGTCCTGCTATGTTGCCCAGGCAGGTCTCCAACCCCTGGGCTCAAGTAATCCTCTCACCTCCGCCTCCCTAAGTGCTGGGATTACAGGTATGAGCCACTGTGCCTGATAACATGTCTATATTTTTCTTTTTTTTTTCTTTTTTCTTTTTTTTTTTGAGATGGAGTCTTGCTCTGTCACCCAGGCTGGAGTGCAGTGGCACACTCTTGGTTTACTGCAACTTCTACCTCCTGGGTTGAAACAACTCTCCTGCCTCAGCCTCCCAAGTAGCTGGTACTACAGGTGCCTGCCACCACCCCTGGCTAATTTTTGTATTTTTAGTAGAGATGGGGGTTTCACTATGTTGGCCAGGCTGGTCTGGAACTCCTGACCTCAAATGATTCACCCACCTTGGCTTCCCAAAGTGCTGGGATTACAGGCGTGAGATATCACGCCCAGCCAACATGTCTATATCTTTTTTTTTTTTTTTTTTGAGACGGAGTCTTGCTCTGTTACCCTGGCTAGAGTGCAGTGGTGCGATCTTGGCTCATTGCACCCGCCGCCTCCCGGGTCCAAGTGATTCTCCTGCTTCAGCCTCCCAAGTAGCTGAGATTACAGGCACCCGCCACAACACCTGGCTAATGTTTGTATTTTTTTAAATAGAGATGAGGTTTCACCATATAGGTCAGGCTGATCTTGAACTCCTGACCTCAAGTGATCCACCCGCCTCGGCCTCCCAAAGTGCTGGGATTATAGACAGGCATGAGCCACTGTGCCTGGCCTATTTATGCTCTTAAAGGTTATTAATATCTGATATATATATGTTGACGTGCAGTGGTGTGATCACAGCTCACTGCAACTTTGAACTCCTGACTCAAGCAATCCTCCTGCCTCAGCCTCCCAAGTAGCTGGGCCTACAGATGCATGCCACCACACCCCGCTAATTTTTATTTATGTATTTATTTGTAGAGTTCTCACTACGCTGCCCAGGCTGGTCTTGAACTCCTTGATTACAAGCATGAGCCACCATGCCCAGCCTGGTGGAAATATTTTATAATGGTATGTGACTGTTCATCAATTTCCAAATTTGTGTTCAGTGATATCACATTGATATCTTGAAACTGGCCATGGTAGAAGTATTTATACAATGGAAATCAGTATAAATTATTGTGTTGGTTTATTAATTGACTGAACAAGGGGGTCAGCAAACCTTTTCTATAAAGAGCCAGATAATATTTTAGGCTTTGTGAGCCATGTACAGTCTCTGCTTCTTTGGTGGTTAGATCTCAGGCTGTACAAAAAAACAGGCCATGGGTTGGATTTGGCCCACAGGCTATAGTTTGCCTACCCCGGGTCTAGACTTAAGAAAGTAGTAAAAAAGATGCTTGTAAAGACTGAACCCAAAACTGTCATTTCTTTAGCCATTACACTGCAAATGCACAACTAATTAAGGAAATATTCTTCCCAGTATTCAAAACCTATCATTTAATTCAGCAAAGAAGTTGCTCACATCACTAGTGACCAAGTGAAGTTCTGAAGTGGGTCTTCATTGTTTCACTTTTGTCTTACTCATTAAGATAAACAAAAATATAAAACAACATTTAGGTTGGAACTACACTCCTTGGTCAATGACAGGAGTAACTTGAATAGTAATCAAGCATTTATTCAGTCTGGATTTTGTGACTCTGTTGATTCGTAAAATTTATAGTAAGTTACATATGTATAGAATGCATAATATTTTTTTTTCGAAGAGTCAGTTTTAAGCATTTCCAGCACACCAATGTCTACACATGTCCATCTGAGCTGATGATCACTCTTGGCTAAGAAAATCTGAACAGGCACAGAGAATCTGAATCAGTTAGATGAAGGTGGGCGACTGAACTCGTGTGTTGGTGGGGTGGGGGAAGGGGCCAGGTGCAGTGGCTCATGCCTGTAATCCCAACACTTTGGGAGGGTGAGGTGGGTGGATCATTCGAGGCCAGGAGTTCGAGACCAGCCTGGCCAGCATGGTGAAGCCCCATCTCTACTAAAGATACAAAAGAATTAGCTGGATGTGGTCAATTGCACACATGTATCCCAGCTACTTGGGAGGCTAAGGTGGGAGAATGGCTTGAACCCAGGAGGCAGAGGTTGCATTGAGCCTAGATTATGCCACTTCATCCAGCCTGGGCAATAGAGTGAGACTCTATCAAAAAAAAAAAAAAAGAAAAAAAAATGGGAGAAGAAGAAAAAGAGAGACAGAGAAATGAAGCAGAGGTGTCAGAAACAGCAAAAGTCACCTCAGTCCCTGCTTTCCCACTCCAGTCTTTGTATAGCTTAACCATGATTTCCTGTTCCTGGATGCCTATGAGTTTGCCTACTATATACTTCCAAAAAACCTCTTTAAAATCACTGAAATTGAATTCCCTTTTCTTGACCCTAAGAGTGTGCCATATAAATCTGGGTTATTCTCTAATTCTGGTCTTGAATTTCCCAAATCTGATCTTTTTCTTTTTTTTCTTTTTTTTTGAGACGGAGTCTCACTTGCCCAGGCTAGGGTGCAGTGGCGTGATCTCCAATCACTGCAACCTCGGTCTCCTGGGTTCAAGTAATCCTCCTGCCTCAGCCTCCAGAGTAGCTGGGACTACAGATGTGCACTACCATGCCCGGCTAATTTTTTTTTTTTTTTTTTTGAGTTGGAGTTTCACTCTTGTTGCCCAGGCTAGAGTGCAATGGCACGATCTTGGCTCACCGCAACCTCTGCCTCCCAGGTTCAAGCGATTCTTCTGCCTCAGCCTCCTGAGTAACTGGGATTACAGGTGCCCACCACCACGCCTGGCTAATTTTTTGTGTTTTTACCAGAGATGAAGTTTCGCGCTGTTGCCCAGGCTGGTTTTGAACTCCCGAGCTCAGGCAATCCACCTACCTTGGCCTCCCAAAGTGCTAGGATTGCAGGCATGACCAACCGTGCCTGGCCAATTTTTGTATTTTTTGTACAGATGGAGTTTCACCATGTTGCCCAGGCTGAGATCTTGAACTCCTGAGTTCAAGTGATCCTCCCACCTTGGCCTCCCAAAATGCTGGGATTACAGGTGTGAGCCAGGCTGGTCTTGAACTCCTGACCTCAAGTGATCTACCCACCTTGGCCTCCCAAAGTGCTGGGATTATAGACATGGGCCACCGCGCCTGGCCTGTCATTTTTTTTTTCTTTTGAGACAGCGTGGTGGAAATACTTTATAATGGTATGTGACTACTCATCAATTTCCAAATTTGTGTTCAGTGATATCACATTGATATCTTGAAACTGACCATGGTAGAAGTCTCACTCTGTGGCCCAGGCTAGAGCACAGTGGCTTGATCACAACTCACTGCAGCCTCGAACTCCTGGGTTTGGGTGATCCTCCCACTCACCCTCTTGAGTAGCTGGGACTACAGGCATGGACCACCATGCCTGGCCAATTTTTTGTATTATTATTTCTTTTTGTAGAGACTGGGTTTAGTAATTTTGCCCAGGCTGGTCTTGACCTCCTGGCCTCAAGCAGATTTGCCCACCTCAGCCTTCCAGTGCTGAAATTACAGGCGTAGGCACCATGCTGACCTCTTACTTTTTTGATAATAGCCATTTCTTTTTAAGACGGAGTCTTGCTCTGCCACCTAGGCTGGAGTGCAGTGGCATGAGCTTGGCTCACTGCAATCTCTGCCTCCTTAGTTCAAGCGATTCCTCTGCCTCAGCCTCCTGAGTAGCTGGGATTACAGCATCTGCCACTACACCCAGCTAATTTTTTGTATTTTAGTAGAGACAGGGTTTCACTATGTTGGCCAGGATGGTCTCAATCTCCTGACCTCATGATCCGCCTGCCTTGGCCTCCCAAAGTGTTGGGATTACAGGCGTGAGCCACTGCGCCCAGCCAAAATAGCCGTTCTAATAGGTGTGACGTGATACCTCATTGTGGACTTATTTATTTATTTATTTATTTATTTATTTATTTATTTATTTATTTTTGAGATGGAGTCTTTCTCTGTCACCCAGGCTGGAGTACAATGGCATGATCTCGGCTCATGCAACCTCCACCTCCCGGGTTCAAGCAATTCTCCTGCCTCAGCCTCCTGAATAGCTGGGATTACAGGTGCCCGCCACCACGCCTGGCTAATTTTTATATTTTTAGTAGACACGGGGGTTTCACCACATTGGCCAGGCTGGTCTAGAACTCCTGACCTCAGTTGATCCGCCTGCCCTCAGCCTACCAAAGTGCTGGGATTATAGGCATGAGCCACCACACCTGGCCTCCATTGTGGTTTTAATTTGTATTTCCTTGATAATTAGCGATGTGGAACATTTTTTTCATATATCTGTTGGCCATTCATATGTCTTCTGTTGAGAAATAGAAAATCTGTTCACATCCTTTGCTCATTTTTTAGTCATGTTTTCTCACTATTGAGTTCTTTTGAGTTCCTTATATATTGTGGATATTAGCCCCTTGTCAGATATATAGTTTGCAAATATTTTACCCTACTCTGTGGATTGTCTCTTCACTTTGTTAATTATTTCCTTTGCTGTGCAGAAGCTCTTTAGTTTGACCTAATCTCTTTTGTCTATTTTTGCTTTAGCTGCTTATGCTTTTGGAGTCCTACCCAAGAAATAATTGACCAGACCAATGTTCTGCAGCTTTCTCTTTTGTTTTTTTCTGGCAGTTTTACAGTTTCAGGCTTTATGTTTAAGTTGTTACTTCATTTTGAGTTGATTTTTATATACGGTGAGAGCTAAGGGTTTAATTTCTGGGGTTTTTTTGTTTGTTTGTTTGTTTTTGAGACAGAGTCTCCCTCTGTCACCAGGCTGGAGTGCAGTAGCGTGATCTTGGCTCACTGCAACCTCTGCCTCCTGGGTTCAAGTGATTCTCCTGCCTCAGCCTCCCGAGTAGCTGGGACTACAAACATGCACCACCACGCCCGGCTAATTTTTGTATTGTTAGTAGAGACGAGGTTTCACCATGTTGGCCAGGATGCTCTCGATCTCTTGACCTCATGATCTGCCCGCCTCAGCCTCCCAAAGTGTTAGGATTACAGGCATGAGCCACTGTGCCTGGCCAAAGGGTCCAATTTCATTCTGGATGTGGATATCCAGTTTTCCCGTCACCATTTATTGAAGAGACTGTCCTTTCCCTGTTGTGTGTTCATGACACCTTTGTTGAAAATCAATTGACTGTAAATGCCTGTGTTTTTTTCTGGGCTTTCTATCCTATTCCATTGGTCTGGGGTTTTGTTGTTGTTGTTGTTGTTGTTGTTTGTTTTTCATTTTTGTTTTTGTTTTTGTTTTTTTGAGATGGCGTTTTTGCTCTTGTTGCCCAGGCTGGAGTGCAATGGCATGATCTCTGCTCACTGCAACCTCCATCTCCCAGGTTCAAGCAATTCTCCTGCCTCGGCCTCCCCAGTAGCTGGGATTACAGGCATGCACCACCACACCTGGCTAATTTTTTGTATGTTTATTAGAGATGGGGTTTCACCACGTTGGCCAGGCTGGTCTCAAACTCCTGACCTCAGGTGATCCACCCACCTCGGCCTCCCAAAGTGTTGGGATTATAGGTGTGAACCACAGCACCCAGCCCACTGGTCTGTTTTTATGTCAGCACGATGCTGTCTTGATTACAATAGTTTATAATTTATTTTGAAATCACGTTGTGTGGTGACCTTCTCCGCTATAAAATCACAGGTGAATCTACAGATGATGATGATGCAGCATTAATGAAAAACAAAAAACTGTTGTCTCACTAATAAAATTGGTCAGAGAAGCAACATGAGGTTTAAAAAATAAAAGGGGCTGGGCATGGTGGCTCATGCCTATAATGCCAGCACTTTGTGATGCTGAGGTGGGAGGATCTCTTGAACCCGGGAAATTGAGGCTGCAGTGAGCTGTGATCGCACCACTGCACTCCAGCCTGGGCAACAGCACGAGACCTTGTCTCTGAAAAATAAATTAATAAAATAAAAATTTTAAAAATAGAAGAATAATTTTAAAAAATTAGCCAGTTGTGGTGGCACACCCCTGTGGTCCCAGCTACTCGGGAGGCTGAGGCATGAAAACTGCTTCAACCTGGGAGGCAGAGGTTGCGGTGAGCCAAGATTGTGCCACTGCACTCTAGCCTGGGTGACAGAGCAAGACTCTTTCTCAAAAAAATAAAAAATAGGGTGGGTGCAGTGGCTCATGCCTGTAATCCCAGCACTTTGAGAGGCCAAGGTGGGTGGATCACCTGAGGTCAGGAGTTCAAAACCAGCCTGGCCAACATGGTGAAACCCCGTCTCTACTAAGAATACAAAAATTAGCCAGGCGTAGTGGCCGGCACCTGTAATCCCAGCTACTCGGGAGGCTGAGACAGGAGAATTGCTTGAACCTGGGAGGCGGAGGTTGAAGTGAGACAAGATCTCGCCATTGTACTCCAGCCTGGGCCACAAGAGTGAAACTCTGTCTCAAAATAAATAAATAATAAAAAAATAAATAAAATAAAAGGAAGTGGCATGCACAGCCCATGTGGTTGGTTTTCCCAGTGGGCTCTGGGAAACCCAAACCAATCCACATATGGAAATTCATTGATGAAGAGTTACAGCTGTGTCCAAGCTACAAGACTGCTTGGAAATAGCCAACGGACAGGCCTTACACCTGATATTTAACTTTCTAATTTAGAGTCAAAAAGCTCTAAAACTTGTAGGATTTCTTTTTTGTTTTATTTGCTTTGTTTTCTAAACAAATTAGAGGTTAAAATGAACAGTTTTGCCTTCTGGTACGATGTAAACTCTATAAGAACAAACACTTGAAGTTTTGTTTGAATCCCATAACAGCCGGTGTTGGCCTTGAAGAGTCCCCATGTAGTCTGTCTTGTTTCTGACTGAAAATGGGCTCCACGCCAGAATATGAATTATTGCAATGCCCAGTGGGACCAGGCAAATCAAACTAAACATAGCATCATGAAGATCTAAAACTGCACTAGGGGGGAAAGAAGATAGAGAACATAGTTTCTCCAATGGCTTCTTATTAATTCAAATTTGTTTAACAAAGGATTCGGAAAAGTTTTATCTATGAAACCATTTAAAAAGTAAGAGATTTTGGCCAGGCACAGTGGCTCATGCCTGTAATCCCAACACTTTGGGAGGCCAAGGCGGATGGATCACTTGAGGTCAGGAGTTCGAGACCAGCCTGGCCAACATGGTAAAACCCCGTCTCTACTAAAAATATAAAAATTAGCCGGGTGTGGTGGCAGCCACCTGTAATCCCAGCTACTCCAGAGGCTGAGGCAGAAGAATTGCTTGAACCCAGGAGGTGGAGATTGCAGTGAGCCAAGATTGTGCCACTGCACTCTAGCCTGGGTGACAGAGTAAGACTCAGTCTCAAAAAGAAAAAAAAAAGTAAGATATTTTATCAAACAGTTTTGATTCTTTCAAATTATGGATAGCTGAGTCACCCCTACCTTCCAGTTGCTCATACCAGAGGAAGCTGACATGTCAACCTGTGATCACAATGCCTGGTGAAAAATGCAACAGCTACAACAGAGGACCAAGGATGGGGACAAAGGCACAAAGGATAGGCACGTACATGTGTGTACTTGTAATAATTTATCTTGAAATTACCATCCAACAGGTTTTTATTTTTTTTTTAGAGTCTGAGTCTTTCTCTGTTGCCCAGGCTGGAGTGCAGTGGCACAATCATGGCTCACTGCAGCCTTGAACTCCTGGGCTCCAGTGATCCTCCCACCTTAGCCTCCCAAATAGCTAGGACTACAGGCACGTGCCACCACACCCAGCTAATTTTTTTATTTTTTGTAGAGACAGGGTCTCGCTATGTTGCCCAGGCTGGTCTCAAACTTGTGGCCTCAAGCAATTCCCCCGCCTTCGCGTCTCAAAGTGCTGGGATGACAGGGGTGAGTCACTGCATCTGGCCCATCCAACAGGTTTTAAACAAAGTGGTAGGATCTGTGCATTCCTTTCTAGTACTAAACTTACTTCCATTCAACACACTTAGAGGTTACAAGAGGAAACCAGGGTTAATAATATTATTCAGAAGTGACATGGCCTGATTTTCTGCTAAGAACTTTCACGAAGCCCAAAGATTCCTATGGTTCTCAGTTACATTCCAGATAGATTGTATTTTTCATTTAAATCATGCACAGTAAAAGGGGGCCCTTGATTACTTAGAGGCTGATTGTCCAGTCTGCAGCTTCTTTTTGGTGACATGGGTTATCTAAAATAGCACCTTATTAATTCTACCAATTGAGGAAAGATGTGAAAAAGTCAAACTATATGATAGAAGAAGAGGAGGCAGTTTGTTACATTTTCATACTAGAACCAATGGCTATTACCAGAACCTCTGTATATAACTTATTCATCTAAAAAAAATAGGTCCCATGTGATTATTAATGTGCTAGGCACTGGACTAAATACTGGGTATTCAATGGTAGGTGAAACTGCTAAAGTCTCTATCTTCATGGAGCCTACCTACCTCCTAGTGTGCGAGATAGGTCTTATTTAAATAGTCATAAGTTTGATTTACACATGATTATATAAGATGACTGTAGAAAGTGCTATGATAGAAAAACAAGGTATTAAATGAGAGCTCATTGTTAGAGGGTCTGGCTCATGCTGGGCAAGTGGAGGCCAGAGAATGCTCCCCAGAGGAAATATTTGAGCTGAGTTCTAAAGGACAAGTAGGCATTAACTAGGAGGGTTCTGCCTAGAATCATGTGCAAAACCTCCGGCCACCACTACCTCCTCCTCTAAAAGCCACAGCTGGAGCCAGGCATGGTGGCTTATGCCTGTAATCCCAACATTGTGGGAGCCCAAGGCAGGCAGATTGCTTGAGCCTAGGACTTCAAGACCAGCATGATCAACATGGTGAAACCCCATCTCTACAAAACATACAAAAATTAGCTGGGTGTAGTGGCGCTCAGCTGCAGTCCCAGCTACGCAGGGGGCTGAGGTGGGAGGATTGCTTGAACCTGGGAGGCAGAGGTTGCAGTGAGCCGAGATCATGCCACTACACTCCAGCCTGGGTGACAGAGCAAAACCAGAAGAAGAAGAAGATAAAAGATAAAAGCCATAGCTGGGAATGTCCTTGGTGCTCTGAACTGGATGACATTTGTTAGGCATGGCCATCCCACAGACTCACTGCTCCTCAAGATCACCCTTCAGTTATCCAAGAACTGATGGTTACCTACCCATGCTCTGCTCTTCTGCTGCTACTTTCTGGGCTCTGAGATGACCACAGAGGCCAGGGTCAAATGCTGGGCCACTCACCACATACTGATGATGCTGTCAAAATGTGGTTACCCTTCTGCTCCACCTCAATTATCTGTGGAAAACCTAATTTAAGGGGTATATGGTGTTTTGTCTGCCCGCATTTCTTCCTGTAAGAAACACGCTTTCCCCTCTTCCCTAGTAAACTGTCTCAGTCCTTACGAGTTGGTGGAGCTGGACTGCCTCACTTCCATCCCCAAGGTCAGGTACATGCCCAGATCTGGTCAGAGGACTTCATGTGTCAAGGTACAACTACTGCCTCAGCCATGAGCACTTGACTCATACAGTGCCCATTAGCGTCCACCTGGGGACTTTTTCTGTGCTACTGGAACAAAAGTGCATGTTTCCTCACCATCTTGGGCTGTTAGCCCTATGTGAACATGGAGGTATCTTGCTGCCATGCGATGAAAAGCTTATACACAACGCAGAGGGTAAGTCAGAGAAACTAGTTAATGACATAATTTGAGATCCAAATCTGCCTGACTTTTCAGCTACAGAAGCCAATAAATTCCCTTTTTTTTCTTTTTTTCTTTTTTTTTGAGACAGAGTCTCACTGTCGCCCAGGCTGGAGTACAGTGGCGTGATCTTGGCTCACTGCAACTTCCACCTCCCGGGTTCAAGTGATTCTTCTGCCTCAGCCTCCAGAGTAGCTGGGACTACAGGCGTGCACTACCATGCCTGGCTAATTTTTTGTATTTATAGTACAGGCAGGGTTTCACCGTGTTGCCCGGGCTGGTTTAGAACTTCTGACCTTAGGTGATCCACCCGCCTCGGCCTCCCAAAATGCTGGGATTATAGGCATGAGCCACTGTTCCCAGCCCGAATTCCTTTTTTATTTAAGCTAACCTGCATTGAATTTCTGTCACTTGTAGCCAAAGTGGTTTGAATAATGCACCTTTCCAATTGGCACTTGTGCCCAAATTACCATAAACTGGCTGTCTCTGACCACTCTAGGGAAAGGATTCAGTGATTTCTAATTGACCACTACCAGTGAAGACATGGGAGGTTTGAAATAGCTGAGCCCAGATTCTGAGAACGACAGGACAAGGTCATGATTGTACTTTTGAACTTGATGTTGGAGGTGTTCACAAGCATGACGCCTCTCCTGGACTTTGTTTACTGATAGGAACCACAAGATAGACGAGACAGCAGAATTAGGCCAACAATGGGTGCAAGGTGCCAAAAAGGTAATAGAAACCCAAGTTCCACTTTGAAGCAGCATAAATCAGACATTTCTCAAACATTAAAAACGGAAGTGGCCTGATCAAGACCTTTAAACGGAGTAAAAAGCCACGAAGCCAAGGCCTTGAGCAGCTAGTCAGAGAATTATTGCAATATGTGCTCAGAGACACAGGGTTTCATGAAAAGCCCAGTCTCTGCCTGGCTGCAGCACCTCTGTGCTTTTTGTCCCAGCATTTGCTTAGCAGCAGAACCTCATTATCCTTCAGTGTTCTGTAGTTATAACAGATTCCAGCTTCAGGGGGAAAAAAATGGATTCCAGCTGCCAGGGGTTCTCTCTGGGAGATTTTCTATCTCTGAGACGAAATTGTCTTTTTCTCCCTTTTTTCATGGTGAGAGGGGCATGGAGTACACCTCTGATAATCTGCAGAGGCAAAGCCTTGCATGAGCATGCTGACAACCCTGCAGAGAGAAAGCCTTAGGCTGGAAGTTCAAGGGCAGCCAGGAGAATGAACATTTCGATGAATAAAGCAATTTGATAACTACCATGTTGTGGTCTAAGACCCACCACTTACAGGCTTACATGGTGATTACTGAAGCTGCAACTATTTTAATGGCTTCATCTACTTTAAAGTACTGGTGATTTTTCTACTACTTCATTTAATTGCTTGATGTTTCTTGGAAGAGTTCTTCGGTCTTTCTGCTAAAATGTTATCCCAAGCTAGGAGAGATGCCATGATTTCAGAGAATTTCTTTTCCTCTATAATATTATATATTTTCCTCTGGGTTATCAATGAACCTACTGACTACTTTGAGTATTATGCCTTTAGGATGTCTTCACCTCTCATTTCCTTAACATTTTTAAATGAATCTCTGATAGAAAAATGAATCTGAAGCCTTGCTTATGCTTTGATTCATTCAACAAATATTTATTGCACACTTACTGTTTTAGATGCCTGGGATACAGAGTAAATAAATCAACAATGATCCTTGCCTTCAACAAAGCTTACATTCTGGTGGAGGCAAAGAGATAATACATAAATAAATTTAATATCATCTTTTGTAATAATAACCATTACACCTCTGCTTATGAAAAAAATTGCATTCAATTTTTGCTCACAATCTTCTTTTTTTTTTTTTTTTTTTTGAGACAGAGTCTCACTCTGCCACCTAGGCTGGAGTGCAGTGGCATAATCATACTTCACTGCAACCTCTGCCTCCTGGGCTCAAGTGACCCTCCTGCATCAGCCCCACAAGTAGCTGGGACTACAGATGCATGCCACAATGCCCAGCTAATTTTTCTATTTTTTGTAGAGATGGGATTTTGCCATGTTTCCCAGGCTGGTCTTGAACTCCTAGGCTCAAATGATCTGCCTACCTCGGCCTCCCAAAGTGCTGGGATTACAGGCACTGAGCCACTATGCTCAACTAATCTTCTGTTCCCTTCCTTCCTTCCTTTTCCTTCCTTCCTTCCTCTCTCTCTCTTCCTTCCTTCCTCTCTCTCTTCCTTCCTTCCCTTCCTTCCCTTCCCCTCTTCCTTTCTCTCTCTCTCTTTTCTTTCTTTTTTCTGACAGAGTCTTGCTCTGTCACTCAGGCTGGAGTGCAGTGGCACAATCTTGGCTCACTGCAACCTCCACCTCCTGGGTTCAAGTGATTCTCTTACCTCAGCCTCCTGAGTAGTTGGTATTACAGGCACACACCACCACAGCCAGCTACTTTTTTTTTTTTGTATTTTTAGTAGAGACGGGGTCTTGCTATGATGCCCAGGCTGGTCTCAAACTCCTAGACTCAAGTGATCTGCCTGCCTCAGCCTTCTAAGGTGCTGGGATTACAGGCATGAGCCACTGCACCCAGCCTAATCTTCTATTCTCAAAAGAAGAAAGTATCCACCCGCAGGTAACAGAATTCTAAAATATTACTGTCTGGACCCTTTTACTTCATTTTCCTAGCTTATACCTGCCAAATTATTGGTAAATTCAGCTCTGTGAGGTGAAGAGGGCCATATAAATGATCATACTCTCACCTTGAATCCTATCTTTAGGATCTTCTACATCACGAGACTAAAGCAAAGTCTGACTCCTTTCCACTCTTCTGCTATCAACATCAGCTCAAAAATACATAAAATTAATAAGGTTGCTTCCTGATGGCATCAGTGAAATAACTTTATGGTCATTCATATAAAAACAGACAACCCTGGCCCAGCGCAGTGGTCCATACCTGTAATCCCAACACTTTGGGAGGCTGAGGCAGGTGGATCACTTGAGGCCAAGAGTTTCAGACCAGCCTGGTAAACATGGCAAGACTGACCCTATCTCTATTTAAAAAAAGAGAAATACAGAGAATCCTTTCAAGATCACCAAGTCAGTATCAATGAGCACCTCTGCAGAAAAAACAGGAGCTCAGAATGGACAAGGCCAGAGAAACCTCAGTAAGGTGAATGTGTCCGTATAGTTTCTTTCGAATTCGTGAAAAGAAAACTTGAGTCCCTATAAACTGTTGCTACTTCAAGAATAGAGAGGGAATTTCTCCTTTCTGGGCTCAGCCTGACATGTCCCTTTTAAGAATAATGGTGTGAGATGCATCGAAGGCTTACTATTTGCCTGGCTCTATGTCTTAGCTTGGGCTGCCATAACAAAATATCATAGTACAGGTTGGGTAGCTATTTATATATTTATTTATTAAGAGGGCCTTGCTCTGTCACCCAGGCTAGAGTGCAGTAGACCAATCATAGCTCACTGTAGCCTCAATCTCCCAGACTCAAGTGAGCCTTCCATCTCAGCCTCCCAAACAGCTAGGACTACAAGAACACACCACCAAGCCCAGCTAATTTTTTTAAACTTTTTTTTGTAGAAACAAGGTCTCACCGTTGCCCAGGCGGGTCTTGAACTCTGGGCTTCAGCCTCCTCCCACCTTGGCCTTCCAAACCGCCAGGATTATATTGTGAGCCCCAAGACCCGGCCTAGGTGGCTTAAACAACAGACATTTATTTCTCACAGTTATGAAGGCTGGGAAGTCTGAGATCAGGGTGCCAGCATGGTTGGATTCTAGTGAAGACTGTCTACCTGGCTTGTAGACAGGAAACTAGCTTCTTGTATGGGAGAGAGAAAAGGAGGGAAGAGGATAAGGGAGAGGGAGGGAGAAGGAGGGAGAGGGAGAAGGAAGGGGAATGGGGGGAGAAAGAGAGAGAAAGGGAGCTCTCTCATGTCTCTTCTTTTTTTTTTTTTTGAGACAGAGTCTCGCTCTGTCCCTCAGGCTGGAGTGCAGTGGTGCGATCTCAGCTCACTGCAACCTCCACCTCCCGGGTTCAAGATATTCTCCTGCCTCAGCCTGCTGAGTAGCTGGGACTACAGGCACACCCCACCACGCCCAGATAATTTTTGTACTTTTAGTAGATACAGGGTTTCACCATGTTGGCCAGGATGGTCTCCATCTCCTGACCTTGTGACCCACCCGCCTCAGCCTTCCAAAGCACTGGGATTACAGGCATGAGCCACTGTGCTCAGCCTCATGTCTCTTCTTATGAGGACACTAATCCCATCATGCAGGCCCACCCTCATCACCTCAACTAAACCTAATCACCTCCAAAGGCCTCATCTCAAAACAGCATCTCTTTAGGGTTTAAGGCTTCAACATATGAATTTGGGGAAGACAAAATTTAATCCATAGCACCCTGTTGGAACATTTCCCTCATTGCTACTAATTTCACAACACCCCTGAAGAAGACACTGAGGCTTAGACAGGTTAATTAAATTGGCCAAAGTTACACAGCTAGTGAGTTTGGAGCTGAGGATTTTTTACTTAGATATGAACTAAAAATCTCTTCAAGATAAAATGGTGGCAGTGCGCGGTGGCTCATGCCTGTAATCCCAGCACTTTGGGAGGCCAAGGCAGGCATATTACTTGAGGTCGGGAGTTTGAGACCAGCCTGGCCAACATGGTGAAACTCTGTCTCTACTAAAAGTACAAAAAAAAAAAAATTAGCTGGGCATTAAGGCTCATGCATGTAGTCCCAGCTACTTGGGAGGCTGAGGCAGGAGAATCACTTGAACCCAGGAGGCAGAGGCTGCAGCGAGCTGAGATCACACCACTGCACTCCAGCCTGGGTGAAACAGCGAGACTCTGTCTCAAAAATAAAATAAAATAAAAATAAATAAAATGGTGTCTCTAATACAAATTTATCAGAAGGAAAAACCTCAGTTTCTAAGAAGATGGTCATATGCTTTTAGTAGAAATGAGTTAAGACACTCTCAACTGGAAGGGATCGCCTCTGACAAATCCCATCAAGTATCTAATAGTTCAAGACCTGCCTGGGCAACTGTGAGACCTTGTTTCTACAAAAAATGTTTCCCAGGCTGGTCTCAAACCCCTGGGCTCAAGCGACACTCCTGCCTCAGCCTCCCAAAGTGCTGGGATTACAGGCATGAGCCATAATCTTTTGGGCCAAATATTTTTAATAATTTAGAATGCCACAAGTACTCATGTTCATTACAGTTAGCAACTGGACTTAATTTAAAGAACCTTGTCAAAGACACAGTGATTATCCCAATGTTCATTTCAGCAATCCTAACAAATGAATACGATTATATGTACACAATTTTTTGGAGTTGTAATTTGTGCATGTTTTTTAATATTGTCTTCTAAAATACATAGTGCTGGCCGGGCACAGTGGCTAACACCTATAATCCCAGCACTTTGGGAGGCCGAAGCAGGCAGATCACTTGAGGTTAGGAGTTCGAGACCAGCCTGGCCAACATGGTGAAACCCGGTCTCGACTAAAATACAAAAATTAGCTGGGTGTGGTGGTATGCGCCTGTAATCCCTGTTACTCAGGAGGCTGAGGCAGGAGAATCACTTGAACCTGGGAGGCAGAGGTTGCAGTGAGCCAACATCGCGCCACTGCACTCCAGCCTGGGTGACAGAGCAAGACTTCATCTTGAAAACAAACAAACAAAAAACCCATAGTGCTGAAAGCGGGAAGTCATGTCTCACCAAAGTAATAAAATTTGACACTCAGAATATGTGGAATGTTCTAACTGCTGGCTATTTCTCACTCTTCTAGTTGACCCAATAGTAGGCTACATGAGCAATTCAGAGGAGGGTTTTTTAAATTATTATTATTTTTACTTTTTTGCTTTCCTTTCAAGGCACTATGCTTCAATGGCTTTATAGGTCAATAATATGGAAAAACATTAATACAAAAATTTACAGCTGGGCATAGTGGTTCACGCCTACAATCCCAACACTTTGGGAGGCCAAGGAGGGAGGATTGCTTAAACCCACGAGTTTCAGACCAGCCTGGGCAACATAGTGAGACCTGTCTCTACCAAAAAATAATAATAATAATAATTAGCTGGAAATGGTGGCATGTTCCCATAGTCCCAGCTACTCAGTAGGCTGAGAGGAGAGGATTGCTTGAGCCCCGGAAGTCATGGCTGCAGTGAGCTATGATCTGACACTGCACTCTAGCCTGGGCAACACAGTGAGGCCATGCCTTTAAAAAGAAAAAACAAACAAAGAAAAAGAATAAGAAACTTACAATGGAGCATTTCAGAGCTACAGCAGAATCAAGAGTATGATACAGAATTGATACTTTGAAAGAACAAAGTCCACCAGCCCCAAGTATAATACATAAGATTAGCTCGTTTCTCCCTAAGTAGCCTAATCTTTAACATGGCATAAAACCACCAATTTAGTCCTAATATGAAAAGAGGTCATTAAACAAGCAGGAGCCAGTTCTTGCCTGAGAATTTCCAGGTTGTTGCTTTAGTAAATATGGAAAGCACTTGTTTTCAAAAAGCAGTTTTAAAATTAGTTTTAAGAGCTGGGTGGGGTGCCTCATGCCTATAATCCCAGCACTTTGGGAGGCTGAGGCTGGTGGATGACTTGAGCCCAGGAGTTCAAGACCAGCCTGGGCAACATGGTGAGATCCTGTCTCTACAAAAAATACAAAAATTAGCTGGGCGTGGTGGCACACACCTGTAATCCCAGCTACTCAGGAGGCTGAGGCAGGAGAATTTCTTGAACCCAGGAGGTGGAGGTTGCAGTGAGCCAAGGTCACGCCACTGCACTCCAGCCTGAGTGACAGAGTGAGACTCCATCTGAAAAAAAAAAAAAAATTAGCCAGGCATGGTGGTATGCACCCGTGTCCTAGCTACCTGGGAGACTGAAGTGGGAGGATCGCTTGAGCCCAAGAGACTGCAGTGAGGTATGATCATGTCATGCCAGTGCATCCCAGCCTGGGCAATACCGCAAGTCTCTTAAAATATATATATATATATATATATATTAGGACTCTTTGTATCCCAGTTCCCAGCTCAGTGCTAATACCAGTAGGCACTCAAAAATGTTTGCTGAAGAAAGAATGCAAGCATGCTTAGTGGGCTGAGTGGAAGGAATAGCCCTTTTCCTTTCATATACTAGAACTTCATTGTCATTGTTTCTTCTTTGTGCAAAATGTGGACTTGTGTTGCAAGTTTTTTTTTTTTTTTTTTTTTTTTGAGACAAGGTCTCACTGTCACCCAGCCTGGGCACAGTGACATGATCTTGACTCATCGCAACCTCTGCTTCCTGGGCTCGTGATTTTCCAGCCTCAGCCTCCTGAGTAGCTGGGACTACAGGCGGGCGCCACTGCACCTGGCTAATTTTTGTATTTTTGTAGAGATGGGGTCTCACCATGTTGCCCAGGCTGGTCTCAAACTCCTGGGCTCAAGTCATCTGCCCGCCTAGGCCTCCCAAAGTGCTGGAATTACAGGCATGAGCCACTGCACCCAGGCACAAATTTTAATATGAGTTGGATGTATAAAACAATTAAGACAACCCATTTCTAACTTTACTACATGAAGTACCTTATCCCAGATAACTAGAAGAGATCATATGTTGGTTTTCTTGCCCAATTAATTACCCCAGTTATAGATCTCCATTAACAACAAACTTAACCATTACATTCACTGGCTGCTGGATAGTATATCTTTGGGTCACTATTAAATAAATAAATCTATAAAATGTAGTAAAATAATCTTCCCTGCAGAACCAACATTTCTGTAACTGTATCAAGGAATCATAAACCATCTTTTGAAAATGTCAGTGGGAAGAATCATACCCCTGAGCTATACAGTTCTGAGCATGTTAACAGTAAAATAATAATTGGATATTAGAAAACTTACTCGTAGGTATGAAATTTATTTCAAATATATATTTTGCTGAATACTTTTTTTTTTGAGACAAGATCTCACTGTGTCACCCAGGCTGGACTACAGTGCTGCGTCACAGCTCACTGCAGCATTGACCTCCCCAGGTTGTGGTGGCTCACGCCTATAATTCCAGCACTTTGGGAGGCCGAGGCAGGTGGATCACCTGAGGTCAGGAGTTTGAGACCAGACTGGCCAACATGGTGAAACCCTGTCTCTACTAAATATACAAAAATTAGCCAGTTGTGGTGGTGCGTGCCTGTAATCCCAGCTACAGGAGGCTGAGGCAGGAGAATAGCTTGAACCTAGGAGGCAGAGGCTGCAGTGAGCCAAGATTGTACCACTGCATCCAGCCTGGGTGACAGAGCAAGACTCTGTCTCAAAAAAAAAAAAAAAAAAAAAAAACCCTGTTGGGGTTTGTTGGCGAAGGCCCCCCTTCCTTTTGCCACCACGGGCGCCAACCCTGTTGCCCTTCCAATCCCATCTCCCGCTGCCCCTGACAGTGCCTTTGCCAGCTGGTGCTTCTGCCTGTTCCGTCGTGGTGGCTGCTCTCACCAGGGTCCTTTCCGCTGGTCGTCCCTTTCTGCCTGGAGCTGCCATTATCTTCACCTGACAAATAGAAACCCATCTTCAGGGCTCCACTGAAACGCCGCTTCCACGGGGGCCCTCCCGGGCGTCCCAAGCAAGTTTAGGGCCCCAAAGCCCACGCCCTCACCTCTCAGACACACAGCTTTTTATCTCTACCACCGTCTGACACTCCTGGATTCCAAGCTCTGCAAGGGCAAGTCAGAGCCTAGAGCCTCCTCCCTCTGTCCCCCGTACTGAGCGTGGTGCCCGGCACGCGGGAGAAACTCAGCGGGTGTTTTTGGATGAATGAGGGACTTTTCTTCTTTTATGCTTGCATGGCTGGCAAAGCCCCTTCTCATGGACATGTTCTTAAGACATATTTATCTTTCGACATCCTTACGTGCAGGTCTTACCTTGAGACTCGTGGTATTTGTTTCGGGGAACTGCGGATCTCTGCTGTAGTGAGATGATGACGATGCCAGTGATGATAGCAATTTTATTTTATTTTATTGTTTATTTATTTATTGAGATGGAGTCTCCCTCTGTCGCCCAGGCTGGAGTGCAGTGACGCAACCTCCACACCTCCCGGCTTCAAGCGATTCTCTCACCTCCGCCTCCCAAGTAGTTGGGACTACAGTCGCGTGCCACCACCCCCGGCTAATTTTTGTATTTTTAGTAGAGACCGGGTTTCACCATGTTGCCCAGGCTGGTCTCAAACGTCTGACCTCAAGTGATCTGCCCGCCTCAGCCTCCCAAAGTGCTGGGATTACAGGTGTGAGCCACCGTGCCTGGGCGATGACAGTAATTTTAATAATAACAATAACACCAGTCATAATAATAGTAAGTGGCTACCATTATTTGAGCTCTCACTGCATGCCAGGGACTGTTAGGGAGGTACTTTGTAAGCATCACAGTACTCAATCCTTGCCATAGGCATCATTATCCTTTTACAAATGTCTAGTCTGGGCCACAGACCTATAAAACAACTTGCAAAGCCCCACCGTGTGAAGCCAGGATTGGAGCCCACATTTGCCTGGCTTTCAAACCAGTGCCAATATGTGATGGTCTCAGAGGCTAACTTCCAGGGAGCAGTCTAGGTTCCGTCATCGCCGAGTTCTGTGGGCAGGGGCTTGCAGTGGCTGCGGCCCCTGCCTGCCTGGGGAGGTGGCACACAGAAGCCCTCAGCCTTCCCCATTTACAGCTTGGGAACGTGCATTACCCCCGAGAGTGGCACCGGAAGCAGACCGGTCCCTTGCGGCATCGTGTTATTTGAAATTTCCAGTAATTAGAACATCTCAAACTTCTCTTGTACTAATTTTAAGCCTTCAAACAACCCGTGCCTGCCAAAAGCCTGCTCATCTTGGTAAAAGCCCCGAACTACAAATAGATAGCTATTAACAGCATCTGTTGTAATAGCAGAGACAATATTCTCTGGGGCCAGCACGTCACCGCCTGGAGCCGACCCCAAACGTCATCTGTTATTATGTTTGGAGAGTCTGGCACGCGCTGAGGCAATCGTTCAATTATATCTCCATGAGCCGGTTCTGACGCACCTGCTTGCACAGAACGCTGAGGCAACAGTGGCCAGTGCTGCCCGGTGGACCAGCCCTGCCGATAGCAGAGTCTGGGGGATGGGGGCTGGCAGCTTAAAGACCCCTTTTCGTGAATTGGGCTTGCCTTTTTTTTTTTTTTTTTGATTAAGGAGAATATCCTGACATTGTATTGTCATTACGAAAAGTCACTTTAGGCTTGGCACAGTGGCTTATGCTTGTAATCCCAGCATTTTGGGAGGCTGAAGCAGCAGATCCCCTGAGGTCAAGAGTTCAAGGCCAGCCTGGCCAACATGGTGAAACCCTGCCTCTACTAAAAATACAAAAATTAGCTGGGCATGCTGGTGGGTGCTTATAATCCCAGCTACTCGGGAAGCAGAGGTGAGAGAATCGCTTGAGCTCAGGAGGTGGAGGTTGCAGTGAGCCAAGATCTGGCCATTGCACTCCAGCCCAGGTGACAGAGCAAGGCTCCATCTCAAAGAAACAAAAACAAAAACAAAATTTAGTGGGGTGTGGTAACACTTGTCTGTAGTCCCAGCAACTCAGGAGGCTGAGGCAGGAGAATCACTGGAACCTGGGAGGCAGAGGTTGCAGTGAGCCGAGAGCACCCTACCGCACTCCAGCCTGGGTGACAGAGTGAGACTCCACCTAAAAAAAAAAGAAGTCACTTTGAGATTATTTTATCCAGGTCTGCAGCCTTAAATTGGGTCCCTAACTTTACTGGCAAGGCAAGTAGCAGAGTTTGGCCTGAACCCTACTACAAAAGCTGAGGGCCTGGACCGTCAGACCTGGGTGAGGTTGCCGGCTAAAATGGGGCAGGTGACCGAACCTCTCTGCGTCTCAATTTCCTCATCTCAAAGTTGGACTCACAGGACCTGCTCTGTAGGGCCATTGTGAGGAGTTCATCCTGGGAGGAACATAAAGTTACCTCGCAATGCCCAGCAGGTAGCAGGTGCCCAGTGAAGGCCAGCTCCTCCGCCGCACTCTGGTATGCACCAAGCCTTCTCCATCACGACAACGACGTGAGCTCATGGACAGGATGCGTGGTGCCCGGGACACGCCAGAACCTGGCCAGCGAGAGCCTTTGCCCCTTAATCAGCTGTTTCACCCCATGAAGGCTTCAGTGGCTTCCAGTTCGTTGTTTTTTGTTTGTTTGTTTGTTTGTTTTAGAGTGCTTCCTTTATGTCAAGCGTTGTGCTAAGGACTTCGTATTTCCCATGTGACTTAATCGTAACAGCAGTCCTATGGTGGGGGTTCAAGGATCATCCCCACTTTACAGATGGGGAAACTGAGGCTAGGAGGGGTGCAAAAGCTGGACCTAGAGCACACAGTTTGGGAGTGGCGGCCCCAGCTTCTGAACGTGCGTCCGACTGCACACGGTTTGGGAGAAGTGACCCCAGCCTCTGAACGTGCGTCCGACTCCAGACCCCACTCCTGCCCCCATGCTGTATTGTCTACAGGAAGAGCAGCGAAACACGGCTTTCCAGTTTTTAAAGAAATACGCTTGGCATTTTGCTGGTGGGCGGTCTTCGCGGCGCAGGTCTAATTTTGGAATTTACAGTGGGATTTAAAGTTTTCAGTGAGATTCTCTGTTTCACCTTGAAAGAGGCTCAAGGTGTATGAATCCCACACTAGACTGATGCTGAAGAGGAGCCTGTGGAATCCGCACCCGCTGGCATTTTCAGTAAAAAGGCCTCTGTGTCTTCCTGATATGCGTGCGCCCCGCGCGGGCCACGTTGCCAGGTTCCGGGTGCCTCTTCACCGAACTGCCACCAGGGGCCGCTCCAGCCCAGCCCGAGTTATCCATCGGCCACCGCACCTGCTGTTCCCGAAAACGCAGCGGCCCAGACTTCCTTTGCAGTTACCCTCTTAGAAGAACGAACGTTTCGCTTCCCTCCTCATTTGCGTATCATAGAGCCAGTGAGACACAGTAGCCTTTTTGGGTTTTCCCCTGAGCGTGCTTGGTCCCCAGCCCAGGGTGGCCGCCGTTTCAAGCAAGTCCCTTGCTCAGGTACAGGGGTGCAGATGCCCCGAGCCAGCCTGAGGAGGGGCCGCATGTCCCGAGGGCCCCATGGTTCCCCTCAGGAGGCAGATTGGAAAGGGCTGACTTGTCTCTTACTCCAATGAGTAGAGAGGCGGAGGATCCAGCCCATCAGAGGCTGCCGCAGTAAAGAATTCTGTGACAGGCTGGGTACGGTGGCTCACGCCTGTAATCCCAGCACTTTGGGAAGCCAAGGGGGGCGGATCATGAGGTCAGGAGATCGAGATCATCCTGGCCAACATGGTGAAACCCCGTCTTTACTAAAAATACAAAAAAAAAAAAAAATAGCCGGGTGTGGTGGTGCCCACCTGTAGTACCAGCTACTTGGGAGGCTGAGGCAGGAGAATCTCTTGAACCCGGGAGGCGGAGGTTGCAGTGAGCTGAGATCACGCCACTGCATTCCAGCCTGGGCGACAGAGTGAAACTCCGTCTCAAAAAAAAAAAAAAAAAAAAAGAAGAAGAAGAATTCTGGGACAGCTCGGGGTCGGGAAAGGTGAAGAGATGCCTGTGGGCTCCAGCCCTGCTGGAAACCCTTGGGAAAGTCTTCTAGCCCCAGAGTTAGCACAGCACCTTACCCTGCAGAGGCTCAGGGCTCACAAGTCCCTTCTGGTCCCAGCAGCTCCTGTTCCTGGCCCTTGTTGGTTGGCCACATTCTGGAGGGTGACTTTTCTACTAGGTTTTGTGGGTGGGGGTCTGGCAGGCATCGGCTGTCAGTGGACTTATGCCTTATGCAGTTGGCGTCGCTCTTTGGAACCCTATTTATGTGCCTACGTAGAACCCTAGAGTGCTTGAGCTGGGACCAGGAGAAACGTGTAGTAACTCTCTTTACACAGATGAAGCTGCGGAGCCCCTGAATGGTGTGCGATGCACAATCACCACCACTGCCATCATCAGACAACACTTTACAAAATGCCTCCTGCCTTGTCTCCATTTATCCTTCCCGCTCTTCTCGTTTAACAGGTAGAGAGGCTTAGGCTCAGAGAGGCTAAGCTACTTGCCCAGGGTCACACAGCAAGTTAGAAGCAGAGCTGAGTTGCAAATCCAGGTCTTTAACTATTTCTGTGTTCTGTGGACTTTCCTAGAAATCCCAGGCGGTTCCCAAACTGCCGTGGGAAAGGCTCGATTCCACTGTAACACACAGAGCTGCTTACCGACCGAGTGATTCGATGAATAAATCAATGAACTGACTAATCCCATTCATTCCTGTATTCATTCATCCCGTGAGGGTTCGTTGTGTGCCTTCAATGACCCCTTCCTGCACTAAGTCGTGTTGATACAGTGATGGTCCAGACGGAAACAGCCATTTTTGTTTGTTTGTTTTTGGTTTTTTTTGAGACTGAGTTTCGCTCTTGTTGCCCAGGCTGGAGTGCAGTGGCGCGATCTTGGCTCACTTTAACCTCCGCCTACCAGGTTCAAGCAATTCTCCTGCCTCAGCCTCCCAAGTAGCTGGGATTACAGGCACCTGCCACCACACGTGGCTAATTTTTTGTATTTTTAGTAGAGGTGGGATTTGACCATGTTGGTCAGGCTGGTCTTGAATTCCTGACCTTGGGTGATCCTCCCACCTTGGCCTCCCAAAGTGCTGGGATTACAGGCGTGAGCCACCATGCCCAGCCCAGAAACAGCCTCTGTCCTAAGAGTGCAACTGGATGGGACTTAACTCAGTCTTACAAATGACATCTACCAGGCTGGGTCCAGTCTAACTTGTCCATGAAGCATCCATCATCCCTGCCTTCTAGGCATTTCTATTCTAGAAGAGATGATACAGACATGCATGAATTTCCACACAGTAAACTTATCATGAGTGAGCCCATCCCAAGAGCGAGAGGCAGACCCCCTGGCAGGCTCCACCCTCAGCCACCCATCAATGCACTTTGATGCCGCTGGGGCTGGTAGGCTGCAAACCCCCTTTCTACCACGGACACAGGCCGAGGCGAAGCGAGCACAGAGCTCACCGTGCTTGCATTTTGTGGTTCTGTAAGTTCCTTACATTGTGTTTTGGAGGCCAGGCACAGTGGCTCACGCCTGTGTTTTGTTTTTGAGACAGAGTCTCGCTCTATCGCCCAGGCTGGAGTGCATTGGCACGATCTCGGCTCACTGCAACCTCCACCTCCCAGGTTCAAGCGATTCTCCTGCCTCAGCCTCCCAAGTAGCTGGGATTACAGGCACCCACCAACACACCTGGCTAATTTTTTGTATTTTTAGTAAAGACAAGGTTTTAGCATGTTGGCCAGGCTGGTTTTGAACACCTGATCTCAAGTGATACAACTGCCTTGGCCTCCCAAAGTGCTAGGATTACAGGCGTGAGCCACTGTGCCTGGCCTAACAAAGTGATTTTATGTGCTGATTGTGTGAAGCACTCTTTCTGTGTATTTTTAAAAATTGAGATGTAATTCATCTGTGTATATTTAAGGAGAATAGAAGACTTGCTCATAATGGTAGAATTTTAAAACTACATATGACTCCGAGGTTGCTCCAGACCAACACTGAGATTTTGAGTGAAGAGGGGCAGTGAGCAGCTCTGTGGCTTGGTCCAGCACTTGCCTAGCCCCTGACTGGACCAAAGCCAAATCCATTTTCCATTTTCCAGTTTACACCTTGGTGCCTCCAACTATGAGTACTTTTTTTTTTTTTTTTTTGAGACTGAGTCTCACTCTGTCGCCCAGGCTGGAGTGCAGTGGCACGTTCTCAGCTCACTGCAACCTCCACCTCCCAGGTTCAAGCAATTCTCCTGCCTCAGCCTCCTGAGTAGCTGGGAGTACAGGCGCCCGCCACCACACCCAGCTAATTTTTGTATTTTTAGTAGAGATGGGTTTCACCACGTTGGCCAGGCTGGTCTCTAACTCCTGACCTCAAGTGATCCACCCGTCTCGGCCTCCCAAAGTGCTAGGACTACAGGTGTGAGCCACCACGCCCAGCCCAAGTACTTTTGGTGTCAGGAAACCACCAGGAGTCAGCAGTGTCAAGCTCCCCAAGGCATTCGTCATGCGCTCAGTGCTTTCCTGGCTTTTGCCACAGCGGGAGGTGACATGAGCAAGGCGGGTGACACGAGGCTCCTCCACAGCTACGGGAGGCACTCGGGCCACCGCGAATTCGTGATCAGTGCTCCAGTTCTGCTGGCGCCTTCCAGCCTTGCCCAGCCATCCCAGGAGCACACTGTGCTCCTTTCAATGAAAACGTGTGGAATAGGTACCACATTTGTAGCAGCTGTTGATGGAAATCTGTTAGTGACAAAGTGCTTAGACACAGGAGAAGCCACCCACATCAGAACCCCTGGGGAGCTCGTTAAAAGGCAGACTCCCAGCACTACCTGGACCTGGGGATGGCAGCCATGACTCTGTGAGGCAGAGCCAGAGGCCTCAGTGAGCGATGCTTATGGCTGAGCCCCACGTGTCAGGAGAAGGAAGCTCCTGGGAGGCTGCACCTGGCACTGTGCCATGGAGAGGGGCACCCCAAGTCCTGCAGGTGGAGAGCGCTGACTCCAAGGCGAGTGTTTAGGGTGACTTAGGACGGAAGGAGTGTTCCAATAAAAGCTGGCCCTGTGGTGGGCCTAGATTAAGCAGGGACTGCCAGAGATCAGGACTGATGCTATAGCTCAGGGTCTGCTTATTTAAAAACCTTGCTCACCCAGGAGCGGTGGCTCACACCTGTCATCCCAGCACTTTGGGAGGCAGAGGCGAGTGGATCACCTGAGATCAGGAGTTTGAGACCAGCCTGGCCAACATGGTGAAACCCTGTCTCTACTTAAAATACAAAAATTGGCTTGGCCTGGTGGCACATGCCTGTAATCCCAGCTACTCAGGAGGCTGGGGCAGGAGAATCGCTAGAACCCAGAGGTGGAGGTTGCAGTGAGCTGAGATCATGCCATTGTACTCCAGCCTGGGCGATAGAGTAAGATTCTGTCTTAAAATAAAACAAAACAAAAACTTTGCTCATTGTGTTATTTTATAATGTTATTTGGTGATAGGATTTAAGCTGCTTTTAAAAAATATTTGGAAGACATCTTTTTTTTTTAAATTAAAGTCTGGAAATCTTATAGGACAGGCAGGCATCTCAGAAACTTTCTTTATCGATTTCTGCCTGCAGGGAGATGAGGCCCTCACCACCACCCAGTGGCAGCACTGGGACCCTGCCTTCATTCCACATTTACTGTGAACCTCTGGGCAGGCGCTGGGCTGGCGGGGGGCAGAGTGAATGGGACAGACAGAGCCCACCTTTCACGGAGCCCACCTTTGGCTTGTCACTTCAACCATACAGCAACCCCTTGCGAGTGAACTCATATAACCCTAATGTAGACAATGCCTCAGGTAACACCACAGCTCAACAAACAGACAAAATGACACACACGTCTCGCTGCCTTTATTTCCAGGAATTAGTGGCGGGCCCTTGGAAAACCACTACAGACTGAAGCAATTTCACTTCCACTGGGGAGCAGTGAATGAGGGGGGCTCAGAGCACACAGTGGACGGCCACGTGTACCCCGCAGAGGTTTGTAGACGTGGCCTAACGGCACATATCTGGACGCTTTCCATGTCTCCGGCTCTATGGTGGGGGGCGAACAAGCCATGCCTGCCGCTCAGATGTGAAGGATTTCCTGGGGCCTGGGACTGTCAGTGCTCAAACCAGAACCGTCGGCCGCCCCACCCGTTTAGTCACACTCCTCTCCTACGAAGAAGGCACTTTAAGTTCTCTCATTTAACGGAAGAAGAGACTGAGGTTCTGAATGGTTACGGAACTTGCCAAAGCCAGACAGCTGGGATTCAAAGTCAGAGCTTGAGCTCTTTGCCACGCTTCACTCAGCTGTGTGCTTGCAGCTGTAGGGACTAGCAAATCCACAAGGCCCTCCGCTGAGAAGCTGAACATCTTTGCAATAGAGATCATCTTCTTTTGTTTGTTTGTTTTTTGTTTTTTTGAAACAGGGTTCACTCTGTCACCCAGACTGGAGTGCATTGGTGCAATCTTGGCTCACCACAACCTCCGTCTCCCAGGCTCAAGCGATTCTCCTGCCTCAGCCTTCCGAGTAGCTGGGATTACAGGTGCGTGCCACCAGGCCCTGCTAATTTTTGTATTTTTAGTAGAGATGTGGTTTTGCCATGTTGGCCAGGCTAGTCTCGAACTCCTGACCTCAAGTGATCCACCCACCTCAGCTTCCCAAAATGCTAGGATAACAGGCGTGAGCCACTGCACCCAGCCAAGATCATCTTCTTAAAGCAGTCTTATTTTCAACATTCCAAAGTGGGAGTCAGTAGAGAAAATGAGTGCGGATCAATGCTGGGAATTGGTTTTTGTAGTTTTTTTGGGTGATAAGTGATGCCTTATAGATTTCCCCAAATATTTTATTATGAAATTTTTGCAACATATGAAAAAATGAAAAGAAATGAACGAGAAGAATCTATGAGTTTGACGTCTCAGTCCTGTGATGATCATTTTTGCCATATTCACTTTATCACACCTCTGCTCACCCACTCACCTGACTTCTTGATGCTTTTTCAAGTTGAGGACTCTTTCTGTTTTTTGAACTTGTTGTTGTTATGAAAGTAATGCTGCAGTTAATGTGGAACTAGAGTGCACCCAAACCAAAAAATGAAAATTGCTTGTAATCGCACACCCAGAGGTGACCTCTGGACATTTTATAAATAGGGAGTGATATCTATTGTCATCATCATACACATATTTATAAATAGTTCCAAGAATGAGCACAACAATGGCTTCTGTGTGCTTCCTTTCATTTAACAACATGCCTTTTATTTTAGTATCTCTATCTGCAACTTTGTTTTTGATGAACAGATATTTTATTTATTTATTTATTTTTGAGACTGAGTATCACTCTGTTCCCCAGGCTGGAGTGCAGTGGCGCGATCGCATGATCTCGCGATCTTGGCTCACTGCAACCTCTGCTGCCCAGGTTCAAGTGATTCTCCTGCCTCAGCCTCCTGAGTAGCTGGGATTACAGGCACCTGCCACCGCGCCCAGCTAATTTTTGTAGTTTTAGTAGAGACGGGGTTTCACCATCTTGGCCAGGCGGGTCTTGAACTCCTGTCCTCGTGATCCACTCGCCTCGGCCTCCCAGAGTGCTGGGATTACAGGCGTGAGCCACCACGCCCAGCCGAGGCCTGAGTTTTTTCTGGTAATCCTTGTCCAAGGATAACTAGGAAGTAGAAAATAATGAAACCACCCATTTCTATTGGATGAGGTTAACATGATCCTCTCCTTTTTCCCACCACCAGGAAGACTGAGGCTCTTCCTTCCCATGGCTTCGTCAAGTGCCTGGGAGCTCAGAGGTGCTGCTGGTGCTGGGATCTTACACATCTGGCTGCAACAACTTAGTTCTTTTTTTTTTTTTTTGAGACGGAGTCTCGCTCTGTCACCCAGGCTGGAGCGCAGAGGCACAATCTCAGCTCACTGCAAGCTCTACCTCCTGGGTTCATGCCATTCTCCTGCCTCAGCCTCCTGAGTAGCTGGGACTACAGGCGCCCATCACCATGCCCGGCTAATTTTTTTTTTTTGTATTTTTAGTAGAGACGGGGTTTCACCATGTTAGCCAGGATGGTCTTGATCTCCTGACCTCGTGATCCACCCACCTCGGCCTCCCAAGGTGCTGGGATTACAGGTGTGAGCCACCACGCCTGGCCATTTCATTATGATTAAGTGGACACATAGGTCAGCCATTCAGAAGGGGAAGTGACTGTCTTATTTCTTGCTGATCAATTTAAGTTCTCTTTCCATTGTGTTTCAGCTGCATTTAGTTCACTGGAATTCTGTGAAATACCAAAATTACAAGGAAGCTGTCGTGGGAGAGAATGCTTTCTGTGATAGGCGTGTTTTTAAAGGTAATCACTTGCTGGGGTGTAGATCTAATGAAGAAAGTGGTGATCCATCATTAGGATTGCTTTTTTTTTTTGAGACAGGACTCGCTGTGTCACACAGGCTGGAGTGCAGTGGCGTGGTCTCGGCTCATTGCAACCTCCACCTCCTGGGTTCAAGTGATTCTCCTGCCTCAGCCTCCCCAGTAGCTGGGACTATAGGAGTGTGCCACCACACCCAGCTAATTTTTGTATTTTTAGTAGAGACAGGGTTTCACCATATTGGCCAGGCTGGTTTCAAACTCCTGACCTTAGGTATCTGCCCACCTCGGCCTCCCAAAGTGCTGGGATCACAGGCGTGAGCCACCGTGCCTGGCCTAGGATTGCTTTTAAAACGTGGTGTATTTACAGTGGAGTGAGCTTCCCCCCGCCACCCATTGCCTTTTCAGCTAACCCCTTGTGTGTCTGCCACGCAGCTCGGGGCCCATCATCAGATGCTGCAGAGGCTGGTGGACATCTTGCTGGAAGTAAAACATAAGGTAAGCTGCATATTTGAAATCAGCAGGCCGGGCGCGGAGGCTCACGCCTGTGATCCCAGCACTTTGGGAGGCTGAGGCAGGTGGATCACCTGAGGTCGGGAGTTCGAGACCAGCCTGACCAACATGGAGAAATCCCGCCTCCACTAAAAATACAAAATTAGCAGGGTGTCGTGGCACATGCCTGCAATCCCAGCTACTCGGGAGGCTGAGGCAGGAGAATCGTTTGAACCCAGAGGTGGAGGTTGCAGTGAGCTGAGATTGCGCTGTTGCACTCCAGCCTGGGTGACAAGAGTGAAATCCTATCTCAAAAAAAAAAAAAAAGAAAAGAAAGAAATCAGCATAATTTGACAAGCAAAATTGTTTAGTGCAGCGATTCATTTGCAAGGAAAAAGAAATCTCATAGTGGAAAGAGCCCCGCCGAGGCGCTGTGATTCCAGTTCTGGAAACAGGATTCTGCAGGGTTGATGCTCGTGTGTCCACAGCTAGCTCTCTCTGACTTTGAATGCGTCACCACTGCTCTGGGACCCTGTTTCCTCCTCCATAAAATAAGGGTGTTGGGCTCAATGGAAGTTCCCAAAATTCAGTCATGCAGGCAAGATCCTGAAGACTTTGACGTATCTGCCTGCCAATGGGACAACTTTCTACTGAATATTTTTCTTTTCTTTTTTATTTTTTCGAGGAGTCTCCCTCTGTCACTCAGGCTGGAATGCAGTGGCGCGATCTCGGCTCACTGCAACCTCCGCCTCCCGGGTTCAAGCAATTCTCTTGCCTCAGCCTCCCATGCAGTTGGGACAATAGGTGTGCGCCACCACACCCAGCTAATTTTTGTATTTTTAGTAGAGACGGGGTTTCACCATGTTGGCCAGGCTGGTCTCAAACTGGGGACTTCAGGTGATCCGCCCGCCTTGGCCTCCCAAGGTGCTGGGATTACAGGCGTGAATCACCGCGCCCAGCCTACTTAATATTTTTCTTTAAATTGATTAGCTCGAAAAATTTTTAGCCTTGTCCTGGGTGATGATATTCACTAATGATAATGTTTGTTTGAAAACAGATTGAAACAAAAACCTCAAATCCCTAACTAATAACATTTAAGAATGTTGACTCATGTACCACCCAGCATCTCCTTGAACGTCCCTGTCCGACCCCAAGCCCAAGGGCAGAGAGAAACCTGCCCAAACCGCGGCTCTCCGGCCCAGCTCTCCACACGCTTCCCTGCATCCAGCGCCCAGCTCTCCACACGCTTCCCTGCATCCAGCGCCCAGCTCTCCATACGCTTCCCTGCATCCAGCACAGCTCGAAAAGATGACGGGGACAAGAGTGTCGCCTTTCTCCAAGATCAGCTGAGAAAAGGCTTTGAGGGAGAAGGAGAAATTCCAAAGAAATGTAGTTTATTTATTCAGCAGCAAACAAAAGAATTCCAGGGCAGAAGGAGTCAACGCAAGCCTCAGATGTGCGGAAGGATGAGGCTTCAACCTGTGTTAACAATGGTGCGGGCTGGTCCAGATGGAGCTGGGGCAAGCCCTTCCTCGCGGTTCAAGGAGCCGTTTGATCTGTACGTGGCCTTCGCCTTGATGCTGGCTTCGGGGCGGCCTCCTGGGACTGGGACCAGATCACCCCCCGCCGCCCCATCTGCCTGCTCAGAAACTTCACAAGGCCACGGTTCTGAGAGCTCTGACGCCCCATCCTCTTCCTCCGCGCGGCTCCACAGCCAGAGGAAACCTGGGGAGGGGTTGTTTTCCCAGCCAGCCTCCACCTTCCACACCAGGTGGTCCCACCTCTTGGTGGGAAAGAAAAGAGCTGGCTGTGAAGGACCCTTTACCCAAGGGCTGTTTTCCTCCTGGGGAAGGTTCTGGAGCATTTCTTCCCCATGGGGTAAGTCAGAATTTTCTAGGCAAACCACAGGGGAGGAATGATGCCCGGGACAGGGGAGGAAGTGCCACCGCGGACTGAGCTCTGGTCCTGATGCTGATCTCTGGGCTCATCCCCTCAGCTGAAAATAAAGAGTTAGACTCTTTTTTTTTTTTTTTTTTTGAGATAGAATCTCGCTCTGTTGCCCAGGCTGGAGTGCAATGGCGCGACCTCGGCTCACTGCAACCTCCGCCTTCCAGGTTCAATTGATTCTCCTGCCTCAACCTCCTGAGTAGCTGGAAGTACCGGCGCCCACCACCATGCCTGGCTAATTTTTGTATTTTTAGTAGAGACGGGGTTTCACCATGTTGGCCAGGCTGATCTCAAACTCCTGACCTCAAGTGATCCGCCCACCTTGGCCTCCCAAATTGCTGGGATTACAGGCGTGAACCACCGCGCCTGGCCGAGTTAGACCTTTGAGAAATTAAAAGACCTTAAGAGGCTGAGTGCGGTGGCTCAAGCCTGTAATCCTAACACTTTGGGAGGCCAAAGCAGGCAGACCACCTTAGGTCAGGAGTTCAAGACCAGCCTGGCCAACATGGTGAAAGCCTATCTCTACTAAAACTACAAAAATTAGCCAGGCATGGTGGCGGGTGCCTGTAATCCCAGCTACTCGGGAGGCTGAGGCGGGAGAATTGCTTGAATCTGGGAGATGGAGGTTGCAGTGAGCTGAGATTGTGCCACTGCACTCCAGGCCGAGTGACACAGCGAGACTCATCTCAAAAAAAAAAAAAAAAAAAAAGACCTTAGGAGGTAAAAGACCCAGCCTTGGGGGCAAGAGTCTATGCTTCACGGGTCAGGGAATGGGAAGAGACTTGAACAACCCTCTCGCCTAGAGGCTCCTAGCCTAGGACTTCTGGGAGCTTCTCCCATAGCACAGTGTATCAGAGAGCCCCACAGTTGGACTCCTGGGTCCAGAGCCCTGATCCACCACTCCTGAGCTGCGCACCTCTGAGCCTCAGCTTCCTCGCCTGTGAAATGGAGATGTTAAACATCCACAGTAGCCCGGGCGCGGTGGCTCACACCTGTAATCCCAGCACTTAGGGAGGCCGAGGTGGGTAGATCACCTGAGGTCAGGAGTTCAAGACCAGCCTGGCCAACATGGCAAAACCCCATCTCTACTAAAAATACAAAAATTAGCTGGGTGTGGTGGCACACTCCTGTAATCCCAGCTACTCAGGAGGCTGAGGCAGGAGAATCGCTTGAACCCAGGAGATGGAGGTTGCAGTGAGCCGAGATCATGCCACTGCACTCCAGTCTGGGTGACAGCTCGAGAATCCGTCTCCAAAAAAAAAAAAAATCCACACTAGAGCAGCATTCTCACCATGTAATGGAATAAGGAGCATGTCTGGTTCTTGGTGAAATGTGCAGTTGAGTTTAAGGCCCAGCTGTGGCCAACACTCACACACACACGTCTGCTGTGGAATGCACAGGCTGCTGCTGCCTGTCACGAAACGAAAATCCACCAGCCCAATCACTAAGGTTAAAGTCGCTTTTTGTTGCTGCGGGTGCTTTCAGTCAGCTGGTTCCCAGAGAGAGCTATTACCTTTTGGGAGTCCATGAAACTTTAGAATGATGGCCTTCTGATGGAAAATGCTAGAAGTGTGGTTGAATCTAACTCCTGATTGGTGGGCAGTGCAGGGCAGGACGGGGCCGTGGTGGCCTCAGGCTCAAGGGCAGATGGCCTTGGCTTCAAATCCCAGCTCTGCCTCTCACCCCCTCGGACTCAGCAGTCCTCACCCAGGGATGGGCTCATCTGCAGCTTCTGGGCTGCTTTCCTGGTTTCCTCCAGTTAAGGAACAAGCTGTCCTGAACTAGGGCAGGAAAGACCAGAGTCACGTAGTCCCCATCATCTCTCCTAGTTCCAGGCTGGTCCGGGCCCTGATGTGGGACTGACTCGGCAGAGACCCTCCAGGAATGCCTGCCACGGTCATTCCCTGGGGACCCAGCTGGCTTCTATGCAGTGCTCAGGGCTCCAAGGGTGCATTTCCAGAAAGAGCCAGATGGACACGATGTCTTTTCTGCCCTGGCTTCCAGAGTCACAAAGCACTGCTCCTGCGGCATCCTGTTCACCACTCCCACCAGGAGCACCTGCCCAGGCTCAGGGCAAGGCGACATCACCCCACACCTCGGTGGGAAGGGTTCAAAGAAGCGACAGCCCTCCATATAAATCATCACACTGAATCTTCCAATCACTCCATGGGGCAGGGCCTGTGATTCATCTGTCTTGCACACACAGGGAAACCAAAGCTCAGAGAGGCAGAGAAGGCCTTGCCCGGGCACACAGGTGGCAGGTGAAGAGCCCGTTTTTAAACCCAGGAAGTGGCTCCATGCAGCCTGAACTCCCAGTCGTCCCAGCGCCCACCTCCCACATGCAGTCAGAACCCAGGCTGAGCTCCAGGCCCTGCTGCACATTTCTGAGCTTTTCAGCAGCTTAGAGGGAAACACAGGCAGTGTCTATAACCAAAACCACATTAGGCGCCGCCTGGAAGCCCGGACCCCCACCCCCACCCCCAGCGCCGTCCCATCTGCACAGGCCCCTACCAGTGCTGACCTGTCACTATGCACTCAGCTCCCAGCACGCAGGCCCAGCCCCAGTGTGGCCCCGGTGACCCTGGGCAGACACTCCCAGAATGGAGACCTCGAGGCTTCGCCTTTGACCCTCTCACCATAGCCAGAAGTTTTGGCAAAAACTGCCCACAGAGGGTCCCCACCCTCCATGCCTGGACAAGCTGCAAGCTCCTCAGGCTGCTGGGGCCCCCCCTCCTCCCTGCCTTCGCAAGAGTCAGGGCTACCGGGGAATTGGCTGCCTTGTGGAGCTGGAAACAGCCCACCAGGTCCAGGGGATCCAGGGAATGGCTCTATGCCCTGTGGGGGCTCTTCTAGCTTTGGCAGCAGCAGCGGCAGCACCTACCGAGCCCCACGCCCATGTGGCAGGCACTGATGGAAGCCCATTACAGCCACCACACTGCCTGTCGTACACCTGGGGAAACTGAGACTCTAAGAGGACAAACCAAGGGCGGAGTTAGGCTGGGTGAGGCTTGACGCTCATAAAATGCGGGGTCCTGTTTAAGAGAAAGAAGACAAAACCAGGAACAGAGCGGTGGCTCACGCCTATAATCCCAGCACTGTGGGAGGCTGAGGCGGGTGGATTACCTGAGGTCAGGAGTTTGAGACGAGCCTGACCAACATAGAGAAACCCCATCTCTATTACAAATACAAAATTAGCCAGGCGTGATGGTGCATGCGTGTAATCCCAGCTGCTAGGGAGGCTGAGGCAGGAGAATCGCTTGAACCCGGGAGGTGGAGGTTGTGGTGAGCCGAGATCGTGCCATTGCACTCCAGCCTGGGCAACAAGAGCGAAACTCCGTCTCAAAATAAATAAATAAATAAGAGAAAAGTGGAACAAGTCACCAACCCACTTCCGCCAGCAAAGGCTTGTGGTGCTTTCCACAGGTAGCTGGGCCATCCGTGCTCAGATAATGGATGTGATGGTCTTCAGCCTCATTGGTGTGCTCACCGGTGTCCCATTCTAGCTGCCTGGGGCTCACCACACGCATAAAGGAAGGGCCCTGACTTCCTCTGGGGGCCCTGAGGGGGAGCAGCTTTCTGTAACCACATGGCTGCTCCAGCCCTCATGCATCTTAGAGACAGGACAGGAACTCCTGGGGACGATGAGGCAACACACAGGCATCCTCTTCTCAGCCCAAGGCTGGAAAGCTTAATTGGCAGGAAACCTGCACGCAGTGGAATGGCTGGGGCCTGCCGCTCCCCCGACTGATTCCTGCAGTCCTGGGGAGGGAGAGATGAGCCCGCACCTTGGAACGGGCCAGGCCTCAGTGGCCCTGACTGGCAACGTGGCTTTGGGCAAGTTGTTTATATCTGTCTGTCTATCTTCATCAGTAAACTAGAAATACTTCTTGAAGGGTTGTTCTGAAGATTTGAAGTAGTTGCTCAGAAAGTGACTGGCACATCTGTGCCCTGGGAGCGGGGACGTGTGGCCGGCAGGAGGAGAGGACATCTCACTGCACACCTGCCTGTTACCCATGTGCACAGACCAACGTCTCACTGCACACCGACCTGTTACCCATGTGCACAGACTGACATCTCACTGCACACCCGCCTGTTACCCACGTGCACCAGACTGACACCTCACTGCACATCCACCTGTTACCCACGTGTACAGACTGACGCCTCACTGCACACCCACTTGTTACCCACGTGCACCAGACTGACGCCTCACTGCACACCTGCCTGTTACCCACGCGCACCAGACTGACATCTCACTGCACACCCGCCTGTTACCCATGTGCACAGACTAACACCTCACTGTGCACCCACCTGTTACCCATGTGCACAGACTGACGTCTCACTGCACACCCGCCTGTTACCCATGTGCATAGACCAACACCTCACGGTGCACCCACCTGTTACCCATGTGCACAGACTGACGTCTCACTGTACATCCATCTGTTACCCATGTGCACAAGCAGCCTGCTCCTTCACAGCCCAGCTAGAGTGTGCAATGGGATGTCAACCCAGCTAGACCATGCAATGAGATATTACTTGGCAATCAGAAAGGACACAGCTCTAACTCACGCTGCGGTGTGGGTGAGCCTCAAAAGCACCGTACTAAGTGACAGACGCAAGACACAAATGTTCCACATGTTACATGACTCAGTTCCTATGAAACCCACAGAGACAGAAGCAGCACGGCGGGGGTGGGGAGAAGAGCTAAAAAGTACCAAGCTTCCTCCTTGAGGTGCTGAAAATGTTCTAAAATTGACTTGGGATGGCTGCACAACTGTGAATATACCCAAAACCATAGAATTGTACACTTCAATTTTTATTTACTTTTTCTGGTTTTTTTTTTTTTTTTTTTTTGAGATGGAGTTTCACTCTTGTTGCCCAGGCTGGAGTGCAATGGCATGATCTCAGCTCACTGCAACCTCTGCCTCCCAGGTTCAAGCGATTCTCCTGCCTCAGCCTCCCGAGTAGCTGGGATTACAGGCATGCACCACCACGCCTGGCCAATTTTGTATTTTTAGTAGAGACGCAGTTTCGCCATGTTGGTCAGGCTGGTCTCGAACTCCCGACTTCAGGTGATCCACCCGCCTTGGCCTCCCAAAGTGCTGGGATTACAGGCATGAGCCACTGTGCCCGGCCTATTTACTTATTTTAAGAAAGGATCTCACTCTGTCACCCAGGCTAGAGTGCACTGGTATGATCACAGCTCACTGCAGCCTCAACCTCCGGGGCTCAAGCCATCCTCCCACCTCAACCTCCCAACTACCTGGGACCACAGGCATGTACCACTGCACCTGGCTAGTTTTTGTGTTTTTTGTAGAGTCAGATTCTTGTTATGTTGCTTAGGCTGGTCTCAAACTCCTGGCCTCAAGCAGTCCTCCCACATCGGCCTCCCAAAGTGCTGGGATTACAGGCATGATCCATCGCGCCCAACCAGGTTGTACACTTTAGATGGGAGAGTTGCATGGTATGTGAATTCTATCACAATAATGCTGTGGGTTTTGTTGCTGTTGTTGTTGTTTGAGACCGAGTCTCTCTCTGTTGCCCAGACTGGAGTGCAATGGTGCAGTCTTGGCTCACTGCAACCTCTGCCTCCTGTGCTAAAGCAATTCTTGTGTCTCAGACTCCCGAGTAGCTGGGATGACAGGCACCTGCCACCATGCCTGGCTAATTTTTGTATTTTTAGTAGAGACGGGGTTTCGCCATGTTGGTCAGGCTGGTCTTGAACTCCTGACTTCAGGTGATCTGCCTGCCTTGGCCTCCCAAAGTGCTGCAATTACAGGCATGAGCCACTGTGCCCAGCCTATAATGCTGTTTTTTTTTTTTAATTAACTGGATAATTATAAACGTGAACACGTGTGCACAGAACTGATGCATGTGTCTGCCGGCGTGGACACTCCTGGGCTTCCTTCTGGTAGCTCAGCCGCCTCTCTTGACCCTGACCCTCACTGCTTGATGTTAGGAGACAAGCCCAAGGCATCTAGGTTGCTGGCTTCCACCTTGGAAGGCCAGGGCCCAGCAAAGTCAAGGTGATGTGATGTGGCTGAGCAGGGAGGCCATCTTCCTTCCAGACAGAGACTCTGTCACTTTGGACTGGACTCTTGTCCCACAGTGCTGGCCAGGGACAGGTGCAGAGTTGTGCTTGGTTGGCATGGGACGCTGATGAGGGCTGTGTTGCGGCCAGGCCCAACCACCATGAGCCGAGATCATGCCACGGCACTCCAGCCTGGAAGACAGAGTGAGACTCTGCCTCAAAAAAATAAAAAAAATAAAAAGTTATAAATAGAACTACCCTATGATTCAGCAATCACACACTTCTGGGTATATATCCAAAAGAGCTGGCTGGGCACAGTGGCTTATGCCTGTAATCCCAATATTTTGAGAGGCCAAGGCAGGAGGATCACTGGAGCCCAGGAGTTGGAGAACAGCTTGGGCAAGATGGCAAGACCCCCTGGCTACAAACAATTAATTTTAAACCCTGGTATGGTGTCCTAGCTACTTGGGAGACTGACGCGGGGGGATCACTTGAGCCCAGGAATTAGAGACTGCAGTGAGCTATGATGGCATCATTGCACTCCTGCCTAGTTGACAAAGTAAGACCCTGACTCTTTTTTTTTTGTTTTTTGGCTGTGAGTGTATTCAATGCAAAATAATCCTCTCTAATTTTACGGAGGTGGCTGGCCATGTCCACGACCAAATCTGCCTCTAAACTGGAATTCGGTTGCTGACCCAGCCCGAGCCTCAGCTTTCTTATCGGCACCAGGGGCACAGCACTCCGTCTGTAGGTATGTCTGTCGGCTTCCCCTCTTGTGAGTCTTGCAGGTCGCCCACCCTCCAGACCTTTAGGCCGAGGCCTGCCAGTCCCTGGACGGCTGCAGCGTAGGGTGGCAGGCACAGTTTCCAGGGACAGATGAAGGTAATCACGGAGATACTGGATACCCTGATCGGTAAGGTAGCAGTAGAAATGTCTCCAGGCAAGCCAGGCACGGTGGCTCATGCCTGTAATCCCAACATTTTGGGAGGCCGAGGTGGGCGGATCACGAGGTCAGGAGATCGAGACCATCCTGTCTAACATGGTGAAACCCCGTCTCTACTAAAAATACAAAAAATTTGCCGAGCGTGGTGGCGGGTGCCTATAGTCCCAGCTACTGGGGAGGCTGAGGCAGGATAATGGCATGAACCCAGGAGTTCAAGCTGGTCTTGAACTCCAGGAGGCGGAGCTTGCAGTGAGCCGAGATCACACCACTGCACGCCAGCCTGGGTGACACAGCGAGACTCTGTCTCAAAAAAAAAAAAAAAAAAGCAACAATGCAGGGACTCCTGACACATGCTCCAATGTGGATAAACCTGAAGGACATTATGCCCAGTGAAATAAGCCAGACACAAAAGACAAAAACCACAGGATCCCACCCACATCAGGTCCCCAGAGTCCTCAGATTCAGAGAGATGGAAGCAGAATGGTGGGTGCCAGGCCTGGGGGAGGAAGCTGGACATAGTGTTTAGTGGGGTCAGGACAGAATTTGAGTTTGGGATGATGGAAAAGTTCTGGAGACGGATGGTGGAGATGGTTGCACCACAATGTGACTGCATTTAACGCCATCAAATTTTACACTTCAAAATGGTTAAGATGGGCCGGGCATGGTGGCTCATGCCTCTCATCCCAGCGCTGTGGGAGGCTGAGGCAGGTGAATCACCTGAGATTGGGAGTTCAAAACCAGCCTGACCAACATGAAGAAACCCCGTCTCTACTAAAAATACAAAATTAGCAGATGTGGTGGCGGGTGCCTGTAATCCCAGCTACTCAGGAGGTTGAGGCAGGAGAATCACTTGAGCCTGGGAGGCGAAGGGTTGCAGTGAGCCAAGATCGCACCATTGCACCCCAGCCTGGGCAACAAGAGCAAAACTGCATCTCAAAAAAAAAAAAAGGTTAAGACGGTAAATTTTATGTTATGTATATTTTATCACAATAAAAAGTAATATTTTTTGCAGCCAAGGTATGCTAAAAGAAATGGCTTTTTAATTTTTTATTATTTATTTATTAATTATTATTATTATTTGAGACAGAGTCTCACTCTGTTGCCCAGGCTGGAGTGCAGTGGCGTGATCTCAGCTCACTGCAACCTCTGCCTCCTGGGCTCAAGCAATTCTCTTGCCTCAGCCTCCTGAGTAGCTGGGACTACAGGCGCCCACCACCACATCTGGATAATTTTTGTATTTTTAGTAGAGACAGGGTTTCATCATGTTGACCAGGCTGGTCTCGAACTCCTGACCTCAAGTGATCCACCCGCCTCGGCCTCCCAAAGTGCTGAGATTACAGGGGTGAGCTACTGCGCCCCAAGAAATGACTTCAAAAGGAAAAATGTAAGCACCAACATAAGCTGGTGTAATGTAATGTAATTCCCACCAATGTAAGTTGGCAGGAATCCTTGCTCTGTATAGAAGGCTCACATTTTCTTATCACTGCTTCCAAGTGTGACAGCAGTGGCCTCATGGCCTTATCTCGGGGAAAGCACTTCCTTCCAAGCACCATGAAGGCCTCCCGTGCTGAGACAAGATGGAAGCTCCTAGTCCCACCTGAGGACTGATACGGCCTGTGCTTCTCGGTCTCTCAGGACGCGCAGGCGGCCATGCGCCCCTTCGACCCCTCCGCTCTGCTGCCCACCTGCTGGGATTACTGGACCTATGTGGGCTCGCTCACCACCCCGCCGCTGACCGAGTCGGTCACCTGGATCATCCAGAAGGAGCCCGTTGAAGTGGCCCCAAGCCAAGTGAGCCGTGCCCGTAACTGGCATGATGGCGCTTCATGGAAGGCGTCTCTCTTGCTTGGCAGCGTCACTAAGATGCTGCATAAGAGCCTTGAGGAGTTATATATATTCTTTCATGCATTTGGGGTGTTCTTACACAAGAAGAAAGTTCCAATTGAAGTAGGAGCTTGTTGAGATTGGACAGCGGTTCCAGTGATCACAGCGAGCATGTTCTGAGCAACGCCCTAATCTATCACACACAGACACACAAGGCATCCATGGGAGTTGTCCCAGCGTCATGGGTCTGCATGGTTTTTGTTTTCTTCCTTTTTCTTTTCTTTCCTTTTTTTTTTTTTGAGACAGAGTCTCGCTCTGTCGCCCAGGCTGCAGTGCAGTGGCTCGATCTCAGCTCACTACTACCTCCACCTCCTGGGTTCAAGCAATTCTCCTGCCTCAGCCTCTCGAGTAGCTGGGATTACAGGCACCCATCACCACGCCTGGCTAATTTTTGTATTTTTAGTAGAGACGGGGTTTCACCATGTTGGCCAAGCTGGTCTTGAACTCAGGTGATCTGCCCACCTTGGCCTCCCAAAGTGCTGGGATTCCAGGCATGAGCCACCGAGCCCGGCCTCCTTTTTCTTATCTAAATAGTTTCATTGCTTTTTTTTTTTTTCGAAAATTAGTTAATAATCCTTGTATACATTTTTAAAAGTTATACTATTGGGCTGGGCGTCATGGCTCATGCCTATAATTTTAGCACTTTAGAAGGCTGAGACAGGCAGATCACTTGAGGCCAGGAGTTCGAGACCAGCCTGACCAACATGGTGAAACCCCGTCTCTACTAAATCTACAAAATTAGCCAGGCGTGGTGGTGCACGCCTGTAATATCAGCTACTTGGGAAGCTGGGGCAAGAGAATAACTTGAAGCCGGGAGGTGGAGGCTGCAGTGAGCCGAGATCGCACCACTGCACTCCAGCCTGGACAACAAGAGCAAAACTCCATCTCAAATAAATAAATAAATAAAAATACAAAAATTAGCCAGGCATGGTGGCGTGTGCCTGTAGTGCCAGCTACTTGGGAGGCTGAGGTAGGAGAATCACTTGAACCTGGAAGGCGGAGGTTGCAGTGAGCTGAGATGGCACCACTGCACTCCAACCTGGGCGACAGAGTGAGACTGTCTCAAAAAAATAAAATAAAAAATAAATAAAAGTTATACTATCATTTTTTTCTGGAAATCTTAAGAATCTATAGCAATTCTGTCTGTCCAAGGCAGTTCAGAGCCACAGGCATGCTGCCTATGCCCCGCCCCCGCCCGGCAGACGTTTCTCAGCAGTCGCAGCAGGACTTAGCATCTCTGGCTCATCTCTTTCTGAGGGCTCCAGGTGAGCTCTTAGAGGGTCTTTCAGTCTCCTGGGCCTGTGAAAATATTCCCTTATATACAAACCATGGCATGATGTCATTTGCACGTGGAGATGTGGGATGCAGAATATCTGCCTACCTCCAAACCAGAGCTGTTGGACATGGGGAAGGCTTTTGTTGAAGGTGGCCCCTTGTCAGCAAGGCCCTTATGCTACTCAACAAGCATATATGTGACAAGTGCCCATTCTGGGTCTGTGCCACCAAGAGAGGGTGGGAGGGGGGCAGGTGTGGAGGGGCGGCACAGGAACAGGGCATTCGTCTCAGAATACTGCTGTCTGGCAGGAAA
The DNA here is from genome assembly GCF_000001405.40 of Homo sapiens. NCBI lineage: Eukaryota > Metazoa > Chordata > Mammalia > Primates > Hominidae > Homo > Homo sapiens. The sequence continues at coordinate 21,535,016 of NC_000016.10, read as the reverse complement.
GTAGAAACGAAGCCAATAGTATTAAGCCAGGGTGGCCGGTGTCATATAAAAATGCAGGGCAGGAGCTCCTTATCCTGAGCAGGGGAGCCAGGGAGGCACATGTCCTGGAAGGCGGGGAGTTTTCCAGGGGAGGAGAAAGGCTGCCTTTCTGAGACAGTCAACAAATGTGCAGACCACAAATGTGGATGAGCACACTGTGGTCATGGCCCAGGAGGCCACGTGCACCATGCGCGCGCAATTCTAGGGGGCGCTGGATCATCATGCAGGGCTAACTGGCCCAGTATGCTGTCAGCATGTAGACATAATCTCACTTCTGAATTTAATTAAATGCGTGAGTTGCCTCACAGAGTTCATAAGTATATTCTGTGAACAAGTGAGATAATACATAAAAAGTCTTTTTTTATTTTTCATTTATTTATTTATTTTGAGACAGAGTTTCCCTGTTGCCCAGGCTGGAGTGCAATGGCGTGATCTCGCTCACCACAAGCTCCACCTCCCAGGTTAAAGCGCTTCTCCTGCCTCACCCTCCCGAGGAGCTGGATTACAAGCATGAGCCACCACATCTGGCTAATTTTGTATTTTTAGTAGGGATGGGGATTCTCCATGTTGGCCAGGCTGGTCTCAAACTCCTGACCTCAGGTGATTCACCCACCTTGGCCTCCCAAAGTGCTGGGATTACAGGCATGAGGCACTGCATCCAGCCATAAAAAGTAGTCTTTTAGTTCCTTGAGTGAAAAGTAAATTCAAATGTTACTTTAGCATTTACATTATAGGTGTTAGTTATCTATTGCTGTGTAACAAATAGCTCCAAAACATAGTGGCTTTAGAAAACAATCATTTGGGCCGGGTGCAGTAGCTCATGCCTGTAATCCCAGCACTTTGGGGGCCGAGGCGAGTGGATCGCCTGAGGTCAGGAGTTCAAGACCAGCCTGACCAACATGGTGAAACCCTGTCTCTACTAAAAATACAAAATTAGGCTGAGCACAGTGGCTAACGCCTATAATCCCAGTACTTTGGGAGGCCGAGGCAGGTGGATAACCTGAGGTCAGGAGTTTGAGAGCAGCCTGACCAACATGGAGAAACCCCATCTCTACTAAAAATACAAAATTAGCCGGGCGTGGTGGTGCATGCCTGTAAGCCCAGCTACTCAGGAGGCTGAGGCAGGAGAATCCCTTGAACCCAGGAGGCGGAGGTTGCGGTGAGCAAAGATCACACCATTGCACTCCAGTCTGGGCAACAGGAGCAAAATTCCATCTCAAAAAAAAAAAAAAAAAATTAGCCGGGCATGGTGGCTCATGCCTGTGATCCCAATTACTCGGGAGGCCGAGGCAGGAGAATCGCTTGAACCTGGGAGGCGGAGGTTGCAGCGAGCTGAGATCTTGCCAATGACACTCCAGCCTGGGAAACAAGAGCGAAACACTGTCTCAAACAACAACAACGACAACAAAAACCAATCATTTATTATCTCCCATAGTTTCCTTGGGTTGTGAATTTGGGTGGCTCTGGCTTACCATCTTTCATGAATTGTAGCCCAGTGTCAGCTGGGACTGTAGCGATCTGAAAGCTCAACTAGGGCTAGAGGATTCATTCCAAGGTTGGCCCTCTCAAGTGGATGGCAAGTTGGCGCTGGCAGTTGGCTGGGAGCCTCAGCTCCTTTCCCTGTGGGCCTCTCCTCGGGGCTGCTTGAGTACCCTCCCAATATGGTGACCAGCTTCCCCCCAGAGCAAGTGATCCTAAAGACCAAGGCGGAAGCGGCAATGCCTTTTATAACCTGGCCCTGCACACACCATCACTTCCACCATCTTTACTGGTCATTTCAGGCCATCCTGATTCAGCATGGGAGGAGACCACACAAGGCCTGAGGGACACCCGGGGGCTGGCTCACCCTGCACTCATACCAAGCTCACCCTGGCTGCCCTCTATTCCAGCTCTCTGCATTTCGTACTCTCCTGTTTTCTGCACTTGGTGAAGAGAAGAAGATGATGGTGAACAACTATCGCCCACTTCAACCCCTGATGAACTGGAAGGTCTGGGCGTCCTTCCAGGCCACTAATGAGGGCACAAGATCCTAGAGACATTAGGTCCACATGAATAGCAGAACTGACTTTGAAGGAAGGAAGCGTTGTTACCCAGGAGATCGAGACCATCCTGGCCAACACGGTGAAAACCTGTCTCTATAAAAAACACAAACATTAGCTGGGTGCGTGCCTGTAATCCCAGCTACTTGGGAGGCTGAGGCAGGAGAATTGCTTGAACCCGGGAGGCAGAGGTTGCAGTGAGCCAAGATTGCACTATTGCACTCCAGCCTGGGCAACAAGAGCAAAACTCCGTCTCAAAATAAAAAGGAATTCTTGTGAGGCCAGGCACAGTGGTTCACGCCTGTAATCCCAGCACTTTGGGAGGCTGAGGCAGGTGGATCACTTGAGGTCAGAAGTTTGAGACCAGCCTGGCCAACATGGTGAAACTCCGTCTCTACCAAAAATACAACCAAAAGTAATCTGGCAGGATAAAACCAGAAAACATACACAATTTGATGTCAAGACCTATTTCAAAAGCTATAGTAGGCCAGGCGCAGTGGCTCATGCCTGTAATCCCAGCACTTTGGGAGGCCGAGGTGGGAAGATCACCTGAGGTCAGAAGTTCGACACCAGCCTGGCCAACATGGCGAAACCCTGTCTCTGCTAAAAATACAAAAATTAGCTAGGTGCGGTGGCTCATGCCTGTAATCCCAGCTACTCAGGAGACTGAGGCAGGAGAATCGCTTGAATCTGGGAGGCAGAACTTGCAGTGAGCTGAGATCATGCCACTGCACTCCAGCCTGGGCGACAGAGCGAGACTCCATATAAAATAAATAAATAAATAAAAATAAAAAGCTATATTAATTAAGATAATGTGGTACCTGTCAGAGAAGGACAAATCAACCAATGAAAAAGAATAGCATGTCTAGAAGGTTCCACACATTTGTGATCCCTGAGTCATGCTGTAGGGAATGGATGGGCTTTTCTGTGAATAGTTTTGGATCATTTGGATACTTATCTATCTATGTATTGATTGATCGATCAATTCATCTGTCGATCCACAGGGTCTCACTATGTTGCCCAGGTTGGTCCTGAACCCCTGAGCTCCAATAGTTCTCCTGCTTTGACCTCCCAAAGTGCTGGGATTACAGGCATGAGCCACCCCACCGAGCCAACGGGATATCCAAATGGGGAACCATGAATCTTTTTTCTCACCATACCTCACACCCCTACCTCACAGCACACACAAAAATTAATTCCTGACAGACTATAGATCTAAATAGGAAAGGTAAAACAATAAAGCTCCTAAAAAATAACATAGGAGCCAGGCGCTGTGGCTCACGCCTGTAAACCCAGCACTTTGGGAGGCCAAGTTCCAGACTAGCCTGACCAACATGGAGAAACCCCATCTCTACTAAAAATACAAAATTAGCCGAGCTTGGTGGTGCATGCCTGTAATCCCAGCTACTCGGGAGGCTGAGGCAGGAGAATTGCTTGAACCCGCGAGGCAGAGGTTGTAGTGAGCCGAGATCGCGCCATTGCATTCCAGCCTGGGAAACAAGAGCAAAACTTTGTCTCAAAAAAAAAAAAAAAAAAAAAAAGACTTGATCCAGAACTCAATGTTGGGTCTGAGTGTGGCTTTTCTGTCTCTCTTTCGTGATGTTGTCTCTCTCTTGGCAAGCTCATTCTTTTTGTGGAAAGAGAGCTACCACTTGTGCCAGGATGGTTTCCATTAATTCATGTAACATTTATTGAGTGCCAATTACGTGGCAGGCTCTATTCTAGACTCTGGGGACAGAGCCTAGACTGTTTCAGGTCTGAAGAGCCTTTGCCTCGGAGCTCACGTTCTGATGGAAGGAGGTAGACCATGATGCATCAACACAGAAAGTCTGGGGTGGTAAGTCACAGGGAGAGGACATGGCTGGGTGGGGAGGTCTCTTCTACAGGGGCCATTTGGGCAGAGACCAAAGGAGGAGTGAACCACATGGCTACCCGAGGGCAGAGAATTCCAGGCAGAGGCTGGAGGCAGGAGCACCCTTCTGGTGTTCAAGGTGCAGCCCGAGGGTGAGGGCAGCCAAGTGCAGGGGTGAGGAGAGAGGCATGGGAGGCAAGGGTGGGTACTGGGGCCCCATAGGCTGGGTGGAGACTTTGGAGCTGCTGCTGGGTTCTGAGCAAAGGGCATTTTCGAGTGGAAAGGCTCAGTTTGGCTGTGCTGCCAAAGAGTTTTCCAAAGTGGTCGTTCCTGTCCTTGCCAGCAGGTCATTGTGTGCTTTCTGGAGGGTGTGCCCAGGTGTCTCCTGTGGATTTAATTTGCACTTCCCTAATGATTAATGATGTGGAGCACTTTGTGCAGATTCATTGGCCATCTGCATATCCTCTTTCACCAGATACCTACTTGAGCCATTTGCCCATTTTTCTCTTGGGCTGTCTGTGGTTTTCTTAGTGATTTTTAGGAGTTCTTTATATATTCCAATTATAAGGCCTTTGTCCATTTTACAAATCTCTTCTCCCACTCTGGGGCTGCCTTTCACCCTCTTTTTTTTTGTTGTTTTTTGTTTTGTTTTGTTTTTGAGATGGAGTCTTGCTTTGTCACCCAGGCTGGAGTGCAGTGGCGCAATCTTGGCTCACTGCAACCTCCACCTCCCGGGTTCAGGTGATTCTCCTGCCTCAGCCTCACAAGTAGCTGGGATTACAGGCGTACACCACTGTGCCTGGCTAATTTTGTATTTTTAGCAGAGACGGGGTTTCTCCATGTTGGTCAGGCTGGTCTCGATCTCCCGACCTCAGGCGATCCGCCTGCCTCGTCCTCCCAAAGTGCTGAGATTACTGGCATGAGTCACCGCGTCGGGTCTGGATCAAGCTTATAGCAATGGTTGCACCTGATCAGTTACACAAGCCAATAGGTGCCCTTTCATGTAAGCCAGTTTGGGTTTCTTTTTACCTATTACTTGCTTGGAAAAAATCCAAAATCAGTACAGTGTTTTTCTTTTCCTTTTTTTTAGATGGAGTGTCGCTCTGTCACCCAGGCTGGAGTGCAATGTCATGATCTCAGCTCACTGCAACCTCTGCCTCCCGGGTTCAAGCAATTCTCCTGCCTCAGCCTCCCGAGTAGCGGGGATTACAGGCACCCGCCACCATGCCCAGCAAATTTTTTTTTTTTCTTTGAGACAGAGTTTTGCTCTTGTCGCCTAGGCTGGAGTGCATTGATGCCATCTTGGTTCACCACAACCTCTGCCTCCCAGGTTCAAGCAATTCTCCTGCCTCAGCCTCCCAATTAGCTGAGATTACAGGCATGGGCCACCACGCCTGGCTAATTTTGTATTTTTACTAGAGATGGGGTTTCTCCATGTTGGTCAGGCTGGTCTTGAACTCTCAACCTCAGGTGATCCGCCCGCCTCAGCCTCCCAAAGTACTGGGATTACAGACGCAAGCCACTGCGCCCAGCCTATTTTTTTTTTTTTTTTTTTTTTGCATTTTTAGTAGAGATTTGGTTTCACCATGTTGGTCAGGCTGGTCTCGAACTCCTGACCTCAGGTGATCTGCCTACCTTGGCCTCCCAAAGTTCTGGGATTACAGGCATGAGCCACCGTGCCTGGCCCAGTATTTTTATTTTCATAGCATTAAAAAATATTCCTCCCAGAAGAGAGAAAGTTTTACAATCAACCTAATTAAATTATCTTCCAATGTCACCTTACAGTCAGATAAGCACAGAAAAATAAGCAGATGCTAATCTGTTTCCCAAGGTGATAAAAGCCGTTTCATTCCGGGGAGATAAAGAATAAGTAGGTTAGGTCAGGCGCGGTGGCTCACGCCTGTAATCCCCGCACTTTGGGAGGCTGAGGTGGGCAGATCACCTGAGGTCAGGAGTTCAAGACCAGCCTGGGCAACATGGTGAAGCCCCGTCTCTACTAAAAAAAAAAAAAAAACGCAAAAAATTAGTCGGGCATGGTGGCAGGCACCTGTAATCCCAGCTACTTGGGAGGCTGAGGCAGGAGAATTGCTTGAACCCGGGATGCAGAGGTTGCAATGAGCCAAGATTGTGCCACTGCACTCCAGTCTGGGCGACAGAGTGAGACTCCGCCTCCAAAAAAAAAAAAATACAAAAACTAGGCTCACGCCTGTAATCCCAGCACTTTGGAAGGCTGAGGCAGGTAGATCATGAGGTCAGGAGATCAAGACCATCCTGGCTAACACGGTGAAACCCCGTCTCTACTAAAAGTACAAAAAACTAGCCGGGTGTGCTGGCATGTACCTGTAGTCCCAGCTACTCGGGAGACTGAGGCAGGGAGAATTGCTTGAACCCAGGAGGTGGAGGTTGCAGTGAGCCGAGATCGTGCCACTGTACTCCAGCCTGGGCAACAGAGTGAGACTCCATCTCAAAAAGAAAAAAAAAAAAAAACTAAGGCTAGGCACGGTGGCTCACGCCTGTAATCCCAGCACTTTGGAAGGCTGAGGTGGGCAGATCATGAGGTCAGGAGTTTGAGACGAGCCTGGGCAATATTGTGAAACCCTGTCTTTTCTAAAAATACAAAGAAAAATTAGCCGGGCGTGTTGGCATGCACCTATAATCCCAGCTACTGTGGAGGCTGAGGCAGGAGAATCGCTTGAACCTGGGAGACGGAGCTTGCAGTGAGCCGAGATGGCGGCCACCGCACTCTAGCCTGGGTGACAGAGCGAGACTCCGTCTCAAAACAAAACAAAACAAAATCTAGCCAGAAATCGCTTGAACCCAGGAGGTGGAGGTTGCAATAAGCTGAGATTGTGCCACTGCCCTCTAGCCTGGGCAACAGAGTGAGACTCCACCCCTCCATGCCCCCCCAAAATAAAGTGTCTGGCTCTTTAAAGGAGATCACACTTGGTGGTGATGCGGGTGAAAGAGGATTGGGTTGAAGGAGTCAAAGTAGAAGTGGGAAAGCACCAAGCTGGGAAATGGGCACGTTTCTGTTCTGCGTCTAAGGTGATGCTCCTGACTTCGATTCCATCGATCAAGAGGAGTTTGCTGAAGGACAGGGTGTACAGCTGCCTTGCCCGCTCCTGAACCAGGCCCGGGGTGAAGTGTGTTGTGCACATTCAGCAGCTCCAGCCCCGCTGTGGGTCGCACTGACATGCTGGGCCCAGCCCACGCCCCAGAAGCTCGCAGCGCCATTGGTCTGGGGAATGGTGTTTTATGAGAAACTCCTGAAGTGACAGGATGGTGTCATTGGGCATAAGGGCCACGGCACTCCCACTGAGTTGCGACAAGTTCTACAAAATCATCCCTGGTTTTTAATAAGGAAACTGAGGCTCACTTGACAAGTTGAGAAAGTTGTCGCTGACCCGCTAGGCCAAGGGATACGCAGCATTTCACTCTTGCCTTCTCTTATTTGTGCAATTAGTCAAGGAAAAAGTGCAGCAAAGAGAGAGTCCTGAACCTTAAAACCCAGGAGAAAACTTATCCTACAATGCCGGGCAGTTCACGCTGATGGAAGCAGCAGCCAGAGGAAGGCACTTGGCTGGGCTTCCTGCAGCGCTGTGAGAATAGCCCGCTCCTCTGGTGGGGAAGGGGTGACACAGTCAATGGAGGGGGTGGTGTCTGAACCTGGAGCTTGGGATGGGGGCAGACAGCAGCTATTCAGCCATTCTCCATGGGCTGCCCATTTCCATGGGGACCTGGAGACAGAGAAAGGCCCAAGCGGCCAGAGGGGCCCTGGGCTCCAGTTCTACCAGCCCCACATTGACATCGTGTCCAACAAGATACCAAGAGAAGCAGGGAGTGGCTGACCTTCATTTTCCATATCAACACAGGGGGCCCTCTGCACGCACCAACATCTTTGTCTCCTGAAAAATGGCCTTTGTCAGTTATTTTTAAAAACTGGTGTTAATCCTGAGACACGGAGATACTCCCAGGAAGACATCCGAGCCTGGACACACTGAGATGAAACCAGAAACACTCCGAGAGAAAATGACATTGATTCCAGCCCTCAAAGCAACGGGACAAAAAACAAACAGGAGGCTTCCCTCCCGCCCCAGGGGCAGCGGCCAATGTCTGCGGCTCTGCGGGAAGGGCTCTCACTGTGACCAGATTGTGGCTTCTGATTGTATTGTAGAATTTCTGGCCCAGCTTTTAAGGTTCAAGGCTTCCTCCCTTTGCTTTTATGTTATTTTCTTGTTTAATAAAGATACACCTGTGTGAGAAGCATTGCCTGTTCACAGCTGCCACCGCCTCCTCCTCCTCCGCTTCCTCCCCATCCCCAGCACATCCTTCCCATCGACCCTCCAGAGAACCAAGCTCAATTCAGAGCAGGCCATGTGCCCAGCTACATCCCCTCAGCCTTGCCCCCCTGAGACAGAATCCACATTCCTGCCCCTCCGCCCCCACCCTCTCCTGGCAGCCCACTCTGTGCCGACCAGAATATCGGCCCCCTCCCACCCCAGGGCTCTTGTGGCTGTTCTGATGGACCTGAGGGCACCCTTCCCCGCCCGCCCCACACCACCTGCTCAACACCTGCTCCTCCTGTTCCCTCAGCCTGAGCTGAGCCCCCAGATGGCACCTGGCACACAGCGGTGCCCAGCAGTAACGGAGCTGTCATTTTTTGACACTTGTCCCTCCTGCTGAAAGGTGGGCTGTCCATGCACTGCTGCATCCCCAACTCTGTGCCCACCAACCCCGTCTTGATAAATGGTTCCTCCATCCACCCGACGCCACAGGCAATCTCGGGAGCCCCCTTGGGCCCTCCTCTCCCCTCACTCCTTGCACCCAGGGCAGCAGCACGCTCTGCTGGAGGACCCTCAAACTGCTGCCTATTCCAAGTCCGTCCACTTTTCTCTGTCCCTTCTGCTGCAGCCTGAGTGACAAGCTGGGCTTCCAGTTTAGCCACTTCCTTTCCAGCCTCTTCCCCTCTTCCCTCAAATCCCTTTTTCTTTTAACAGTGGGTTTTTTTGAGAAACCGACACTTGGCCATTCTGCTGCCCTGTTCAAAACTGAGGCTTTCCACTAGGCTTGGGATCGAGCACGAGCTTCTCCCAGCAAGATTCGCAGCCTGGCCCTCTTCCACGTCACCTTGTGTGTGTGGGCCTCTGGCTGGGGTTGCTGTCCCCACGGCTGCTTCACAGTCACTCCTTTCCATCCTCAACCAGCTTTCAGACACTTGTCCCAACCACGGTCTCCCTGTGTCCCCTCCCCAGCTGTTGGCATCAGGCATGTGTTGCTGCATGATGCTTGCATCCTCCTCTGGAATGTGAGCCCCCAGGGGCGGGATCCTCAACCATTCTGCTTGCCCATGGCACAGAATAAACGCGGTCAGGCGCCATGGGCTGCAGTGCTCCCACTTGTAAGCTCGGGGACTGCTGTGCACTGCCCCTGGGCCTCCAGGCGCTGCTCCCTCTCCTGGGCTCATCCTCCTTCGTCAGTGCCAGCCCCAGGCAGCAGCATCCCCTCCCCCCACACCCAGGCTCCTGCACATCCCACGTTATCACAGGGGTGCACATGAAAGGGTCACCCGCAGGCTGGGGTGTCATGAGGACATGCATTCTCACAAAGCCAGGCGTATGTCTAGCTATTGTGAAATGTTTGCTGAGTCAATGAATGAATTGCAGGATACTAGATGGATCTGGCTACAAATGTTTAGAAACTACCTTAAATCCAGTTAACTGGGGGCTGTCATCATTGAGAAGTCTAGACAAAATGAGTGACAGGGAGCAGGTGTGATCAGACATGGAGCAGACATGGATCACACATGGAACAGACATGGCTCACACATGGAGCAGCATGGACCACATGTGGAACAGACACGGTTCACACATGGAACAGACACAGTTCACACATGGAACAGCATGGACCATACATGGAACAGACACAGATCACACATGGAACATACACGGCTCACACATGGAACAGCATGAATCACATATGGAGCAGCATGAATCACACATGGAACAGACATGGTTCACACACGGAACATACATGGTTCACAGATGGAACAGACATGGTTCACACATGGAACAGATAGTTCACACATGGAACAGATAGTTCACACATGGAACAGACATGGTTCACACATGGAACAGACACAGTTCACACATGGAACAGCATGGACCATACATGGAACAGACACAGATCACACATGGAACATACACGGCTCACACATGGAACAGCATGGATCACACATGGAGCAGCATGAATCACATATGGAGCAGCATGAATCACACATGGAACAGACATGGTTCACACATGGAACAGACATGGTTCACACATGGAACAGACATGGTTCACACATGGAACAGATAGTTCACACATGGAACAGACATGGTTCACACATGGAGCAGCATGGATCACACATGGAACAGACACAGTTCACACATGGAACAGACACAGTTCACACACGGAGCAGCATGGTTCACACACGGAGCAGGCACCACACACCCATGCCGTAGCATGCATCAGCCTGGTTTTCGGGCCCACACAATAGAAGTCATTGTTTTGGTGGTAAACAATATCCACCTGGATATTTTTCAAAATAGAGAATTGAATTATAACCTACAAATTTCCATCCTCACATGGAAATTTGACCTGGTTGAATGGCATCTGCCCTGCAGCCACTGTCCCCAAAACTGAGAGGCGGGGCAAAGTAGCCGAAGAAAGCAGCGCTGAAGCTGGCAGCTGCAAAGAGTGCAGGGCCCTCCAGTCTCTACAAAATTCACAGCTGCTTCCAGCCTCATGCTGGGACGTGGGCTGAGCAATGAATTCTTCTTGTAATCCAGGGTAGAGTGGAAGAAAGTTCAAGGTGAGCATCAACTCATTCAATCACTTAACAATAGGCAGGTTTGGCTCATACTGCAGAGGCCAAGCAGGAGAACCTGGCTCCTGTGTCTCTGGAAATGTTAAAATGCCTGTCAACAGGAAAAAAAGATCTGTCTCTGCCATCCTGAAGGTAAGTTTGCCACCTACGCACTAAAGATTAAGGCCATATTTTTTCAATGTTGAGATTATTCCCTTTGTCTGCAAACAGGGGCTTAGGACAACAGCCCTTTCTTCTCTCACAGTCCCGGAGGCCAGAGGCCAACATCAAGGTGGTGGCAGGGCCAGACTCCCTCGGGGGCTCCAGGACCCCTCCTGCCTCTTCCAGCTTCTGGGGGCTCCAGGTGTCCCTTGACTCAGAGCCGCCCACTCCCATCCCCGCCTCCATCTTCACGCTCCAGCCACTGAGACCATGCCCGACACAGCAAGTGTGGGCTGCTGCAACTGCTGTCCCTCCGTGTTCCCTCTGCACACATTGGAAAGAAAGTCTGAGGGTGGAAGCCAGGCATTCGGCCAGCCCTGGGAGCACAGTTCGGCAGTGACGGCAACACCAGCAGCTCAGGGTCCTCCACCCGCCAGCCCCGGGAGCACAGTTCTGCAGTGAGGATGACACCAGAGGCTCAGGGTCCTCCACCTGCCAGCCCTGGGAGCACAGTTCTGCAGTGATGGCAATGCCAGCGGCTCAGGGTCTTCTACCTGCTGGTCCCCAGGAGGCGGGCGCAGGTGTCTCCCTGCTTCACAGAAGAGGAAACTGAGACTTTGAAAGCTGAGCCGAGTCACTCGCCTGGTGCCACATTAACCAGCAAGTGGTAGAGGTGAGATCTGAACCCAGGACCGTTCGATTCTAGGCCTGAACTGCTTTTATCTTTTGGATGTATAGTTCACACATAACATAACATTAACCGTTAGTCATTTAAACACGTACAAATCCGTGGTGTTTAAGTCACTCCCAGTGTTGGGCAACCATCCCCATCATCTAGTTCCAAGACATTTTATCACCCCAAAGAGAGACCCCATCCACTCAGCCCTCACTCTCCATCGCCCCTTCCCCCCGCCCTAAGCAGCCACGAATCTCGTCCGTCTCTCTGGATCCTCCTGTCCTGAACATTCGTGCACTCGGAATCATACAACCCGTGGTCACTGACCCTTTCACGCAGCCCAGTGTTTTCAGGGGTCCTGCACATTGCAGCGCGTCTTCCTGTGTGCAGCTGAATGACTCTCCAAGGGATGGCGGACTACGCTGGGTTTATCCATCATCCACGGATGGACGGGCCTGAACTCTGACCCCGGCTCCTACTGTTGCTTCCATGTCATCTTTTTTTTTTTTTTCAAGACCAGTCTCGCCGGGCGCAGTGGCTCACGCCTGTAATCCCAGCACTTTGGGAGGCCGAGGCGGGGGGATCACAAGGTCAGGAGATCAAGACCATCCTGGCTAACACCGTGAAACCCCGTCTCTGCTAAAAATACAAAAAATTAGCCGGGCATGGTGGTGAGCGCCTGTAGTCCCAGCTACTTGGGAGGCTGAGGCAGGAGAATGGTGTGAACCCAGGAGGCGGAGCTTGCAGTAAGCCGAGATCGCGCCACTGCACTCCAGCCTGGGTAACAGAGCGAGACTCCGTCTCAAAAAAAAAAAAAAAAAAAAAAAAAAAAGACCGGTCTCATTCTGTCGCCTAGGCTGGAGTGCAGTGGCGTGATCTCAGCTCACTGCAGCCTCAACCTTCCCCAGCTCAGGTGATCCTTCTACCTCAGCCTCCCCAGCAGCTGGGACTACAGGTGCACCACCACCACGCTGGGCTAGTTTTTGTATTTTTTGTAGAGACGGGGTCTCCCTATGTTGCCCAGGCTGGTCTTGAACTCCTGGGCTCAAGAGATTTTCCCACCTTGGTCTCCCAAAGGGCTGGCATTACAGGCGTGAGCCACCGCGCCCAGCCTCCAAGTCATCTTTCACACGCAGAGCACGCCTGAGAGCAGCAACAAGACTAACGTTGGGGCCAAAGCTAAGAAGTGGGGCGGAGCCTCCCTGGTGGCCGGTCGTCAGCCCAGTGCCTGAAATGCATGCAAAGTCTATTTTTATTTTGCGTAGTTGAACCTAAGCAAAAAATCTGGCCCTATAATCTCTAACCTTGCTCCTAACTGGCACCTACCCTATTGCACAAGAAGCTATCTAGGGGAGGACTCAGTGAGCACTCGGTGAGTTTGTCCAGCCATGGTGGTACTGTCTCCTTCCCTCTGCAGGCACAGCGGGAAGAATAGGGTGGATGGAGGGCTCTCTGCACCTTCCACAGCCCGCAGCGTGGACGGCAGATTACAAGTTAGTATCTGTGCGACCTCCGCACTCCCCTGCCGGTGGCTGCCTGGGCTGCTGAGATTTCGCTTGGTTTTATCACTGCAGAGGAATGCCTGCCATACCGGGGGGCGAGCAAGGTCCAGAATGACAAGCCGTGGCATTCCTCAGCCGCCTCCTCCCCGGGGTGGGGCCTGGACATTCCTGGCTGCAGCTAGAGGTCCCAGCACGACAGGGATTCTGACCCCCCCTCCACCACGGCTATTGTTCAGAATTCTGTGGATTCCAGAGGCATCTGCCCAGCAGACTGTCTTGCTGTGAACACCCAGCTCTGCAACCGGTGTTTGCGTGTTTGCCCTGGGAGGCTGAACGCTCACCCAGAACAAAGGCCTCCCCACATGCCTGCTGTGAGCTTCCAAGTACTCGTTAGGACACACGCCAAGGAACCCCGGGTTGGGGGGATACCGAGGAGCTTCCTCCCTGACCCACACACACCCTTTGAACAGGTCTTTGGCTGCTCACCAGTCTGGTCAATCTCGGGGCAGTATTTATATTCCTTCCCGTTTCCAGGCCTAGGAGCCTTGGCATCCTGCTCTCGCCTCTAACTGAAATTACCTCTCAACCCTTTTTAGCTAAGATGCCTCTCGCATTCCCCAGGAATAACAAGCTTTAAAGCCCCTTCACACTGAAGCCTGCCTTTGAATTTCCCAGCTAGATTTGGGGGTGGGGGTCTTATGGCTCCCGGTGAACCCCCGGTTCTGTTGATTAAATTGAGCTCAGGCAGAGTGCTGGCTTCCCAAAGCCTGTGTTATTACTGCTTCTCAAAGCTACGGGCACCGGATCGCCATCTTTGGCAAGATTCTTTTGGGATACAATGGGAATTACTGGGTGGCCTCGGTTCGGTTCTTCCCTCGTCTCAGTTCGCGGCTCACCAGCCACATTGATGCAGCCCCCAGGCTGGAAGGAGGCTGCAGGAGCTTCCCCTCAGGTCATCTTCTCATCCCTCCCCCGTGCCCCAGGAGCTGGTTGTGGGGGCGGTTCCATCCCCTCGGCCCATCCGGGACAGGAGCCTAGGTTCCCTTCGGGGGGTACCCCAAACCCCATCCTTGGCCTCAGGCCAGCCCTGGTGCACTGCCCGCTCCCAGGCTTGACGAGAGGCTGCGGGCCAGTGGGTGAAGGGGCTCGCCCTGACTGCCAGGCCCCGCCCAGGCGCACCCGGGAGGACGGGCTGGGATGACGCGGGCGCCGGGGGGGTAGGTCGCGAGGCCGGGGTCTCCATGGCGCAGGAGTACGGGGGCCTTCGAGGACCACGCGGGCCTGGGAATCGCCTGCCAGGCTAGGCCGGACGACGCACGTGCTCCGAGCTGGGTCGAGGGGGCGGGGCTGAGGGCCGCGGCCGGGCCACGGGTCGGGGAGGAGCCGCGGACGGTGGGCGGGGCCAGTGGGCCGGGGCCTAAAAGGCGGCGCGGGCGGGGTTCCTGACGCAGCTGCGGGCGGCGGGCGGCGAGCGGCGCGCACAATCCTCGCTCGGCTGCGGCTCCCGGGTGTCCCAGGCCCGGCCGGTAAGCAGAGCATGGCGGGTGCGGGCCCGAAGCGGCGCGCGCTAGCGGCCCCGGTGGCCGAGGAGAAGGAAGAGGCGCGGGAGAAGATGATGGCCGCCAAGCGCGCGGACGGCGCGGCGCCGGCAGGCGAGGGCGAGGGCGTGACCCTGCAGGGGAACATCACGCTACTCAAGGGCGTGGCCGTCATCGTGGTCGCCATCATGAGCTCGGGCATCTTCGTGACGCCCACGGGCGTGCTCAAGGAGGCAGGCTCGCCGGGGCTGGCGCTGGTGGTGTGGGCCGCGTGCGGCGTCTTCTCCATCGTGGGCGCGCTCTGCTACGCGGAGCTGGGCACCACCATCTCCAAATCGGGCGGCGACTACGCCTACATGCTGGACGTCTACGGCTCGCTGCCCGCCTTCCTCAAGCTCTGGATCGAGCTGCTCATCATCCGGCCTTCATCGCAGTACATCGTGGCCCTGGTCTTCGCCACCTACCTGCTCAAGCCGCTCTTCCCCACCTGCCCGGTGCCCGAGGAGGCAGCCAAGCTCGTAGCCTGCCACTCCGTGCGTGAGTACGGGGCGCGGGCCGGGGGTTGGGAGGTCGTAGTCCCTGGGTCCCTGCATCCTTGCATCACTACGCCCCTGGCTCCCACATCTCTACATTTTTGCGTTCCTGGACCGTCCCGGCAGTTCTAGGCTAAGGTCATTGGTCCCAGAAACCAAGTGCGTTTCTTTCATTCATTCTTTTACACTTCTCCCCACAGGCTGGGAATATCTTCAGTGACGGGACAGCAGGGTCCCTGCCCTGCCCTTCGGTGGGCATTTCATTCCCCCACTTAAGCGGTTCAGGCAAGTGCCAGCCTCCCGTTGGCCCCGCTGAGCAATACTCCCAGCCTCTTGCGTGGCACCCACGTGGAGTAACTGAGCAACCGGTTTATTGTTAAAGCTCCGATTGCTGACTGGTTGGTGAAAACGAAATTGCAGTTAAAAAGAAAATTATTCATTTCTGCTCTCCACACCAGCTCGTCAGGAATCAGTGACACGGGCTGACTCATAAGAAAACAGTAGTAATAAAATCGTGTGCGGGTAGTGACTGGTGCTGGTTTAGGCTAAGGGATCCCCCCTGAGGGTTGCCCAGTAGTGAGAGAGCGGAGCTTGGCTGCAGATTCAGTCTGTGTTACAGTGAATGGAGGTTCGGGTCCCAGGTTACTCTGGGAAACAGCCATGGGGCTCCTATTTTGGTGGGCATGGTGCTGGTGTGTTCTTCACCAGGCCAGAGAGAACTGCTTTTCAAAATAGTTTTCTTTTCTTTTCTTTTTTTTTTTGAGATGGAGTCTCACTCTGTCGCCCTGGCTGGAGTGCAGTGGCGCGATCTCGGCTCACTGCAAGCCCCGCCTCCCGGGTTCACGCCATTCTCCTGCCTCAGCCTTCCGAGTAGCTGGGGCTACAGGCGCCCGCCACTACGCCCGGCTAATTTTTTTTGTATTTTTAGTAGAGACGGGGTTTCACCGTGTTAGCCAGGATGGTCTCGATCTCCTGACCTTGTGATCCGCCCGCCTCGGCCTCCCAAAGTGCTGGGATTACAGGCGTGAGCCGCCGTGCCCGGCCTCAAAATAGTTTTCTTGTGGGATTTCAGGGGGAAAATGACTTGTACCAGATACCACATGATTTGGTTGGGTGGCGTGGGAAGGCGGGTCTTGGCAATTCTCAGGTTCATCCCATGGCAAGGATCGGCCTGGATCTCAGTAGTGTGTGTACACATTCAAGGTGGGAAGGGTTAATTTATAGTTGGGGTCTTGAGCCATGAAATCAGGGGAGTGGCTTCTGACTGGCAGGACCTGTTGGCGCTGTTTTCTGCCACACCGTACTTTGGGGAGAAGGGGGAGGGGGAGGCATTTCTTCATAAATGTGAGAATGCCCCGAGGGCAAGACTCAGCAGGGCTCTGTGTGGTTTCTCTGAGGCTCTGAGCGGAGCAGCCGCACCACCATGCAGGTCAAAGCCGGGAAAAATCGTAGGACAGGAGTGGGGAGAGCCTGTGGCTTCCAGCTGGGCGTTGGACATGTGAATGTAGGGGATGACTGATTTCTTTTTTTTGTCATTAGAATTTCACTGGTTCAGTCTCCCTCTCGCCTAGGTACATGCCCGCCTGGTATGTAACGACATGGATAATAGCTTATGCAGCCTGCACTCTTACCTTTAAAAAATGAATCCCTGTTGGCTGGGTGTGATGGCCCACGTCTATAATCCCAGCACTATGGGAGGCCAAGACAGGCAGATCTACCGAGGTCAGGAGTCCGAGACCAGCCTGACCAACATGGTGAAACCCCATCTCTACTAAAAATACAAAAATTAGCTGAGCATAGTGGCTCACGCCTGTAATCCCAGCTACTTATGAGTCTGAGGCATGCTCCGGGACGTGGAGTTTGCAGTGAGTTGAGATCCTGCCACTGCACTCCAGCCTGGGTGACAGAGCAAGCCTGTCTCAAAAAAAAAAAAAAAAAAAAAAAAAGCAGCCCCTGGGTGCTGAGTGTCTGACTTCCTGTTGGTGCCAGGAGTGAGTTGTGGGAAATGCTTCATTGGCCACCAGGAAGGAGACATAGGATGGGGCGCTGCCTAGTTTTCTCTTTCTAATAAAAATCACATCAGTCATACATGAATTCATCATCATTTAAAAATTCAAACCAGCCAGGCACTGTGGCTCATGCCTGTAATCCCAGCACTTTGGGAGGCCGAGGCAGGCGGATCACCTGAAGTCAGGAGTTCGAGACCAGCCTGGCCAACATGGGGAAACCCCATCTCTACTAAAAATACAAAAAATTAGCCAGGCGTGGTGGCAGATGCCTGTAATCCCAGCTACTCGGGAAGCTGTGGCAGGAGAATCACTAGAACCCAGGAGGTGGAGGTTGCAGTGAGCTGAGATCGCACCACTGCACTCCAGCTTGGGCAACAAGGCGAAACTCTGTCTCAAAAAAAAAAAGCAAAAATCAGCTGGGCGTGACGGCGCACACCTGTAGTCCCAGCTACTCGGAGGCTGAGGCAGGAGAACTGCTTGAACTTGGGAGCCAAGATGGTGCCACTAAGCTCCTGCCTGGGTGACACATTTCTCCTCCTTTACCACCCCCCAGCCCCAGAGTTTCTGTGGCTGACAGTGTACGCTTCCAGAGCTGCTTCTGTTACAAATATATCGCTGGCCTATTTATTTAAAAGATCATAATGTACAACTTGTTCTCCACCTTTTTTTTAAGCCTAAAATGGTTTTGCCATGTTCCCAGGCAGTACGCAGAGGCTGCCCTCTTTAGCTGCTAAGAAGACTTCCCTGTGTCGGCAGGAACAAGTGTGCTCACCGCCCCCACCCCCCGACCCCCCGTAGACCCCTGTGGAGGGCATTTGGGGTTTCCCAGCTTTGTGCAAATGGGAAAAGGTTATGTGGTTTTTTGTTTTTTGTTTTTGTTTTTGTTTTGAGACAGAGTCTGTCTCTGTCGCCCAGGCTCGTTGCTCACTGCAACCTCTGCTTCCTGGTTTTAAGCAATTCTCCTGCCTCAACCTCCGGGAGCTTAGATTACAGGCATGTGCCTCAGCCTCCCAATTTGCTAGGATTACAGGCA